>NC_000002.12:55038837-55341867 GCF_000001405.40 Homo sapiens | reverse complement strand
GCAGCATTATTCACAAATGTCAAGATATGGAATCAACCTGTGTCTGTCAATGAAATGATGGATAAAGAAAACGTGGTTTATATACATAATGGAATATTTGTCAGTCATAAAAAGAATGAAATTCTGGCCAGGTGCAGTGGCTCACACCTGTAATCCCAGCACTTTGGGAGGCCGAGGCGGGTGGATCACGAGGTCAAGAGTTCAAGACCAGCCTGACCAATATGGTGAAACCCCGTCTCTGCTGAAAATACAAAAATTAGCCAGGCATGGTGGCGCACACCTGTGATCCCAGCTACTTGGGAGGCTGAGGCAGGAGAACCTCTTGAACCCGTGAGGCAGAAGTTGCAGTGAGCTGAGATCATCCTATTGCACTCCAGCCTAGGTGACACAGTGAGACTCTGTCCCAGAAAAAAAAAAAGGGGGCGGGGAGTGCCGGGCATGGTGGCTCACACCTGTAATCCCAGCACTCTGGGAGGCCGAGGCGGGCAGATCACGAGGTCAAGACCATCCTGGCCAACATGATGAAACCCCGTCTCTACTGAAAATACAAAAAAAATTTGCTGAGCGTGGTGGCGCGCGCCTGTAGTCCCAGCTGCTTGGGAGCTGAAGCAGGAAAATCGCTTGAACCCGAGAGGCAGAGGTTGCAGTGAGCCACTATCATGCCACTGCACTCCAGCCTGGGTGACAGAGCAAGACTCTGTCTCAAAAAAAAAAAAAAAAAAAAAAAGAAAGAAATTCTGTCATTTGCAACAATATGGATGAA
The DNA here is from genome assembly GCF_000001405.40 of Homo sapiens. Taxonomy (NCBI): domain Eukaryota; kingdom Metazoa; phylum Chordata; class Mammalia; order Primates; family Hominidae; genus Homo; species Homo sapiens. Next base: position 55,341,104 of record NC_000002.12, on the reverse strand, counting down.
CTTCAAGGGCATTATGTTAAGTGAACTAAGCTAGGCACAGAAAGACAATAGTGCATGATCTCATTTATATGTGGTATCAAAAAAAATTCAGACTCATAGAAACAGAGAATAAAATGGTTGTTACCAGAGGCTGAGGAGTTGAGGGTATTGGGAAGATGTTGGTCAAAGGACACAAAATTTCACTTAGATGAGAATAAGTTTAAGAGATCTATTGTGTATCATAGTGACTATTTAAAAACACCTAATACAGGTAGATTAACAATAATGCTACTCTTAGGGAATAATATGTATTTAAACTGTTTCTATACTGTGTTTTAATAGATATCATACAACAGAATAAATTTATAAAGGGATAATGAATGGAACTGGATTAAAGATTTTAAAATAATTTCAGCGTGTTCAGAATATTCATTTTGAACTTTTAGCCAAAATAAGTAGTAGTGTATTTTCAAAATTCATTTAATCGTTCATTAGTTGCTACTTAGAATAATGTATCCTGTAAGTTTATAGTTAAATTTAAATAATCTTTTAATTAAAAAAAAGACTTAGGCAACTAATGGAATTTTAAAAGTTAGTAACTATTCGGTATACCAGCTTTCAGTAAAAGATTAACAACATGATGACTAGAAAAGCTGGAAATAAAAATTGAGATTTTCTTTACTTAAATATGGAGGTTATTTGCTTATCTAATTTTGAAGAGATTTTTTGCATGGTGGGGGATATGTTGGATGTGCGTGTATTTCTTTGGTTTTTATGAAGAAGAATTTGAAACATACACAAAAGCAGACCCGGAAATTCTCTCCAGTACCTTTATTCATTTCCTTTCTTGAAATAGTAGGTCTCATATTTCATTTGTAAATCCTAATGTTCTTATATCAGCAAAATATTTAATGGGTCTGCTTGAACTCCAATTTCTTCAATCTAAATTTTATGCTTTTTTTAACTAGAATGCTGTGGATGCATTAAAAGTTAAACATGTATCTCTTAGCTGGGTGCAGCGGCTCATGCCTGTAATCCCAGCACTTTGGGAGGCCAAGGCAGGAGGATTGCTTGAGCTCAGGAGTTCGAGACCAGCCTAAGTAACAGAGACCCAGTCTTTACTAAAAAATAAAAAAATTAGCTGGCTGTACCTGCAGTCCCGGCCGCTTGGGAGACTGAGGTGGGAGGATCCCTTCAGACCAGGCGTTTGAGGCTGCAGTGAGCTAGGAGCACATCACTGCACTCCAGCCTGGGTGACAGAGAGAGACCCCGTCTCTTTAAAAAAAAGAAAAAAAGAAAAGGAAAAAAAAGATTTACTTCTTTTATCTTGTTTATCTTATATAACCTCATTGAATTTTTAATAAAGTTAAGGATCAGATGATGCAATGCATATACACTCAACTTTTTAAATAGTAAAGAGTAAACATAGTAAAAACAGTAAAGAGTAAATACAATGGTGTATTTTTCAATATTATAGCACCCCAGAAATCCCTGGGCCATGAGGTGAATGAGTTGACATCAAGTAGATTATTGAAGCTAGAGATGGAAAATCAAAGTTTGACAAAAACCGTAGAAGAGCTTCGGACTACTGTGGATTCTGTAGAAGGCAATGCTTCCAAAATCCTGAAAATGGAAAAAGAAAATCAAAGGCTCAGTAAAAAGGTAAATTAAAATGTAGTGTTTATTTTAATGTTAAAAAAACTTGTAAAAGTGTAAATAAATAGCCCATTTATTTTCCACTTTTTAAATGCACGCTCAATGTTATTTTAACTTGTTATGAAAATTTTCAAATATACACAAATATGGTGTGAATGAACCCTATACTCATTATTCAGCTTCAGCAATTAAGAACTTACTAGCTGATCTTGGCCAGGTGCGGGGGCTCACGCCTGTAATCCCAGCACTTTGGGAGGCCAAGGCAGATGGATAACCTGAGGTCGGGAGTTTGTGACCAGCCTAGCCAACATGGTGAAACCCTGTCTCCACTAAAAGTACAAAAATTAGCCGGGTGTGGTTGTGGGCGCCGGTGATCCCAGCTACTCGGGAGGATGAGGCAGGAGAATCTCTCTCGAACCCGGGAGGTGGAGGTTGAAGTGAGCTGAGATCACGCCACTGCACTCCAGTCTGGGCCATAGAGCAAGACTCAAAATCTCAAAAAAAAAAAAAAAGAATAAGCAGGGCTAGAGGAGTTACATTTACCAGTTTCCAAATAATGAATTGGTTCTCTCATATCTTCTTGAGAGAACTAGTGAGTGAGTTTCTTTAGTGTCATTATGAACCCATGAATTTAAAAATATTTGTATTGTTTCAATCCACTGCATTTGTTTTTCTTACTGTCTCAACTCGGGCTAGTGGAAGCCTCTTTAAAAGCTGCTTTGGTCCTGAATCCTTATGACATGGCCTTAGCACTCCTTAAGAGCTTTCTTGCTTTCTGCCATGACAAAATATTCTAGGCTCATCTTGAACATTTTCTGTCCCAGACCTGGAGACAGCCATTTCTCTGAAATTAGCCCTTATTCCTTTTAGTGGGAAATGATATTTAGAGACCACAATTTAGGCATTATGAAACCTGAATCTTAATCAGACTCTGGTTGAACAGAAATATTCAGTTGTGCAAGAACAAGTGTTTTATTTTTGCATATCTTTCTGCACACATAATTCTACATAAATAGAATCCCATCATAAAAACATGCATGATTAAGAATTGTTTCTAAGAAGTTCCTAAGTGATGCTCATCCTGCTGTCCTGGAATCATGCTTTGAGAACCACTGCTTTAGATTATTCAGAGGCTCCTTAGTATTCTTGTAAGATTTTTACTGTTTAAAAATGTTTTTACATTGTCTTCAGTCCATTAACTAAATAATCTTAATAAGCGTTTGACAATATAGTGTTAAAGTAGGATGACCATTTAGAATTTAGAACAGTTTTATTTTGGTTGTCATTAAAATTGGGCCTGTAGAGTACAGTTTCTTTTTGAAATTAGCTTTGAAGTTTAATATGTAAATTCTTAGTGATTCAAGCAATTTTTGATTAATTGTAAAAATGATTTTTTTATAAACTGAATGTTTCACTTTAATCCCATTGATACAAAACAACAAATGAGTTTCAATAATTGTTATTCTTATATTTCCATCTATGTAATGTGAGAACCTGATTAATTATTCACAGCTGAAAGCTTCCTGAACTGTAAATTAATGTTGAATTGAGTTATTGGATAAGTTTTTTGACCTGATGCTTTTCATATTATTATTATTATTATCATCATTATTATTGGTAGTAGTATTTCGAGCTAGGGTCTCACTATATCACCCAGGCTGGAGTGCAGTGGTGCGATCTCAGCTCACTGCAACCTCTGCTTCTCAGGCTTAAGCAGTCCTCCCACCTCAGCCTCTCAAGTAGCTAGGACTACAGGCACAGGCCACCATGCCTGGCTAAGTTTTTTTGTTTTTTGTTTTGTTTTTGGTAGAGACATCGTTTCACTGTGTTGCCCAGGCTGGAAATATTATTGGAAGATTGTTTCTGTGTGTAGTTATTTCCATTAATGTTAAAATAGAAAAATTAAAATTGCTTTAGAGTGCTTCATTATTGACATAAGAATTTAACATTTAACTTGCAGTAGAATGTTTTATAAAGTCTTCTTGATTTTTTAAATTGCCTGGTTTGAATATGTTATATGATAATGGGAAAATCAATAGTCTTAGCATATTTTTAACTTTAATTTGCTATTTTGTACATATTAACTACCAGTATTTTTCATCTCTAAAATGCGTAATTGAAAAGAAATTTGAACCTAAAATATAAATATTAGCCCTTTTTTATGGTAGTATTTTTCTCCTTTTTTATCTTAAAGGAAGTCCTTTCTTTTTTCATTAAGCTTATACTGTACTGTTTATCATCTTTTCCTTCATGCTTTTTATATCTTCTCCTGCCTTCTTGCTCACTGAAATTCTCTGAGTATAAGTAAAATTTTACTTTACAAATCCACTCAAGCCAAGTGAATCTTTAAATAAAGTTTGTATAGTTCTCATATAGCATATTATCATTTATTGAGCTGGATTTGTCTTTGTGTTTAGAAAGTGAAATTTACCCCAAAAGATGCACAAGGATAAGAAATCATGTCTGCATATTTTATACAGCTACAGAAATTAGCATGGAATGCTACTTGAATTTCTATACTAATTTCTTAAATTTTAGCATTTGGATATTAACACTATTTTATCCTTTATTCAGCGATTATGTTTTGTTTTGACATGTTTTCACTGTTACAGAATATTTAACGTATTGTTTTGTGATTTAATTTTCTCTAGGTTGAGATTCTTGAAAATGAGATTGTTCAAGAAAAGCAAAGTCTTCAGAATTGTCAGAATTTAAGCAAGGATCTAATGAAGGAGAAAGCTCAGCTTGAAAAAACAATAGAAACACTGAGAGAAAATTCAGAGAGACAGGTTCATACATTTTTTACTAAGTAAACAATGTATTTTAAAATTTATTAGCAAAAGTTATTTAAAATATATGCAAACAAAATGTTCATATAAACATTAAAGGGAAATATTTTAGAATTTTTTTATTTTAAAGTAATTATAATTTTACCTCATTTTCTAACCTATGTGTCTTAGGAAAGTTGAAGAGAAAGCTTAGAGTTTTTTAAACTACCATTGTGCTTAATAATCATCTAGTATAAGCATTTGCAGTACTTGTGCTTTCAAGTGTCTGTGGAATAGGGCTGCCGATTCTAGAGTCCCTGAGTGGAGTTGGCCAGGAAATGGAGCTGTCCTCTGACCTACCAAAGAGGGAGAAATGTGGTGGCAACCACACTGTCTTGGATATTACCAAATTTGTTTTCAGCTCTTTAATGTTCATTCTCATTTTATGTTTGAGGAAACTGAGAACTGCATAGATTAATTGACTTATTTTTGAAATATTTATTTATTTGAGACAGGGTCCAGCTCTGTCACTCATGCTGGAGTGCAGTGGCACAATCATAGCTTACTGCAACCTCGAACACCTAGGCTCAAGCAATCCTTTCACCTTAGCTGGGACTACAGGCATGCACCACCATGCCCAGATAATTTTTTAATTTTTTTTTTTATTTTTTGGTAGAGACAAAGTATCACTATGCTCCCCAGGCTGGTCTCAAACCCCTGAGCTGAAGTGATATTCCTGCCTCAGCCTCCCGAAGTGCTAGGATTATAGGTGCCAGCCACCATGCTTGAGCATTAATTTTTTTAGAAGTTAAATTATTTGTTTATATCATCCAGGTACAGTCCTCAGACCAGCCATAAAAATGAAGGTTTCTTTAGAGATACAGAACCAAAATTCTAGACTAAGCTTCAATCTTCATTTTTCCAAGCTTGTTGAGATTATTTAACACACTAAATTTTGAGAATCATTGTATTAGATCACGCTATAAATTGGATGAATTAGTTCCCAAATGTACCCAGTGATTTTTGTGATTTTGATGCTTCCTACTTAGAATTCTTTTTGGGAATGAATACACACACATACAAACCCATATATACACATGTAATACAGCACATATTTACTGAGGACCCACTGTAGGCATTGCAAAGGTTACTTAGTAAAAGTAGAACCTTATGTTCTCAAGGAGGTATGTGTGTGTGTTACCTGTATTCCTATTTGAATTTGAAGCATGTAACTGTAAATAATCTGAAGACCATTATGATTAATAGAAAATACATTTCTCAACCGTTCCTTTAAACTGTGAACTTCCTAAAAACATGAACTTTAATGACCTCACAGTAAGTGTACACAGTGGTCTTCAGTAAATGACCTCACAGTAAGTGTACACAGTGGTCTTCAGTAAATACTTGTCAGAATTAAAAGTAAGACATGTTCTAGCACCCTTTTTTTGTTCCCCTTTTCTTGGTAGTTTTTGGAAGAGATAAACCATAGTTAGTTTTTCCTCAATTACAGCTTTTAATTATTTTCTTTTCAAATTAGATTAAGATACTGGAACAGGAAAATGAACATCTGAATCAAACAGTGTCTTCCTTAAGGCAGCGGTCCCAGATAAGTGCAGAAGCAAGAGTGAAAGACATTGAAAAAGAAAACAAAATTCTTCATGAATCTATCAAAGAAACAAGTAGCAAGCTAAGCAAGATTGAATTTGAAAAAAGACAAATTAAAAAAGAATTGGAACATTATAAAGAAAAAGGAGAACGAGCTGAAGAACTTGAAAATGAATTGCATCATCTTGAAAAAGAAAATGAATTATTACAGAAAAAAATAACTAATTTAAAAATTACTTGTGAAAAAATTGAGGCCTTAGAACAAGAAAATTCAGAGCTAGAAAGAGAAAATAGAAAATTAAAAAAAACATTGGATAGCTTTAAAAATCTGACCTTTCAGTTAGAATCCCTAGAAAAAGAGAATTCCCAACTTGATGAGGAAAACTTAGAACTGCGAAGGAATGTAGAATCTTTGAAGTGTGCAAGCATGAAAATGGCTCAGCTACAGCTAGAAAACAAAGAACTGGAAAGTGAAAAAGAGCAACTTAAGAAGGGTTTGGAGCTCCTGAAAGCATCTTTCAAGAAAACAGAACGCTTAGAAGTTAGCTACCAGGGTTTAGATATAGAAAATCAAAGACTGCAAAAAACTTTAGAGAACAGCAATAAAAAAATCCAGCAATTAGAGAGTGAACTACAAGACTTAGAGATGGAAAATCAAACATTGCAGAAAAACCTAGAAGAACTAAAAATATCTAGCAAAAGACTAGAACAGCTGGAAAAAGAAAATAAATCATTAGAGCAAGAGACTTCTCAACTGGAAAAGGATAAGAAACAATTGGAGAAGGAAAATAAGAGACTCCGACAACAAGCAGAAATTAAAGATACCACATTAGAAGAAAATAATGTGAAGATTGGAAATTTGGAAAAAGAAAACAAAACCCTATCCAAAGAAATTGGTATATATAAAGAATCTTGTGTCCGTCTGAAAGAACTAGAAAAAGAAAATAAGGAGCTTGTGAAAAGAGCAACTATTGATATAAAAACGTTGGTTACACTACGTGAGGTAAATATGTTTACCTAAATTAAGGCAAATTTTTTTTTATATTTTTAACTCAAGGTTTCTTTAAGTTTTATTGGAATCTATCAGTAATTTGCATCATTTATTTTATGGTTCAGTAGAATTTTGGAATTAGAACTAGAAATAGCTTCCAAGTTTCCTACTTTGTTAAACTAAGAAATACCTATAAATTGTATTTTTAAAAGAATTTGTAGTAATAAAGTTTCCTAGTGGTATCTGACTTATTACATTATAATTTTAAACCTTTATTTCAATATAATAATGTTTGATCAAGACACTAAATTCTAAGTATAATAAAGAAGCATGATAGCTACTATTTATTGAGTGCTGTGTGCCAAGTACTGGGCTAAAAACTTCATATAAGTTGTATATACATAAATAATATATACACACACACCCAAATATATATACACACATATATACATGCACATAATCTTTACAACTAATCCTTTATAAGTATTATATCCATTTTTTAGATGAGAAAACTGAGGTTCAGAAACATTAAATAAATTAGGATCACACAGCTAATAAATAGCAGAGTTGGATTACTGGATTCAAATCCAGATTTTTCAGACTCCAAAGCCCCATGAATTTTGACCTCAAAGCCAGAGAATGCAAATCAGGTTCAACCATTCAACACTGAGCAACTAGTATTTGCTTGAATCTATGTATCAAGAAGAATTCTGAAACTTACAGGAGTAAATTGGCAGTATGTCCTGTGAAACATGGTTGATGCAAGTCAGAAGGTATATGTTTGGCTCTTTTTTTCCCATCTCTAAGCATTATAATATGTGATAACCCTTTAAGTTCAATTTAAAAGTATATTAGCATTCTGGCAGAAGGTCACATTGGGCAGTCTGCATTTCTGCTAAAGAAGCATTGAGAGGGACCTTTTATTTTTTTCTTCTGTAGACTTATAAACATGAACAACAAGTTCCTTGTGCCTAAACTTCTAAGAACATCCTCTAGTTCTTCAGATCAGTATCATAGGGCCTCTTTCACTGGGAGAAGGGATCTTGTGGGAGAGAAGTATTATAGTCAACATATATTTATAAGAAGAAATGTGCACTAAAGTTCAGGCTCATTATTAAAAAGTAAATGGATATGATTTTCCCCAGTTTTCAAACCTAAATGTGTATTCACAAGTAAAGAGTTACTACTCCCTTTTAAGGTTTTGTTTAAAGTATTAGCAAAAAAAAGGAAAAAAGTTATTTCAACTAGGTTATAACTTTAACTACATTTTAATAATGAAGGAATGGTTTAATGACATTTCCTGGTTCAAATTACATGTATTCCTAGATGGTGGTAATTAGAATCTTAGCTGACTTTCTTAGATGTTTATACCCTTGACACTTAGGTGAGTTTTGCATTTCTTTTAAAATAAGGATTTGGTGAGTGAAAAGTTGAAGACCCAACAGATGAACAATGATCTCGAAAAATTAACTCATGAGCTTGAGAAGATAGGGTTAAATAAGGAGCGACTCTTACATGATGAACAAAGTACTGATGACAGGTGAGTACTAAGTCTACTTGGCAAACAGTTGAAAATTTTTTTTTTTTTTTGCTCATACATGAATTCTTTCTGTACTAGCTATAGAAAACATTTATATATTTCACCCTATTTCTGGTTCCTTCCTTCCCTTAAGGAAAGTTCTGTAGCCGGGTGCGGTGGCTCACACCTATAATCCCAGCACTTTGGGAGGCTGAAGCGGGCGGATCACCTGAGGTCGGGAGTTCGAGATCAGCCTGACCAACATGGGGAAACCCTGTCTTTACTAAAAATACAAAAAAAATTAGCTGGGCATGGTGGTGCATGCCTGTAATTCCAGCTACTCAGGACGCTGAGGCAGGAGAATTGCTTGAACTTGGGAGGCTGAGGTTGCGGTGAGCTGAGATCGTGCCGTTGCACTCCAGCCTGGGCAACAAGAGCGAAACTCCATCTCAAAAAGAAAAAAAAAGAAAGTTCTGTAAGGAGAAAAGAGGAATCATAGACAATCTAATATAGATATAAGAAAACAAAAAACTAAAATGTTACTATATAAATACAGTTATAAAATAGGAAAACAGGATGCCACCCAGGTAGCAGAAGATCAGAGGCTATAATTGACTGTAAAAACAGAATAAGACATTAACAACAAACAAAAATAAGCAAGTTATTTTTTATTTGAATCATGTGCTTAAATATCTCTGTTCTTTATTTGCCAAAATGTTGACTTAAAGATAAATGGAGGAAAAGTATGAAACAAAGGAAAAGAAAAGCAACTGAGGTATAAAAATAATGTGGAAAACTAAAGCCTTAAAAGCTGGATAAAAAATTAACTTCTATGCCTTTTAATTTTAAAAATGATCAATATAGGTTTAAAAAAATATGTATTCTCTCATGGTAATTACAATCTATCAAACAGAGTTAATCTGATTTTCAAGTCTATTATTTAGCATCCAGTCAGCTCCATGAATCCAGCTGGAATAGAAGTTGTATATTGTTAAGAATATTATTTTATGTAGACTAGATTTTCATTCAGTTTTTGTAATTATATAATTTATATTTTATCTACTCATTATTACTGTTCCAGTATTTATATTCTGTATTAAATGTATATTGGGAGAATTAATGGTGATTACATAGGATTTGTTCATGTAATTTTCAGAATGTTCAAAGTAAATAGGATAGATTGACACTTAAAAAGTTAGTTGTGTAATAACAAAAAGATATAATTTGAGGCATTTATTCTAGCAATCAGTTCAAGTCAAGCAATGATTATTGAATTAATTGTACAGATATTTCATGAGGAAATATTTTTATTTGAGTTAATCAGATAAGTGCAGATTTCGTTGACTGTCTTTTAATATAGATACTGAATATGCATCCCCTCTTTATTCAAACAGATTTATTACCTACTATATGTAAGACACTGTACTGCATGTTGTTTGCAAAAGAAAAAGTAGAATACACCCTGTAGTGCTACTTGACCCTATTATAAATTTATGAACCCAGCTCTGGGTGGACCCTTCATACAGTTTGCCTCCTCTTCCCAAACCTTAATTCATACAGTTAGCCAATGTTAATTGAGCTCTTCTTATCTGCTGATCATCTAGCATCAAAGTAGTAATAATGTTTCAACTGAATCTTAAAAAATGACAGAGGTTTACAAGGTGGGAACAGTGGGAAAGGGCATTCCATGTAGACAAAAGCATTTGTATAAAAGCACAAAAGTATGCTGAGCAATTTTTAGAGTATATGAAAGATGGATTACAAAAAGGATGAATTTGGAAGCACAGAGACAGGATAGGAAGTGATTATAATAGTCTAGGCAACATGTGATGCCATTCATTATTTCCACATATTTATTTACATAATGAATTAGGCATGGAGATAAGGGTATATGTTGAACTAAAGCTTTTTGGAAATAGAAAGTGGCTTGAACTACTAAACTAGCTTCTTTCTCAGCCAGGAAGTTAGTCTTTATGTCACAAAAAAAACCCAGAAACTCACAGACATAAATTCCTTTAATGTGCCATTCCCTCCACCTTGGGATTTATGTATATCAGTCTCAAATGATGCCCCTAATTCCTATTAATCTAAGTTTCCCGTCTTTCTTTTTTTTGAGTCGGAGTTTTGCTCTTGTCACCCAGGTTGGAGTGCAGTGGCACAATCTCGGCTCACTGCAACCTCCGCCTCCGAGGTTCAAGTGATTCTCCTGCCTGAGCCTCCCAAGTAGCTGGGATTACAGGCACGCACCACCATGCCTGGCTAATTTTGTATTTTTACTGGCCAGGCTGGTCTCGAACTCCTGACCCCAGGATCCACCCACCTTGTCCTCTGAAAGTGCTGGTATTACAGACATGAGCCACCGTGCCCGGCCTAACTGTCCCATCTTTCTAATTCATGTTATTCTCTCTGAATTTATTTGAAGGTACAATTATTATTAAGATACTTATTCTTGCCATCAAGGAATATATAGTTTTGGAATCGAATGTATAAGTAAATAAATTTAAAAGCAACGAAATAAATTTAGTAGGCCGGGCACGGTGGCTCATGCCTGTAATCCCGGCACTTTGGGAGGCTGAGGCAGGCGGATCACTTGAGGTCAGGAGTTCAAGACCAGCCTGGCCATCATGGTGAAACCCTGTCTCTACTACAAATACAAAAAATTAGCCAGGCGTGGTGGTGCACACCTGTAATCCCAGCTACTCAGGAGGCCGAGAAACAAGAATCACTTGAGCCTGAGAGGCAGAGATTGCAGTGAGCTGAGATTGCGCCACTGCACTCCAGCCTGGGCAACAGAGTGAGACTCTGTCTCTAAATAAATAAAGTGGTAGAGTTGTAAACAGAGGTGATCACTCTTGTCTTTTCTCTTTTAATACCTGTTTGATGTCTTCTGTCTTCTCTTTCAATATGGTTGTTTACAGGATTATGTTTTCAGGCCTCTTATCCATTCATTCTGTATGCTGAGCATTCCCATACATCATCTCACCTGAGATCCTTTTTTTTCTCTGTTTACTGTATGTTTCTATCAGGATAGACCAGAAGCAACTCAGACGTCACCAATTCAACATACCCAAAATCAGACGCAGTAAATGATTTTTAAATGTTTGTTGACTCCAGCCGATACCAAAGTGAATGAGATTTGTTCTCTGTATTCAATGACATTAAAATCTGATTGAGAAGAAAATATTTACATAAAAATTAATTCCAGTAAAAGAATGTGGTGAAACTCTCATATACATACTTTAGGTTTTTATTTAGTGTTGTCTTCAGGGTCTTCAGGTTTAAGAAATGGATCATAAATAGTGGTTTATGATACACTGAATTGTGTTCATATACCATCCTTTTTGTGAAAAAAGTATTTATTAATAATTATTCATTTATCTACCATTCAGAAAGATAATTGCAATACTGACAGTCACATCCATCACCCTCTTGCCACTCTGTCACGAGTATCCTGTGCCATAAGTATGTCATTTTTTTTACTGTAACTACTCTGTACCCTGAGATAAGGAGTCTTCATTGCCGGGCGCGGTGGCTCATGTCTGTAATCCCAGCACTTTGGGAGGCCGAGGTGGGTGGATCACCTGAGGTCGGGAGTTCGAGACCAGCCTGATCAACATGGTGAAACCCCATCTCTACTAAAAATACAAAATTAGCTGGGCGTGGTGGCACATGCCTGTAATCCCAGCTACTAGGGAGGCTGAGGCAGGAGAATCGCTTGAACACGGGAAGCGGAGGTTGCGGTGAGCCGAGATTATGCCATTGCACTCCAGCCTGGGCTACAAGAGCAAAACTCCATCTCAAAACAAAACAAAACAAAACAAAACAAAACAAAACAAAACAAAGGAGTCTTCATTAATAAAAAGGATATTTTGGGACTTTGGTCTTCCGGGTTCCTTGAGAATTAATTATTGCTTTTGATAATCTAAGCCATAATCCGGAGCTCTGTTCACTCAATGATTTTGTTGCTTCATTACCAGGATTAGTTTTAAAGGGAGAATGGGGCAGTAAGAAGAGGATAATTTCATTTGCCTCTTTAACAAAAATGCTTTTATAAGACCCATTTATGGCATGAATATTTGTGGTCATAAATTATCTTTAAAAATAATTTTCTGACCTCCAATAATGAACTACATTACTTTGTACTTGGATAGTAGGTATAAACTTTTGGAATCAAAATTAGAATCCACTCTTAAGAAGTCTCTTGAAATAAAAGAAGAAAAAATTGCTGCTTTAGAAGCTCGATTAGAAGAATCCACGAATTATAACCAGCAATTGCGCCAAGAACTTAAAACAGTAAGTGATTTTCTTGGAAAGAATTTTAAGGATCATTTATTATATAAATATTTGGACAGAAAAATATAAAGTAGAAAATAAAAATATAAACATTTTATTGATATTTAGTCTATTTCTTCCTTTTTCATAAACTTGAGAATATTCTTAAACAGATCTCTGTCATATGAATATGGTATAGCTTATTCAGTGCTATTTCATGTGTGTAATATTCCTGCCTGCTGTTAGGGATATATCAGAAGTGTGTGGGTGGAATGAGGAAGAGGCAGGCTTATTTTATTGGGAAAAGCTCTCATTGTGATACTGACATTTCACTCTGTCACTCTTTCCTATCGAGGATCCAGGGGAAATTCTGCTAAGCAAAATATGAGTGTGAGTATACCAAGTTAGAGGAAAATCATATGTGTGTTATATAAGACAGCACCTGATCTCATAAATTTGATGTCTTTTCTAGATCTGTTTTCCTTGTGATATTTGAAAGTATTCAGTGAAGTAAGTAAGCAAGGCAGAGGCAACTGTTTATTTTCCCTAAGGAAGTAAATCAAAATATAAGGGACTTTCCCATTCCACAGGGCTAGTAGATGGTAGATTGGTAGAGTCATGTTCTGGTTTATTCACCCTTTTATCATCTCTGCAGTGCCACCAGGAGTGGTCTCAAGGTTAACTAAACACTTAGACTGATAAGATTACTGTAGGCTACATTTAGAATCGCTGTACTCAGAACACTATAAGAAATACAAATAGATAGCAGGGCAGTGTCAGTCCATCCTCTTCACGTAGTTGTCTGAGAATCATCTTCCCACCAGATGGTTTTGGTATAAGATGAGATTCACACTGGGTGTGTGCGGGAGCTTTCCTGGCTTTGAATCCGTATACTCATAGCAGTCATTACCTCTTGCAGCAACTCCAAAGGTATGGATTTACGATTCCCACAGTGCACATACCAATCAATTATGAGAGTTGCTGTACTCAGAGAAGTTCAGAGATAGGGCTGTCTATTGGTCTTTAAAGTTCTCCTAAATAGTCATTTTTTTCAATAAGCAATATTATCTAGTAACATAGAATGTTCCAGTTTTTTTCCACTATTTGCTGACACCATTATTGCTGCTATTTGTCACAGACATTGCCATCGAACATACATTGTTACAGAATAAGTTTTACTTATTTTTCATCCAGACATTCTCAGAGCCAGAGAATAAATTTTAGAACTGTGTCTGGTTAACTAAAGGGATTATTAAGAACAAAACAAAACAAAACAAAAAAAACACATTAACCTGCTTGTTGTCCTGAATTTTTTACCCCATTAGCAGTATCACTGAGTTGCAAATAAAATCAATTTCATGAAGCTACTCAACCAGAAAATTAGTGGGTTTGGGTGTGAGTTGCATACGTGTGTTTCAAGTAGATATTTAAAATGCCATCATTAGGCTGGGTGCGGTGGCTCACGCCTGTAATCCCAGCACTTTGGGAGGCCGAGGCAGGCAGATCTTTTTAGGTTGGGAGTTCAAGACCAGCCTTGCTGACATGGTGAAACCCTGTCTCTACTAAAAATACAAAAATTAGCCAGCCAGGCGTGGTGGCGGGCACCTGTAATCCCAGCCAGCTACCCAGGAGGCTGAGGCAGGAGAATCGCTTGAATCCAGGAGGTAGAGGTTGCAGTGAGCTGACATCCTGCCACTGCACTCCAGTCTGGGTGACAGAGTGAGACCCTGTCTCAAAAAAAGCCATCATTGACTTCCACTTTCAGCTATTTGGACATAACTGTTATGGACTAGCTTCCTGCTATGTATTCAACTGAATTTATATTGTTATAAACTTTTAATACTATATGTGAAGAGGTATTCACTTTAAGGTAGACTGTGAAAGTTAAATACGAATAGTATAAGGGTTAAAGTAACCACTAAATTAGTATGACAAAGAGGTATAGGTAATATGACCAAAAAAGGGAGATAAAATGGACTCATAAAAAAATAAATCCAGGCTAGGCACAGTGGCTTATCTCTGTAATCCCAGCACTTTGGAAGGCTGAGGTCGGCAAGTTCGCTTGAGCGCAGGGGTTTGAGACCAGCCTGGGCAACATAGGGAGATCCTGTCTCTTAAAAAAATCCAAAAGGCAAAAAAAAAAAGAAGAAACAGGGAAGAAAGTACAGATTGGACAAATAGAAAACAAATAGTAAGATGGCAGTTTTAAACCAAAGTATGGCAATAACTATATTAGATATAAAAGGTCTAAACACCCCAGTTAAAAGACAGAGATTAATAAATTAGACAAAAAGATAAGACCCATCTATATGCTACCTATCAGAAATCTTGATGGAAAATGATATATCATTCCAGCACTCATCAAAAAATTGCTAGATTGGCTATATTAATGTTAGACAAAGTAAATTTTAGTGCAGTAAATAGCATCAGAGCTAAGTAGTTCATTGCATAATTATAAAGGGGTCATTCCAGCACAAAGATAACAAGGTTAAATGTTTATGCACCTAATAACAGAGATACACCTAGTAACAGAGCTGCAAAATACATGAAGCAAATATCTGTAGAACTACATGGAGAAAAATCCACAATTACAGTAAGAGAGTTCAATACTCATCTCTCAATAATTGGAGAATAAGTAGAAAGAACTTCATCTACCAGATAAAGGGCTTCTATAAACAGCCTATAGACTAATCACTTTCCCCCTTTAATCAGGAAGAATACAAAGATTTTGCTCTCACTGTTTCTATTAAATGCTGTACTGGTGATCCTAACCAGTATACTAAGATAAGAAGAAATGAAAGGCATACAGATTTGAAAGGAAGAAGTAAAAATGTCTTTCTTCACCTGTGACATGACTATATTTACAGAAAACCCTGAGGAATTCACAGAAAAATCTCTACAGCTAAGGTGAACTAATCAATGTCACAGGATAAAAGTCAATATATAAAAACCTATTTTATTTCTCTACATTAGCAATGAAAGATTGAAAAATGAAATTAAAAAACACCATTTATAATACTATGAAATACTTATGGATGAATTTAAGGAAATGTGTGCAAGAACTCTGTACTAGAAACACCAAAGGAAATACCTCAGTAAATGGAGATAAGAACCATGTTCATGAATTAGAAGACTCAATATTGTTAAAATGGCAGATTTCCCCAGATTGATCTCTTGATTCAACATAATCCCAATTAAAATCCCAACAGGCAGATTAACGAGATGATTCTAAAATTTATATGGAAATATTGATCAAATATTGGTGCAAATTGGGAGCAACTGGAACTGTCATGCATACTGATGCAAATATAAGGTGTTATAACTAATTTAGCAGGCAGTATGGCAGTATCTCAAAAAGTCCTGGCCCATGGCCAGGCATGGTAGCTCTTGCCTGTAATCCCAGCACTTTGGGAGGCTGAGGCAGGTGTATCACTTGAGGCCAGGAGTTCAAGACGAGCCTGGCCAACATGGTGAAATGCTGTCTCTACTAAAAATACAAAAATTAGCTGGGCGTGGTGGCGCACACCTGTAGTCCCAGCTACTCAGGAGACTGAGCCACGAGAATCACTTGAACCCAGGAGGTGGAGGTTGTGGTGAACTGAAATTGCACCACTGCACTCCAGCCTGGGCGACAGAGCGAGACTCCATCTCAAAAAAAAAAGAAAAAGAAGGTGATAATGCTACTTCTCTTTACTCAAGGAAAATGAAAACATAGATAAATGAATTTTTATAACAACTTCATTCATCATCATAAAAACTGGATATAATGACCAAAAGAAAAAAATTACTGATGCACTCAACACATGGTTAAAGCTTAGAAATATACTCAGAAACACACACACATACACACAGATTATATATACTGTGATCATATTTGTGTGAAATTTTAGTATAAGCAGAATTTTTGTGAAAGAAATGAAAACAGTGGTTGCTTAGTGCAGTGATCTTTCTAGAGTGATGGAAGTGTTCTGTCATGTTGATATATGGGTTATATAGGTGTTTGCCATTCTCAAAACTACCGAATTACACTTAAAATCTGTACATTAGCAACTTCATGCAAATTATAACTCTGTTTTTAAAGATGACATTATCTTTGGGAACTTGAAAATTTGAATTCATAACATAATTTACAATATTTTAAATTTTAATTAA
Source organism: Homo sapiens (assembly GCF_000001405.40). Lineage (NCBI taxonomy): Eukaryota > Metazoa > Chordata > Mammalia > Primates > Hominidae > Homo > Homo sapiens. The sequence continues at coordinate 55,324,162 of NC_000002.12, read as the reverse complement.
ACTTTGACAATTTTTTAATTAGCTCTAAATTACTTTGTTACAGTGATTTATCTTTAGACTCTGAATATAAAGATTTTGATTAATGATACATAAAGTAATCATTTTTAATACTTACTTGAAAGAACAATGGGTTTAAAATGAGAAGCCTTCGGCTGGGCGCAGTGGCTCAACGCCTGTAATCCCAGCACTTTGGGAGGCCAAGGTGGGTGGATAGCTTGAGGTCAGGAGTTCGAGACCAGCATGGGCAACATGGTGAAACCTCGTCTCTACTAAAAATACAAAACTTAGCCAGGCATGGTGGCACACACCTGTAATCCCAGCTACTCGGGAGACTGAGGCAGGAGAATGGTTTGAACCTGGGTGGCGGAGGTTGCAGGGTGCCAAGATCGCATCACTGCACTCCAGCCTGGGTGACAGAGTGAGACTATGTCTCAAAAAAATATATAAAATGAAAGGATTCGAGTTTTATTCTCAGCTCCCCTTTCTTAATAACTGCATATATTTATAGCCTTTCTAAGCCTAGAATAAGGACCTCATGGGAAATTCATGTAAAATAGAGACTAGAAATGATGCCACTCATCTATTGTTATTAGTGTGTTAAAAGTAAAAACAAAACAAACAAAACCCGGAAACTAGGATCATAGGGTACCCCTTAGATTTCTTGAGAAACTTGACATTACATTCTATCTTGGCATCTTTTTAGTCTCACCTCATTATTTTCTAACTCATTGGTAGCAATATTAATTGTTGAGTCATAGGCTTTCTTAAGTTGTACATTAGATGTTGAACTATAAAACATTTCTATCCCTGCCTTAATACAAAGGTTGGGGTTAACTTAAAATTTATTATAAGAATCTCCTAGGGTAAACTAGTGCTTCAAGATAGTTTAATAATTCAAGATAAGAATAGTAATATTAAATTTAAGTTGAAGAGAAAGAGTTATTAAGTTAAATCTGGCAAATTTGGTCATGTATGATGAGCAAGTTAATAGCAATCCAAGGATATATCTTATCCAGGATTTTCTAGTGTGATTGTAATCTACTTTAAGAGAGCCAACTCAGAACTAAAAAATCCTGAATACGATATATCCTTAAAATTAATAAAGTGTCAAATCTTTGTGCTTTACGTAGGCATCTCTGTGAAATTTCTAACCTGGTTATAGATAGCTGTAAAAAGAATTGTTAGTCATTAGCAACATATCTATATCCACTGTTAATCCAGGGGCATTTGCACGACAAACGATAGGATTTGACATGACTATTACTCTGGCACATAAGTAGAGTATGTTTTATATTTCTAGGAGGAAAGGATTTACATTTTAAAAAGCATAAATCATACATATTATTCATCACATTTAAAAGTAAATTGCCTTTCGTATTCACCAGATCAGCCCAGAGTCAAATTAATTGAGAGAAATGTAACTGTGGTGATTTTTTTCTCCCCATTAAAATATTTTAAATAAAATTTTAGGTGAAAAAAAATTATGAAGCTCTCAAACAGAGACAAGATGAGGAAAGGATGGTACAGAGCTCTCCTCCAATATCTGGTGAAGACAACAAATGGGAGCGAGAAAGTCAAGAAACGACTAGAGAACTTCTGAAAGTTAAAGACAGATTAATTGAAGTAGAAAGAAATGTAAGTATTTTTAAATTTTAGTAGAAATAGTTTTTTTTAGAAATAGAGGATCACTGGATATATTTATCTTAGATACATTTTCTAATATTTAAACAATTGATGGCACTTAATAAGAAAATTCTAGTCATATAGTCCTTTTTCTATTTGTTCCTACCTAAGGGGACTTTCTTTTTGCTTCTCCTGCCTGGAACATATGACTGGCTTCCCTCAGCATTTGGGTAGCATATCATATGTCCTGCAGAAGGTCTTCTCTGACTTCTTCCCCCAGTAAAGTTGTTATTCCTGACTTAAACTATTCACTATTGTTCCACTGCTTTAGTTTTTTCATAGCACTTTTCACAGTGAAATTAAATTTTGTATTCATTTATGAAAGCAGGTAATTCGTCTTTCTTTTTATTACCACCGTGCCTTTACTATCTAGAATAGTGCCTGGTAGGTAGTAGACACTTAACAAATATTTGCTAAATTAGTTCAATATATACTTGACAGTAAACAACAAGCAAACAAACTGAACAACAAATACTTACCCTTCAAAAGATGAATAAACTTAAGGAACTTACACAATAACAAGTAAAATAGTTGTGGTGGTGGTTTTTTTTTTTTTAATTTAACACAAAAATAGTACCTTTAATTAAAAACTAAGCAATAAAACCAAAAATTAATCCCCACACCATGATTTCTACTTTCTCATTCAAAAAGAATCACTATAAACAGTTTATCTTCCTAGAAAATTTTCTTGTCATTTATCTGTATGTAGAAGTATATTTCTTTAACAAATTTATACCTGTGGGATCATGCTATACAAAATTCCTATTTGCATTTTCAGTTAATATTATATTGGAGATGTCTCAATTTTAGCAGATGTATATGTATTTCATTTTAATGACTACCTATTATTCCATAGTGTGAATGTTACCATAATTTACTTAAATAAATCTCACATTTCTGGACATTTAGGTTTTTTTGGTTTTTTTTTGAGACGGAGTCTCACTTTGTCGCCCAGGAATTGAATGCAGTGGCGTGATCTCGGCTCACTGCCAGCTCTGCCTCCCAGGTTCACCCCATTCTCCTGCCTCAGCCTCCCGAGTAGCTGGGACTACAGGCGCCTGCCACCACGCCTGGCTAATTTTTTGTATTTTTAGTAGAGACAGTTTTCACCATGCTTGTCAGGATGGTCTCAATCTCCTGACCTCATGATCCGCCCACCTTGGCATCCCAAAGTGCTGGGATTACAGGCATGAGCCACCGCGCCCCACCCATTTAGGTTATTTTTAAACATGTTCATAGAATGCTAAATTCCTGACAGTGAAATTGCAAGGCCAAAGGATATATACGTGTGTGTGTGTGTATTTAATTGATTTTTTCTACTAGTCTTTAAAAATCCCATCTATTATCTTTTTTTTTTTTTTTTTCTTCTCTGAGACAGGGTCTCACTCATCTCCCAGGCTGGAATGCAGTGGCGAGATCATAGCTCACTGAAGCCTCATCCTCCCAGGCTCAAGTGATCCTCTTGCCTCAGCCTCCCAACTAGCTGGGAGCACAGGTGCACACCACCACACCCAGCGAATTTTTGTATTTTTTGTAGAGATGGGGTCTCACTATGTTGCCCAGACTGGTCTCGAACTCCTGGCCGCAAGTGATCTGCTCTCTTCAGCCTCCTGAAGTGCTGGGATTGCAGGTGTGAGTCACCACACCCAACCTAAAAATCACATCAATTTTCAGTCCCACTAAGAGAGTATACCTATCTTTCCATATTAACATTGGATAGTACCTAGTGCTTTAATTTTTCTTAAAGCAATAGGAGAAAATATTTTCATGTGCACATTTAAAATTATGAGTTAGGTATTACACATCTTTCATATATTTATTGGCCATTTATAAATGCCTATTTTTAATCAGTGATATATATACCTATATTGCTTGGATTCATAATTACATTTTAGAAAATTGAGCTGGCATATAAAGTTCTGTAAGGTGAATCTTTTTTTCTTGTAGACTTCCTTTATAAATTCTCATTGGAAAAAAATTACTTCATATCATATTTTAGATAATGGGGTTATAAAGACGGTTAGCCATATAATAGGCTGGTAATTTTTGTGTGTTTGCCAGTATTATATTTGCTAACTTATTTCTTTGCCCTTGTAAATTTTTTCCTGCTCTAAGATACCCTCTCAGCTATCTCTTCTATTCATTATAGACTATAGGAATTTTTTTTATTCCCAAAGACACCTGGAATAATCGGTAGAGCTTGTACAATTTAGTTTCTAAAGTGCTAAACTACAATAGTATTTCACATATATATGTGAAAAATGGTTCACCTCTTTGTGCTGAGATGGTATATAAATACATCAGTACTATCAGTATTCCTTTTTATTTTTTCTAGTACACATTTTTTCATCCTTTCTATTTGAACAAATGAACAAAAGAGAAGTATAAAATCATAACGCATCTTAAAGCATTTGTTTCCTCAGCTTCAATTTTATGGTATAATATGTGGGTCAAATCCTGACCTGCCTTTTACACAGTGACATGCAGTGTATATAACATAAAGCCAATAAAATTAATGTTATATTTACATATAGATATGATAAGAGTGATCTATTGTGATTCAGTTGTTAACTTTTTATGCATACTGCAGGGTAGACCAATTATGACCTTTTGTACATTAAAGTTTTATTTCTGTTTTCTGGAGGGTTCTTTGTTTATACTTTGCTGTTGTTGATTTTTTATGAAGTTTAATTTAGAAATAATCCTGAAAATATTAATGACAAGTATTTTAAAATATAATAATCATTGATTCACATAGTAATTCATTTGTTTAGCTATAAAATTGAAATATGGCCTTATGTACTGGAAAAACTGAAAATTTTATGTTTTGTTTGGAAATGCTCCAGGAGTCTTATAGTTGAAATAGAATTTTAATTAGTATTTTATATTGTGGGAAAAATAAGAAAATATCTGCGTTAGGTCTGTTGTGGATTGCAAAATGGAAACAAAAAATGGTTAAGATTGTTCCTGTAAACCTGCTTCCCTTTGAAATATTTGTGTTTGGAATATACTTAGTTTTGCACTATCTCTGGGACCACTACTCACTTAGGTATATATTTGCCTTTGGGTAAATTAGAAAAGTTAGACCTCCATGGTTGGACACAGCCCCATTTATTCTGGGCATTCTGGGAACCTTCAAGCAGTATTAAAACCATACAACTGACAATTCCTTTCTAGTTTTTGTGTTAATAAATATATTTAGAATGGGATATTTTATTTTTAGGATATTATAATGCAGACAAGACACAGGCACAATATTAAAGTTTTAATATCATTGCCTTCTTTCTGATAAATGTCTGTTTACAATTTGGGATGGGGGAAATGTTTTGGTTTTTTTTCTCTTTTAAGATTGTTGGGGCTTTTATGGATTATAATGCTAATAAATACTCATTGTATAAAATTCAGTATACTATAGAAACATATTTGATGTTGCCATTATTGTTAATATGTTTGGTTTTGGTTTTTGTTTTTCAAGAATGCTACACTGCAAGCAGAGAAGCAAGCGTTGAAAACTCAACTGAAGCAACTTGAGACACAGAACAATAATTTGCAGGCTCAGATTCTTGCACTTCAGAGGCAGACAGTGTCATTACAAGAACAGAATACCACTCTTCAAACACAGAATGCCAAGCTTCAGGTTGTAATATAATATTTTGGGAATATGCAACCAAACTCTTGAATTATGCTATTAAAATAAGGGAGGGTAAACATGGAAACATTGTTTCTTAGTGAATGAACTTAAAGATAAATGAAAATATTTTTATTTAGTGCCATGCCAAATTTTCACACATCAGTTTTTAATTTTAAATATTAATAAATTCAGTCAATACATCTGAATAAAGATAAATTATATTTATGGTCTTTCTACCATTTCATTAAGTCGATTGTAAAAAATTAGGTAGAAACCCTTGCTTTAGAGTATGCTTGCAGCATACTATTCCTTATTTCATTTGTATAGCTTTTTTTTGTCAGTTTAGTTACTGAAAAGCAGGACAACATGAGAATTTTGTCTTTAGACCTCTCCTAAGTTCAAAGGATCCATCTTTCACTTAACACCGCCAGTGTCTTTTAAAACAGAACAATCAGGTGGGGAAAAGTTCAACTCTGAAAGCTCTTAAAGAGCAGAAACAAGTTCCCTCTCCGAATCAAAGAATTCTTCTTTCTGTAACCCTTTTCTTTGACACTGATTTTGATTAACATCAACACTTTGATAAAGAAAATACTTATTTAATTTGGACTCTTGAAAAATTTCTAAAAGTAATTTTTCACTTCTATCAACTTCTATCACCAAATTCTAGAAATGATAAACTAGTACTTCAAATTCTATACATTTTCATTTGTAATATAATACAAATGGTTGCTAATCACCTTCATTTAAAATAAATTCAACCCAAAACATACAATACATATATATGTCTATATATACACACATACATATGTATATATACACTTCCAAAAGTCAAAATTAAATGATAGCCTTATTCTTTGGGAAGCTAAAATCCACGTCTTCCCAGTATAATGTAAATATGTGTGCTGTGATTCATTTAGAGCTTTCTTTAATTAACATTGTAATCTTGTATTTTGAAAAAGAACATGAACTGTTTTTCTTATGTCTGATAACAATATATATTCTTATAGGTTGAAAATTCCACCCTTAATTCCCAAAGTACCTCACTCATGAACCAGAATGCCCAACTCCTAATCCAGCAGTCTTCCTTAGAAAATGAAAATGAATCTGTAATCAAAGAGCGAGAAGACCTAAAATCTCTCTATGATTCTCTGATCAAAGATCATGAAAAGCTGGAACTTCTTCATGAACGTCAGGCTTCAGAGTATGAATCTCTTATCTCTAAACATGGAACTCTGAAGTCTGCCCACAAAAATCTTGAGGTGGAACATAGAGACCTTGAAGACCGGTAATTTATTATATTTTGTTGTACTGTGAATTTAAAATGAATTTTCTTCAAGTAGTATAATAAATTTTATATATTAAACACATCTAATGTTAGTTTACATAAGAAATTTATATAAATTTACATGTGTTTTAAATGATACTCATTACTCATTTCCTTCATTTCTAAAATTTCTTTTTTGTAAATATTATAAACCAAATGCCTTTTTTCCCCCCAGTTACAATCAGTTATTAAAACAGAAAGGACAGTTGGAAGATTTGGAAAAAATGCTCAAAGTAGAACAGGAAAAAATGCTGCTTGAAAATAAAAATCATGAAACAGTAGCTGCAGAATACAAGAAACTTTGTGGTGAAAATGATAGGTAATAAATATATATTATATATAACAAACATTTTATATAGAAAGTATATACATATATATGTGTATATATATGTTTTTTCAAAATTATGTATTATTTCTTACATCCAAACTATATACTGCCCCTTTGTAGTACCAAGCATAGTTTGAATTCGGAATTTTAAAAAATAGAATAGGCTGGGTGCAGTGGCTCACACCTGTAATTCCAGCACTTTGGGAGGCCGAGGCAGGTAGATCACCTGAGTCAGGAGTTTGAGACCAGCCTGACCAACATGGTGAAACCTCGTCTCTACTAAAAATACAAAAATTAGCCAGGCTTGGTGGCGTGCACCTGTAGTCCCAGCTACTTGGGTGGGTGAGACAGGAGAATTGCTTAAACCTGAGAGGCAAAGGTTGCAGTGAGTCGAGATCGCGCCACTGCACTCCAGTCTGGGCAACAGAGTAAGACTCCATCTCCAAAAAAAAAAGAGAGAGAGAGATAGGATCTTACTCTTTTGCCCAAGCTGAAGTTCAGTAGCATGATCATAGCTTACTGCAACCTCAAACTACTATGCTTAAGCAATCCTTCCACCTTAGCCCCTCAGGTAGCTGGAACTGCTGGCACACACCACCATGCCTAGCTAATTTTTAATTTTTTTATTTTAATATTTAGTTTTTGTAGAAATAGGGTCTCCTGTGATCCCCACGGTTGCTCACAAACTCCTGGCCTCAAGTGATCCTCCTGCTTCTACCTCCCAAAATGCTGGGATTACAGACATGGACCATCAATAACCAGCCAATACTTTCTTATTAATACTTGAAACTTTGAGTACCTATACTTCAACATATTTAAAGACTAAAAAATTCTTTTCCCAGTGTGGAGATGGGTGGATGAAAAAAGGAAATTAAAAATTATTTTCAAGGGAAAGGTACTCAGAATTTTAAAAAATCTAGTTTTTACAGAATAGAAACTGATTTTTGATAAGTTTAGTAACTTGTAAAACAGTCTTTTATTCTAAGTATGCCTTAATGTTATTTATATCATTTCATATTGTATAAATTACACCAAAAGCTATTAAGATAATCTAATTATATTTCTATGATTTCTAATTATAGGCTGAATCATACCTATAGTCAACTTTTAAAAGAGACTGAAGTTTTACAAACTGACCATAAAAATTTGAAAAGTCTTCTGAATAATTCCAAACTGGAACAAACAAGATTAGAAGCTGAATTTTCAAAACTAAAGGAACAATACCAACAATTGGATATTACATCAACCAAGCTGAATAACCAGTGTGAGGTGAGCTTAAAAAGTTTAATCACTGTGTCCTTCATTTAGGCACCAAGACATGCCTAAGAAATAAATGACTAGATTACAATGACAATACTAGTATATATTTAGTGGCATATATCTAAAAGAATTTGGTCTAGGATCACTGAAACTTACATGTAATTCAGAACAACTTCCCATATCATTAATTACAATATTTTAAAAACTATTAGCTTAAACTTATGTCCAAATTCTTTGAAAATTGTAAAATTATTCATTTAATGAAAAAATGTTTACACCTGGCATGAAATTATAAACCAATAGAAAAATTAGCTGGAAACAACATACAATTAATTACCCAACAAAGCTCAGAAAGTAATTCATTCTACCTATGATTTATAAAAGTCCAAATAAATTATAGGATGGTATACCTCCAGAATGGTAGAGTGAGAAATGTGGCAAATCAACTCCTTAAGAAACAATAAAATTGGACAGAACTGTCAAAAACAACCTTGTTAGGACTCTAGAACCCAACAAGGGCATATAGCAAATTGAGAAGCATTTATTAAAGCAAAACTATTCAACCCTGGGAAGGAACTGTGGTTGTCTGAGGCATTTTATCTTGGGGTTCTTCCCATTCCTCTTCTCCTTCCCTGGTTCCTGTGCCTGGTAGTTTTGACAGAGCACAGGGCAAGCTGTGAAAAACAGCAACTTTTCTACTGGAGAAAACTGACTTGATTTGGAACAGAGCATAGAAAAGCCCCATGCGTGGGAGAGCTGTCAAAGGTCAGCTCTTAGATAGCCTGAGGTTGAAATATTGGTTGGGGCAAGTAACAGACCAGTAAACCAGTCAAAAATTAAAGGATTTTCAAGAAATGAGTCAGCCTCAGTGGGTCTTCATAAGATTCCACATGTCACTGGTGGTCCAGAAAACTGTTCAAGAGAGACCAGAGAGGGCCCTAGCTATCTATGCATCCCTGGCTAATTCTCACAATTTGGGTCAAATGTTAATTATTGGCTGAGGGCTAAGTCATATAATGACATGATTTAGTGGAGGTGGAAAAAACTAATCTATAGTATAAAAGGTTGAGATAGTAGTTAACCTTGGTGGGAAGGGATAGTGGTTGGAAGATAGCACAGGTGTTTCTGGAATACAATTAATGTTCTGTTTCTTGATCCAGGTGCTAGTTTAACATATATGTTTACTTTGTGATAATTCATTGAGCTCTATATACACTTAAAATTTGTTCTTGGACCAGGCACGGTGGCTCATGCCTGTAATCCCAGCACTTTGGGAGGCCGAGGCGGGTGGATCATCTGAGGTCAGGAGTTCAAGACCAACCTGGCCAACATGGTGAAAACGCATCTCTACTAAATATACAAAAATTAGCCAGGCGTGGTGGCACATGCCTGTAATCCCAGCTACTCGGGAGGCTGAGGCAGGAGAATCGCTTGAACTTGGGGGACAGAGGTTGCAGTGAGCCGAGATCGCACCACTTCCCTCTAGCCTGGGCGAAAGAGCGAAACTCCATCTAACAAACAAACAAAAAAAATTGTTCTCTTTTCTTTATATATGCTTTATCAGTTGTCTATTGACACTGATAATGCTCTTTAACAACGAGACAACCTTAGTGGTAATGGACAGTAAACATTTCTTTTTGCCTAATGAGTCTGAGTTTGCTGAGCATCTATGCTAATCTACTCACTGATGTATGGGCCAGGGGTTTGCTCCTGCATCTGTAATTAGCTGGCATGTACGCTGAGGGCTGGCTGGTCTATGGTGGCCTCGGTGGGATAACCCTTCTCTGTTCCATGTGGTCTCTCCATCCTCCAGCAGGGCTCTGAGAGTCTGAGTGGAAGTCCACAGGCAACTTGAGGCCTAGACTTGGAACTGTTACACCATCACTTCCACCTCTTTCTCTTGGCCAAAAGCATTCCAAATTCAAGAAGAAGGAAAATAGATTCCACTTCTTTACGGGAAAAGTGAGAAGTCACATTGCAAGAGGGCATAGGTACAGGGAAGAAAATAAATGCATTCAGTTTTTTAATGAATCTACCACATATGTTATGTTTCAATTTAACAACATACAGATAAATAAAACCAACGTAGTATGATATTCACAGTTACAGATCTAGATGGTTGTTTATGATTATAGTATAATTCTCCCTGATTTTCTCTACCTTTTGAAATTTTTCAAAATGTTTATTTTTTGCGGGGGGCGGCCGGGGTGGTGGTGTAGGCAGGGCGGGTATGTGTTATTTGCTTTTGCTTTTTTAATACAGATCTCTGGGCTCTACTCGAGACCTGAATTTGAATGCTGGGGCCCACAAATCTACTCTACAAGGGACGCCAAATTTTTAGAATCACTACTTTGGGCCTTCTGCTAACTTCTGTTTGAACCTCTGGCCTAGCTAAGGCATATTTCCAGTTTCTACTAACTGCGTAGAAAAGGCCCAATGCTGCTGGCAGCCCACCTACTAGTAATGCCAGCTGTTAATACCAACTATTGACTAAATTACCCGATTTCCCTTGATCAAGCTACAAAAACTATACACAGACTTTTAAGGTTTCTTGAAAACCGTGAATGGATGCCAGGCGCGGTGGCTCACGCCTGTAATCCCAGTACTTTGGGAGGCCGAGGTGGGCAGATCACCTGAGGTTGGGAGTTAGAGACCAGCCTGACCAACATGGAGAAACCCCATCTTTACTAAAAATACAAAACTAGCTGGGTGTGGTGGCGCATGCCTGTAATCCCAGCTGCTCAGGAAGCTGAGACAGAATAGCTTGAAACTGGGAGGCGGAGGTTGCAGTGAGCCGAAATCATGCTATTGCACTCCAGCCTGGGCAACAAGAGTGAAACTCTGTCTCAAAAAAAGAAAACAGTAGATGGGGAAATTATGAGACATACTAAGTACTTAGTGTGTGCTACACACATGCTACTAGATACTTTACATATGCTAATTAATCCTTGCAACAGCCTTGTTGGGTGGGAGCTATCCTCATTTCATAGATCTGAGAACTTACTTGTCTAACATTTCATAGAAATAAAATATTAGATATTTGAATCTAGCTTTTGGACTATACTATAAGTTAAACAGTTTTAAAGACAGAAAGCAGTGTTTGGGGAGTAGATAATATATTATATATTAGACCCAGTGTTTGTGAAAATTAAGAAAATATTTATATAGAGAGAGAGACAGCATGTAACCCAGTGCTGTAGGTGTCATCACTAAAATAATCATGCTCTGATAAAAGTACAATCATCTAATTGTTCAAACAGTGGAACACTTAAATCTTTGTGTAGTACTTCATATTTTTCAGTTGATTTATGTTAAATGTAAATGTTGATTTTTTAAAAAATGTTTGTGTTTAAACAGTTGCTAAGCCAACTTAAAGGAAATTTAGAAGAAGAAAATCGGCATCTACTAGATCAAATTCAGACATTAATGCTACAGAACAGAACACTTTTGGAGCAGAATATGGAAAGCAAGGATCTTTTTCATGTTGAACAAAGACAGTACATGTAGGTACCAAATAATTTTGCACTCTGAAATATGTTACTCATGATTTTATCATTGCCATACCCAGTGGCAGAGAAAATTCATGCTAATTTTTACTGATTTTCAACAAATATTTTTGAGTGCTTATATTCCAGGCACTATTCTAATAATCAGAAATACTAACATGAAAACACATGCATCTTGCTCTTAAAGAATTAGTAGTCTAAAGTGAGAAATACAAATAAACATTTAAATACAGTAATTCTATAATGGAAGTATATGTAGGAGGCCATAGAAATATAGCACATATAGGGGCAGGAATATCTTAGTCTGGGAGAGGCAAGGTGAACTTTCCAAAGATGAGATTTGAGTGGAGATTTATAGGTTCGATAGGAATTTGCTTGAGGAGGCATGCCAGCCCAGGAGAGCTGCAATACAAAGTCATGGAAGTGTGATGAAAGTATGTTGTGGTGTGGTATAGGACCTAAAAATTAATTGTTCTTTCTGGAGCAAAATTGAGGAAAGGAGGGGTGCAATAGAGAAGTGGCTAAACAGTCAGGACCCAGTTTACAAAGGTTGTTCTATGCCATACCAAGGAGTTGAGATCAAGCTGCAAAACATGTGAAAGAGAGTTGACAGGGCTTAATTATTGGTAAGTTGTGTCTCCAGAAAGTTAAACAATCTGTTAAGACTCACATTTGGGCCTGTGCAGCCCAGTGGGTAGTCTTGGTATTACTACCCGATGATTCATCTTTACTCAATACATCTCTTCTCTTTGCCCCACAAATGAGAAGCATCACAGTAAAATAGAAATAGCACAGATGTTGAAATTAGACAGCTTCTAATTCATGTCCCAATTCATCCACTCACAGTGTGACCACAGACTAGTCATTTCTTTGATCATTAGTTTCTTCTTTAAAATAGAGATGACACTTACTTTCTAGATTATTCAAGGAGTGCATGAAGTAGTATGTCTGTGCCTCTCAGACTTGATGTACATAAACAGCCAGGGCACATGTGAAACCAGGATACATCATACATTTTTCTGAAGCACCAGTCTTACCAAAAAATTTCAGGCAGGGAACATTATTTCTTTATTAATACACAGGTGTATCATGGAACAAAGGCAGAATTTGTGTAAACTTTCAAAGTAAATGTAAAACCTCAAAGAAATTTCACATTTGTGGCTGGACAACTTGGGCTCCACCTTTAGTCCTTTTAGTCCTTTCTGGGGTATGTATTCCTTTACTTGCTTTCAAAAGAAGGCTTGTTTTAGGTTAAGAAGCTTTGCGTATATATAAAACTTTTGGCATTTGAGTCTCCTGTCCCTTAAGCAGAGGCATTATCCAAAGCTTTGTTGTCTTACTATTCTGACCCTTGGTGACTAATACATTTCCAGGTGAAAGTGCTTGTATCTAGATAGTTGACTTCCAAAGATTATGATCTATTCTGACTTAATGAATTTAAATTACAAATATCCATCTTGCATGTTAGATATTTCTAGCTAAATGCCTTTGTTACGTGGTCCTAGCAGGATGGCAGTGGACAGGTAGTATTGAGATTTTGGAGGTTCTTAATGATATTTCAACAAGTAAAAGGAAAAACGAACTGGGAACTCCAGCCTTGTTAACAACTTTTCAAATGTCAACTCTTCTGCAGGCCTCAGATCCAAGCAGTTGGGTGAATAATAAATGTAGGCTGTATGCTGTTTGTACTGTGGTATAACTGTTGGCAACATCTGTTCACAAGGCATCTTCTACAGAATCTCTCAAGTTAGTTCTTCCTAGTCTCCACCACTGTAATTCAGCCTTCCCTCTCAAATAGACTACCCCATTAGCTTCCTGAATGTTTTCTTATCTCCAATCTTTTTTTTTTTTCTTTTCAGTCTTGCTCTGTCAGCCAGGCTGGAGTGCAGTAGCACAATCTCAGCTCACTGCAAACTCCACTCCTGAGTTCAGGCTATTCTCCTGCCTCAGCCTTCCAAGTAGCTGGGACTACAGGCAAATGCTGCGGCATGCTGCTAATTTTTGTATTTTTTGTAAAAACAGAGTTTTGCCACATTGGCCAGGCTGGTCTCAAACTCCTGAGCTCAAGTGATCCACCTGCCTCCACCTCCCAAAGCACTAGAATTACAGGCCTGAGCCACCACGCCCTGCCTTATCTCCACTCTTTCCGATATATCCTATTCCATCATTGGGTTAAAGTACCTTAAACCAAGATTTCTTACCACTTTGTAATGAAACTTTCAATACTTCTGATTTCCTACTGAGCAGAATGTAAAACAAAAACTCTCCCTCACTACTTCCTCTCAGCCTATAACATTCAAGCTAAACATAACTTAGCATTTTTTAACTTCCTACAACTACACCAACATGTAATTTAGCATTCTTATCTTTCCTTTTCAGCCTATCTAATAATGGCCTTTTTCTTCATGGGGCTTTATTTCGTGATCTAAGATGGATATATTTACCTTCCTGTTGTACTTGCACAGTATTTTATTTTGGTACTGCTACTACCTTGGATTATATAGTCATTTTATATATATACACACACACAATATTATATGTTATTATATTAATTTATGGATATATCTTCTCTCCTATATTGTAAACAAAGCTATTTATTATTCATCTTCATATATACCTCATGCCTTCCTCATTGTAAATGATCACTAATGTTTCTGAAGTAAATAGTATTCTTTGGCATTGTGGGGTTTTCTTAGAGACAATACTTTGATGATCTTTGATGTTTCTCTGTATAGTAAATACTACTGAGAATATAACAATGAGACTAGGATGCGATGACTCATGCATTGCTGGAGTCAGGAAATGGTTCTCTACAAGTAAATCAAACCTAAGTAATTCTGCCGAAAAGAAAAATATTTGCATGAACATGTGTTTGCAGGATTATTTATTATATCTATAATTGTAAGCAAACTAAACAATGTTTTAATTTTTTGCTGATATAAATTGTAATAGGTCACCTTTCTTCCAAAAAGGAAAAAAAAATGTAAATTTTTAAAAAAGGAGAAACATGGAAAAATTCCCATTGTTAACTACCTGATGAAATCTTAGTTGCCAACCATGGTATCTGTATTTTTTTATGTTTTGGGGAGACATTAGATCACAGTCACCAAATAATTTAATATTCATAGCTGTACAAAATATGATGCCTGTCCTAAAAGGTAATTTTTATTTTATAGTGATAAGTTAAATGAATTAAGACGTCAGAAGGAGAAACTAGAAGAGAAAATTATGGATCAATACAAATTTTATGACCCATCTCCTCCTAGAAGGTACCATTAACCAAATTTTATGAATTCTTATTCTGAAAAAAAACACTAGGTTATTTCTAATATTGTGATGACTTCTACTTTTGTGAAGGATTTGTATGTTGAATTTTAAACTGATAACAATTTTTAAAATTCTGTTAGGAGAGGCAACTGGATTACTCTAAAAATGAGAAAATTGATAAAGTCTAAGAAAGATATTAATCGGGAACGCCAGAAATCTCTAACATTAACACCCACCCGCTCAGACTCCAGTGAAGGATTTCTTCAGCTCCCTCATCAAGACAGTCAAGATAGTTCTTCAGTAGGTTCAAACTCTTTAGAAGATGGCCAGACCTTGGGGACCAAGAAAAGCAGCAGTGAGTGCTTAAACTCTTTAAACATCGTATTGATTTAGAATCCTTTCTAAAGATTTTTTAAAACTTCAGTAGTCCTTTGGGGGAATAGTCTGATGAATGGCATTTCTTTTTAATTTAACATCATAAAATTAATTGTGTACTGCATTAGTGTACAGCCACACAATTTTCTGAGGTAAATCATACACAGATATACTATCATTTGGCCAGAGGGGTAAAATATTGCAGAAAGAAAGTTAAAATAAGAGCTGGAATACCTCTGCCACTTGCTATTTCTGTTAATATGGGCAAGCCTTTTACCTTTGCTTCATACTTCACAGGACAGTTACAAGGAGCAAGTTAGAAATATGAGATGTCATTTTCATAATTATATATAACTTAATCAGAATAATAAGGCATTCTATAATGAGGTTTCTGCTCATATACTTTGATGGTGTCACATTGGAACAAAGTTACATTTGGGGAAGCAAAAATAGGTATGAATTTGAAGGGGTGTTATTCAATGATTTAGAAATTACAGAAGGTTAAGAAAATTATTGAAGGATTGCTTGGTAAAGGATCTAAAATAGAGAGGTGCTGGCGGGCACGGTGGCACACCCCTGTAATCCCACCACTTTGGGGGACCGAGGTGGGCAGATCACCTGAGGTCAGGAGTTTGAGACCAGCATGACCAACATGGAGAAACCCCGTCTCTACTAAAAATACAAAATTAGCCAGACGTGGTGGCTCATGCCTGTAATCCCAGCTACTCGGGAGGCTGAGGCCGAGATTGCACCATTGCGCTCCAGCCTGGGCAACAAGAGTGAAACTCCATCTCAAAAAAAAAAAAAAAAAAGAAAGAAAGAAAAATACAAAATTAGCCCGTTGTAGTATTGTGCACCTATAATCCCAGCTACTCAGGAGGTTGAAGCAGGAGAATCACTTGAACCTGGGAGGCGAAGGTTTTCAGTGGGTCAAGATTGCACACTGCACTCCAGCCTGGGTGACACAGCAAGACCCCGTCTCAAAATAAAATAGAGATGTGGGGGCCAGTTACAGTGGCTCATGCATGTAATCCCTGCACTTTGAGAGGCCAAAGCAGGATCACATGAGGCCAGGAGTTCAAGACCAGCCTGGGCAACATAGTGAGACACTGTCTCTATTATTTAAAAAAAATTAGGCCGGGAACGGTGGCTCACGCCTGTAATCCCAGCACTTTGGATGGCGAGGCGGGCGGATCACCTGAGGTTGGGAGTTGGAGACCAGCCTGACCAACATGGAGAAACCCCGTCTCTACTAAAAATACAAAATTAGCCGGGCGTTGTGGTGCATGCCTATAATCCCAGCTACTTGGGAGGCTGAGGCAGGAGAGTCGCTTGAACCTGGGAGGCAGAGGCTGAGGCTGAGATTGCACCATTGCACTCCAGCCTGGGCAACAAGAGTGAAACTCTCTCTCAAAAAAAAAAAAAAAAATTAGGTGAAGAGATACATATTTGTTTATAAACTTATGATATAATTTTTATTACAAATTTAGAAGTACCGCATTATAATATGCTCTATACAATTATAACCTTTTAATTTCATTACTAGTATGCTTAAACAGTAAAACCAAAGTAAAAGCTTTGGAAGTATATTCCAAGAAAATCAGAAAATTTTTTTAAAGATGTCTAAGAAGTTGACTACTATCAAAGTTCTTACAAAATATGTGAACAGGATACTTTGAATCCTCTCACACTATCACTAATGTCACTAATTGAACACACACACACACAGACACATTCTATTCTTTTGAAATAGCAGGTAAATGCAGCTGCTGCTTCTCCCAGGGGTAGACTCTCCAAATGGGCAACTCTCAAAGCACTCAAAAAACTATTCACAGTGTTTTGGCTTAGGTGAATTATCTCTGGAAACATAGTATTTTAGGGTATAGGATATTAGGCATTAATTATGGGCTATAGGCCAGGCGCGGTGGCTCATGCCTGTAATCCCAGCACTTTGGGAGGCTGAGGCGGGCAGATCACTTGAGGTCAGGAGTTTAGGACCAGTCTGGCCAACATGGTGAAACTTCGTGTCTACTAAAAATCCAAAATTAGCCCAGTGTGGTGGCATGCACCAGCTACTCAGGAGGCTGAGGCAGGAGAATCGCTTGAACCTGGAAGGTGAAGATAGCAGTAAGCCAATATTGCACCACTGCACTCCAGCCTAGGTGACAGGGCGAGACTTTGTCTCAAAAAAATTAAATAAAATTATGGGATATATTTCAGAATGCAAGTATAGCAGCCTAAAAACTAGAATCCATAGGTAAGCAACGTAAAAAGTCATACACACTTATATATACACACACAGGTATATATATGTACATATACACACATATATGTATATGTACGTGTGTGTGTGTGTGTCAAGCAGTTTTATAATTCTATATCCCCACATAAAATTATTGTTACCCTGGGTCTTTTGCTGTCTGGTTTTGTCCACCAAGTAAATCTATACAAATCCTCCAAGTAGTTACTGTTTTAGACAGGTCATCAAGTTTTCTTTAAAAGATGGCAGATAACTTAATTTTATCTGTTATCTTTGGATATAAAATATCTGACATCTTACCAAATAAGAAATGGGGCTGGGCGCGGTGGCTCACACTTGTAATTCCAGCACTTTGGGAGGTTGAGGCAGGCAGATCACAAGGTCAAGAGATTGAGACCATCCTGGCCAACATGGTGAAACCCTGTCTCTACTAAAAATACAAAAAATTAGCTGGGCGTGGTGGCAGGTGCCTGTGGTCCCAGCCACTCAGGAGGCTGAGGCAGGAGAATGGCATGAACCCAGGAGGCAGAGCTTGCAGTGAGCTGAGATCACGCCACTGCACTCCAGCCTGCACGACAGGAGCGAGACTCCATCTCAAAAAAAACAAAAAAGAAAGAAATAGTAATAGGTATACTTAATTTTTTTTTTAAAGGAAGTTTTTTTTTTAAGAGATGGAGTCTTACTCTGTTGCCCAAGCTGGAGCGCAGTGGTGTAATGATAGCTCACCGCAGTCTTGAACTTCTGGACTCAAGGGATCCTCCTGCTTCAGCGTCATCCTCCCAAATAGCTGGGACTACAGGAAAACAGCACTGCACTGACAATTGTTATTTTATTTAATTGTTTTTTAGAGACAGGGTCTCACTTATTAAGCCCAGACTGGTCTCAAACTCCTGGCCCCAAGCTATTCTCCTGCCTTGGTCTCCCAAAGTGCTGGGATTACAGGCATGAACCACTGCCTGGCTTTAAAGGAAAAAAATGTCAATTCAGATATAAGCATACACAAGAGAGGCACAAAAGTCTTTTTTGAAGTCATCTTGTCTGTTTAGGTATAAATCTGTCATCATTTCATATTCTCTGCTGAAACATCCAGAATAAGAATCAGAAGGAAGTGATATTCTCCTTTCCTACAGTTGTTTAGTTTTAGAATTTTTAAAATAAACCCCAAACCCAACAAATACTAATGTTCCCTTAATTTCAGTATGTTTTGGGAAATGAACATTGTATGTATACAAACTCATTGCTATAAGAAGAATCATTTCTTCCTGACAAATATAAAACTCCTTTTATCCTGTCCATTTTGGAAGAGTATCTGTCAGTAAAGCAGTCCTTGGAAAAAAATTAAAAACAGAAAAAGAAAAGTAAACAAGACAACATGTGCATGCTGCAACCACTCAGCTTTGTTTTATCTAAGTGTCCATTTTTATATTGCTTTCAGTTCATTTCTTTTTAATCATTGAAAACAGCTGTGTTTACTAAGCTTGAAAAGAAATAGGTCAAACTAAAAGCTTAAATGAATTATGACTGCTCCTAATAGCAATCAAACAAGTTAAAGAGCTATATGTCCATTGCACTCTCTCTAATAAATGATACTTGTTAGTTTGTCAAAAGAGCTGTGATTATTTACACGATGACAGCAAACACTGAGAAAGAATGTAGTTATTAAATAGTGTATAATATGTTTTTAGGTCTTTATGCAAATTGTTTTTCCTAATTCCTAAATTACATTTCTAAAAAGATACAATAATTTTTATAGTTAAATCTTACTAAAATGTAGCTTAAGAATGGTTAGTGACTCTAGTGAACGTTTTTATTTTTGTTCTAATGACTCCTATATTTTAGTGATAATCCTAACTTTTATTCACAAAATCAAATTCCTTCAAAAAGCTCTTCAAAATATCTAAAAATGATATACTTTTCTCTCATTTTTGCTTGCTTTGGGGTACCTCCTTATTTTTTAGGTTTATCGGAGCTTATTGCTAATGCTTATTACTACTATCAAAATACTCTTTTTTTTCCCCTCTTTCCCCCAACGAATCTTTTGTAAAATGAACTTAATGTGATTGTTTATTTAATCTTTAGAAATACTCTGGTCAAAAGAATTTTTATTTCAGTGGTGCTGCTAAATAATGCACCAGAATCCAGTTTAAACCAAGAAGGAATTTATTTTCTTTACTGAAGTGTAATGAACTAATGAAAGGTTTTTTTGAGTTTTGTTTTGTTTTGTTGTTTTTGAGAGAGGGTCTCCTTCTGTCACCCAGGCTGGAGTGCAGTGGCGTGATCATAGCTCACTATAGCCTTGAACTCCTGGGCTCAAGCGATCCTCCTGCCTCACCCTCCAGAACAGCTAGGACTACAGGTGCTCACCACACATGGCTAATTTTTTGTAGGGATGGGTTCTCGCTCTGTTGCCCAGGCTGGTCTTGAACGCCTGGGCTCAAGCGATCCTCCTGCCTTGGCCTCCCAAAATCCTGGGATTACAGGCAGAAGCTACCATTCCTCGAAATCTTAAAGTTTTTAAGACTGTTTTAAACATCCCCTGGGCACCCTAATTTTTGTTGCTTTATATTAATAAAATACTGTGGTGGAATGTGCATTTTCCTAAGTTATTTTTGTTTTCCAAAATAAATATTTTAACTTATGTTTAAAAAGTTAAAATAGTTAAAATAGAGACTTCAAAAGCCTTGTACATTTTCATCATGTAGACTCTGTGAACCACCAGTAGCCTTCATTTTAAAGGTTTACCTTTACGACTTAACTAGGAAAGTTGATCCCTGCATAAATAATTCTAATCAGTTCCTGTTTTTATAGGACTGTAACCAATCCAAGCTTTAAAAGTATATGTTCCTCAGGCCGGGCGTGGTGGCTCACGCCTGTAATCCCAGCACTTTGGGAGGCTGAGGTGGGCGGATCACCTGAGGTTGGGAGTGCGAGACCAGCCTGACCAACATGGAGAAACCCTGTCTCTACTAAAAATACAAAATTAGCCAGGCATGTTGGCACATGCCTGTAATTCCAGCTACTAGGGAGGCTGAGGCAGGAGAATCGCAGGCGGAGGTTGCAGTGAGCCGAGATCGTGCCATTGCACTCCAGCCTGGGCAACAAGAGCAAAACTCCGTCTCAAAAAAAAAAAAAAAAAAGTATATGTTCCTCATCATTGTCTTCAGTGCTTTTCCAAGTATTTTAAAATATCAAAGTACATATTTCATATTTCATTATCACTCAGCAGCATGAGAATAATAGCCTTAATATAGCATACATAGCTAAAACTCAAACATTCATTTCTGTCCTTAATTTCAACATTTAACTCCCATCTGTTCTTCTCCCTTTTTTCTTTCATCTCCCTGTTTCTGTTTTTCCTCATGCTCTGACATTAAAGTGGTTGCACTGAAAAGACTGCCCTTTTTGAGGAACAGACCGAAGGATAAAGACAAAATGAAGGCCTGCTACCGTCGTTCCATGTGTAAGACTTTATGACAGTTCAGCTTCTTTCAACTGACTACACTGGCTTTCATTACTAATTTTTCACTAACCTTTCTCTGGACTGTGCCAATTTCCTTATTTTGCAGAGGTCAGTCTTCCTCTAATATAAGGAGCTAGAAGAATTTTTTTTTTCAAGTGGCACTGAATTTGCATTATGTATATGTCCACTGATACATATACGTGCATATTTCTAGTCATACATGTAACTTACTCGTAAATTTCCAGTGCTTTCTAAAAATTGGCAGGAAAAAAACCCTTTATTTTATATGCCATAGAGATTTTTTCCCAAAGAAGTTTACTTAAGAAGAATATAACAAAATGTTTAGCATTAGAAGTTAATTTCCTTTAATGAACCAGATTAATTAAATAAATAAAGTGGCCAAAAACCCTTGAAAATGCTTGTCATTCTTTAAATAATAATATTCTGGATTTTCTTTTTTTATGTGGCATGGGTAGTTACATAATCACATTAAGTGTCTGTCACTTTAGATATCATCTCTTTCAGGTTTTTATTGAATGGTATACTTATTGAGTCATAAAATGAATAATTTCTTCAGTAACCTGCTCTGACCAAGGACTTTCATTTTCAATAATGATGCTATATAAGAACTGCTCTCCATCTTACCTTTATTCATTCCATTTTTGTCACCACAAAACCACATTGTGAAGGCTGCTAATTAAAGTTTTAGCACATCGCTGCACAATCGCATGGCAGTCGTACTTAGTAAAATTCCTTTCTCTGTCTTTTAAAGGGGGTGGAGGTGGGATAAAAGTATTTATTGAAATTTATCAGCCTTTGGCCTACTCATTTCATTCAGCTGAATGCATGTCATAATTTAAATGACCATGTGGTTATAATTTTTTATGTCCATTTGCATTAATTCATAGACAAAAACCACAGTATTTGTACTACAAAATAGAAATAAGAACAAATACATTAACCATGCTGATTCATTTGCTTTCATTTGCATCCCAGCCATGAATGACCTGGTGCAGTCCATGGTCCTAGCAGGACAGTGGACAGGTAGTACTGAGAATTTGGAGGTTCCTGATGATATTTCAACGGGTAAAAGGAGAAAAGAATTGGGAGCTATGGCCTTCTCTACTACAGCCATCAACTTTTCAACTGTCAACTCTTCTGCAGGCTTCAGATCCAAGCAGTTGGTTAATAATAAAGGTATAGGCTGTCTGCTATTTGCACTGTGGTGTAATTGTTGGCAACAAGAATTTTAATTTGACTTTTCCCTGTGTACTTTTTAAAAAGCAGCAACCTGAAATAATTATCAAAACATGATCTGTATTGGATTTGGAGGAACTTTCAAATCATTTTAAAAATATAAAACGTTATACAAATAACTAAAATCTTTTCCAGGCCTCCTTTCATAATAAACAGCTAATGAATTAACAAGAAAACGAGAAGTAAACCAGGTAAAGAGTGATAAAAGAAGGCAATGCTAGTTTTCTAAAAACTAAAAGCACTACAACTTCCAACAGAACTACCTAGAACAACCCAGGCTCTTGTTTTGCTTTGCAGGGTCAGAGGGGAGATTGTTTCATTGCTTTTGGTGTTTTCCCTAAGCAAGTCAACTCTAATGAGAGTTGTCATTTTTCTTATTCCTAGTTCCAGTTTCTAGTTGAGTCTATGAAATATGTTAAGTCAATCTGTATTATACATGATTGAAAAACAATTTCCATATTCTATGTAAATAAAATTTTATAATGGTTTTTTATTACAAAAATATCTTTATATCCATTTTGCTATTTTATGTAGATACTACATCCTTTGAAGACATAAGTCCACAAGGTGTTAGTGATGATTCTAGTACGGGATCAAGAGTTCATGGTAAGATAATGAACCTTATTTAGAGAGTACACATTAAATACAGAATGGGAATGCTAGGACTCTTGCCTTTAATAGGTGAATGCGTCATTGCCAGCAAGCATGTTTTCTCTATCCTGCATCTCATAGTTACCTCTACCATTTCTTCAAACCTAATACTCCCTTCTGCCTCTTTTAAGATAATTGCTTCATCTAAATGTTCTCTGTTTTAGCCAAGGTCATTTATAAAGTATGCCTGCACAGTCTTCAAAGGTAATTTTCTTACCATTTTTGTATAAGATTAAAGTTATAAGAGTTGCATTTTACCATTGGTTTAAAATGCCAATTTAAAATACATATTAGTTTAAAATATTAAAAATATCTGTTTTAAAGGATGAACTTTAAGAAACCAATTTTTGGGCCAGGGACAGTGGCTCACGCCTGTAATCCTAGCACTTTGGGAGGCCACGGCATGCGGATCACCTGAGGTCAGGAGTTCGAGACCAGCCTGGCCAACATGGAGAAACCCCATCTCTACTAAAAATACAAAAGTTAGCTGGGTGTGGTGGCAGGCACCTGTAATCCCAGCTACTTGGGAGGCTGAGGCAGGAGAATCGCTTGAACCCAGGAGGCGGAGGTTGCAGTGAGCCAAGATTGTGTCATTGCACTCCAGCCTGGGCGACAGAGTGAGACTCTGACTCAAAAAGAAACCAGTTTTTGGGCAATGTTGAGTATTTCAGATATTTTCCATTTCTGTCTGGAAAATCATATCTCACCAAACTATTGGCAATAAGTGGATAACATGTTAAAGGAATTTTAATGTAAACAGGGTTTTAAGAGTTAGCATAGGGCAGTGTTAATTATACAGTTGTTACCCTTGTTACAGATAGGAATACAGGACATTAACTGTATAGATGCTTGTATTCCTCCTCTTCTTGACATCTCTGCAATGTGCAGAGTTCCTTGTCTGATCTGTTGTAGGTGACCCAATCAATAGCATTTTGGGGGATCTGGGGGGATATGTCATTCTATTTAACTAAAACACTCCTGGCATATCCATCTAGAACTCATTTTCAAATCTAAATATGCACTTTATCCTCCTCTTTGAATCTCAACTATTGTTTCAGAAGTGTCCTATTCTAAAGTGTCTCAATGAACTATCTGGAAATTTGCTTTCTAATCTGGGCATGCTCATCTTGTGAAAGTATGCATGATTGCTTCCTCAAAGCATTCTGTAATCAGAATGTAAAAGCTCATCAGCATCATCAGCTAGAAGTTTTATCACACTGTCTCCTGGTTTTTTCATTTAGCTTCAAGACCAGCCAGCCTTGATAGTGGCAGAACATCCACTAGCAATAGCAATAATAATGCTTCACTACATGAAGTCAAAGGTATGCTGTAGGTAAATTTATTAATGCGCTCTATCCATTTCCAGTATTTAAAGGTGGGAGATGGGATGAAGTTTCTGGGGTAAAGCATGAAATCCAAATCATCTATGTTTGGAACATAGTTGTTTGGAACATTTTATACTTTTCACATTGTAATACAAATGTATTTCAATGTATACAAATGTAAAAACAGGAGCAGTTATTTAGTTTCACTTTTTCATCTTCATAGATAAAAGTCTTATAGTAATATTTATACTTCAAAATTATCTATATGTCCTTATTTTACTGACATTTTGTCTTTGACATGAAAATGATTGTCCTTCATTTTCTTATGACGCATGGACACTCACATTACTCATATTTTAGAAATATGTTTGGCTTAATTTATCCACAAAATAAGGGGAAGGATTTTGTGTTTAATTTGAGAAACAACTATTTGTGTATATATATATTGAACAAGAACTATATGAATGCATTTGGCTCATATAAGGAATTATTTCAAGATTTTTTTTCTTAATTTTTAAATGTGCATTCCAAGGTGAGGTATTTAAGTAAATGTCTGGAAACCTTGACTGATACCTTTTTCTTAAAGATATACTGCCTACTCAGATTCTGGAAGTTGTTTGTTTGTTTGTTTTGAGACGGAGTCTCACTCTGTCGCCCAGGCTGGAGTGCAGTGGTGTGATCTCAGCTCACTGTAACCTCCACCTCCCAGGTTCAAGCCATTCTCCTGTCTCAACCTCCCAAGTAGCTGGAACGGCAGGTGCCAACGACCACCACACCCAGCTAATTTTTTGTATTTTTAGTGGAGACAGGGTTTCACCATGTTAACCAGGCTGGTCTTGAACTCCTGACCTCAGGTGATCCACCTGCCTTGGCCTCCCAAAGTGCTGGGATTACAGGTGTGAGCCACCTTGCCCGGCCTGGAGGGTTTTTTGTTTTTTTGTGTTTTTTTTTTTTTTTTTTTTGAGACGGGTTCTCGCTGTGTCACCCAGGCTGAGTGCAGTGGTACTATCTCAAATCACTGCAACTTCTGCCTCCCAGACTCAAGCGATCCTACCACGTCAGCCTCCCACGTAACTGGGACTACAGAGACCCATGCCACCATGCCCAGCTAGTTTTTTTGTATTTTTGTTAGAGACAGGGTTTCTAACATGTTGCCCAGGCTTGTCTCGAACTCCTGTGCTCAAGTGAGGCACCTCATCCAGCCTCTGAATTATTTGACCAATATATCATAGTTACTCTCTGTACTCCAGAATTGTCAGGTTACAAGGAATGCATTTGTTTTGTTCCTTTTTGGATTATAAAATTATTTTGTCTCAGTTGTAATTTTATTTTATCAATTAATGCTATGACATTATTACAGTGATCTGAAATACCTAATTTTGAGGTGGGTTTCTTTTTTTAATTTTTATCATGTTTTTCAGATTTCTTTGTTCCTTTCCCACTCCCACTACTTCATTTGACTAGCCTTAAAAGAAATAAATTATTTAATTAAAAATGTTTTTACATCCAGTAGAAAAATGTAGTCTGAAAATAGGATTTTTTTTTTTCTGATTTGAAAATTTAAGAAACTCTTACTTTTGTAAAATGTTACATAACTTGAGCCAAATTCTTTCGTGGCCCACTTTACTCTCTGTGACTGGGAAACAATGGAAAGTTGCATTTTCTGTTTTGATGTACAGTTTGTTCGTGATCAAAACAAATCCGTACTCTTAAGGAACACCATAGATTTGAGGGAGTTTAATTCTAGAACTAGCAAATTTTCATTTTATATAGTTGCTTAATGTCAACTGAGTCTTTTAAGGTTATATAGGCACCATATCAACAGTGGACAGCAAGAACAATAAGATGATCAAGACATTTAAAAAAGAATAAAGCACTACATATTTGATTGTATACTTTTACTGAAATGTTGTAAGTAATTGCTTCATATCTTTATTTAACTTTCCTTATGTGTATGCTCTTTAAATTTTTTTAAATGTTTAAAGTTATCCATGCAGGATGAACAGAGAAGCCTTCAAGTAGTAATGAGGACTTCTTAGATAAGCAAATAATTAAAATAGAATTTTCTGCATTTAGAACAGTTTTTGGTCTTAACATACTGAAATAATATAAAATTCACCTAATGAGCCAGGTGCGGTGGCTCACACCTGTAATCCCAGCACTTTGTGAGGCCGAGGTGGGCAGATCACCTGAGGTCAGGAGTTACAGACCAACCTGGCCAACATGGTGAAGCCCCGTCTCTACTAAAAGTACAAAAATTAGCCTGGCATGGGGGCGCATGCCTGTAATCCCAGCTACTTGGGAGGCAGAGGCAAGAGAATCACTTGAACCCAGGAGGCGGGGGTTGTAGTGAGCTGAGATCGTGCCACTGCATTCCAGCCTGGGTGACACAGTGAGACCCCATCTCAAAAAAAAAAAATACACACATATGTATATTTATATATAATATATATTTATATATAATATATATTATATATATTTATATATAATATATAAATTTATATATTATATATTATATATTTATATATAATTATATATAAATTATATATATTATATATAATATATATAAAAATACACATTAGATGAAATATATATATATATTTTGTCTAATCATGTTCTTATCCTAAATTGTGAGGCATTTTATTTTATTTATTTTTATTGTTGAGACAGAGTCTCAGGCCAGAGTGCAGTGGCGCGATCTCTGCTCACTGCAACCTCCACCCCCCCAGTATCAAGCAATTCTCCTGCCTCAGCCTCCTGAGTAGCTGGGACTACAGGCGTGCACCAGCACGCCTGGCAAATTTTTTGTATTTTTAGTAGAGACGGGGTTTCTCCATATTGGCCACGCTGGTCTCCAACTCCTGACCTCGTGATCCGCCTGCTTCGGCCTTCCAAAGTGTTGGGATTACAGGCGTGAGCCACCACGCCTGGCCTGCAAGGCATTTTATAACTATTTGAACCTGAATTTTAAAAAATATATTATTCACTTATTTATTCATTCATTTACTCAAAAAATATATTGAATGCTTTGTATGAGGCTCTGTTTAGGCTCTGAGTATGATAGTAAAAGCAAGTCTTTGCCCTTATGGAGCTTACAATAGTTGTCAGTTTGACAAAATAAGGAAGCAGGCTATGGCAGACAATTGTTAGACTGATAAAAGATTGACATGGTTTACTAAGCATTTCTAAATAAAGCTTGAAAGTAAATTTGGCTGTTCATATAATTAGCACACAGTCAACAAATGTTATTACTCATGAAGTATTAATCTCAATTCTATTATTGAAATCTCAACACCCCATTTACTCCAAAAGCAGGTGCAGTTAATAACCAAAGCAGGCCACAAAGCCACAGCAGTGGAGAATTTAGCCTGCTTCATGACCATGAGGCTTGGTCCAGCAGTGGTAGCAGTCCAATCCAGTACTTGAAAAGACAGACCAGATCAAGCCCAGTGCTCCAGCACAAAATATCTGAAACACTGGAGAGTCGACATCACAAGATCAAAACTGGTTCCCCTGGAAGTGAAGTTGTTACTCTACAACAGTTTTTGGAAGAAAGCAATAAGCTTACCTCAGTACAGGTTAGTTTTATCTATGATGACCTTAATTTAGATGAACACCACAAGTTAAATTTCTGTAATTGAACTTCAGAGCTTTTTTTTTTTGGTAAGTTAAGGAGTATTAAGAGGTACCACAATTTTATATTGCACAGTCTGCTAAATCAGGAAAGTAAAAACATGGCACTATATTCACTAATCTGCTTTGAATTTTTTTTTAAACAGATAAAGTCCTCAAGTCAAGAGAATCTTTTAGATGAAGTAATGAAAAGTTTGTCTGTCTCTTCTGACTTTTTGGGAAAAGACAAACCAGTTAGCTGTGGTCTGGCCAGGTCAGTAAGTGGAAAAACCCCAGGGGACTTCTATGATAGACGGACAACTAAGCCTGAGTTTTTGAGACCTGGTCCTCGAAAAACTGAAGATACCTACTTCATTAGTTCTGCGGGAAAACCTACACCAGGCACTCAAGGAAAAATAAAATTAGTAAAAGAATCTTCTCTGTCACGACAATCAAAAGATAGTAACCCTTATGCAACTTTACCTCGTGCAAGCAGCGTGATCTCAACTGCCGAAGGAACTACACGAAGGACAAGCATCCATGATTTTTTGACCAAGGACAGTAGACTGCCTATATCAGTTGATTCACCACCAGCTGCTGCTGACAGCAACACCACTGCAGCATCTAGTGAGTACCATTTACACCAGTGGTCCTCTCATATACTTGACATCCCAACACATACTATAGGTTCTTGTGCCCAAAATGATTTAGCTATAGACATGCCTGAGCCTCTATATGCCCAGGCTAGAAACTCAAGAACAGGAAGGTCACATTTTCTAAACCAAACTTTTGCCACTATTAGGATGCCTAGTGATGCATTCGGAATGTTGGCAAAAGATAGCATAGGACCATTTACTGTGGCCCATTCATCTCAGCCATTCTTATCCCTGAATACAGAATTAGTTAGTAACATAAGTGGGTTACCTCCTAGGCCAGTTATCAGAATAACTGACCAGGCTTCTGCCTCTTTGGATAAACCTGCACAGAAAGAAAATGAACAGTTTTCTGATCATCAGAACCCTAGTAACAGTAACCTACAGTTTTCTATAAATAGCAACAATCTTGTCACTTCTGCATGCCTCTATCCTGATGACACAGAAGCTGCATTGTTGGTTTCTGAGGATAATCAAACTGTTTGGTATGAATATGGTTGTATATGATCAAAACTGCACAATATAATATATTGATGTTATTTGATATACACTGCTTCTCTAATATGATTTGAAAAGTTGCTGTTAACAAAATATCATTTGGCTAGGTTTTTATTTTTTATTTAAAATTGTTGCACAGTGTTCAGCTGTACATGATGGCATGTATATTAATGTGAATGTGTAACCACACCAAAACCTGCATGAAATATTAATTACTTTGTCCATTTTCTGCATGCCTTTAAAAACCTTAACCATACATGCTCCTCCTTCACATTTTTTGTTGCCTGATAAGATTGTTACTTTGATATCCAGAAGCATGTTAAAACAGTTGCATGCTCTCTTACCAAGAAGACATTTCCAAGTCATATTTGCTTTGTTGCTTCTGGAAAAAAATGTTCATTTCCTCCCTCCCTTCCTCCTCTTCCCACCCCTCACTTGCTCTGACTGTCACTCCTTTTTTTCTTCCAGAATGTGTACTTTATATTACATATGTACAGTATCAGTAGGGAAAATGTAAAAAGATGTTGTTTTCTTTTGTCATTTAATTAGGCCATCTGTCCTGTTTTAAAGAAATAGTTAATAATTCAACACTTTATATAACAAATATTAACTAATACCCATATTTATAAAACATTTTTCAGATTTAAAAGATTGTTAATACTTATAAACTTAGTGTTATTCTTAGAAAACCCCATCAAATTTAAATGTGATTTACACAGTGACTAGGAACATTTGTATTTATTGTTTCTTCTCTGCACTTTTCATCATCTGATAAATACAAGAGCTCAAGTAACTGTCTTTTCTTCAAGATGGCTTCTATACTTGAAATCAGTTAATACAATAGTTTTTCCAGTTCTTTTTTTATAGAGAGTCAAAGAGAAATAAACCAAATTATATTCATTGTGTTGGAAATTTGTATTTTTACTTCTAATCAAAAAGGGTAGCAAGTTTACAAAGTGGTAAAAATTGTTACTTCTATAATTAATCTATTATTAAATTATACATGTATATCCTTAAAACAGAATTTTTTTTAAATGAATAATCACACTAAAATGTAAAATTAGAACTTGTAACCATTTAAACAAGTATGTTTCTAGTAGAACAAATTTTAGAACTAAGAATAAATACACTCTTTAGCTTAAAAAAAAAAAAAAAAGTAAGAAAATATTTGTTAACTTTGACTCCAGTGCAAAGAACTTTTATTTTTGTGTTCACAGCACTTTTAAAGCAAATTAGCTAAATTTGAATCTCTAACTCCCAGATTGCTAAAAACAAAAAAACCCATAACCCTGATCCATTTACTTCCAGAGAAATACACATTGGCATTCTCTCTGGAATGTTTTTTGCCATTTGGATTTAGCCTATAGCTGATAAGGACTCAGCCTGGCACCTGGAAGGAATGCCTTCAAATGTGACCATGTGGGGATGAAATTATGTTATACTTGTTGTTGTTGTTGTTGTATTAAGTGGTTATTAACTGGACCAAAGAAAAAATCTGTAGAGAATATTTCCTAATGAAATTTGTCTCCTTTGTAATCACACTTTTTTTCCGATAGCTATTACAAAAAAAAAAAAAAATGGTTCTGGTACAGGTAATCAAATGAACACAATCAGAGGATTGTCATATTTTAGTACCACCTAATATACTTTTTGCATCCTTCTATTTTATTGTCAGTTACTTCCCAGTCAGTCCTGACATTTCAAATATATTTGGTGCTAATATTTTCCCTTTTGTTTTTTCATAGGCCAGTAACAAAACTTAATAGTAAACATAGCTGAGATTAAATGGGGGCAGTATATGACACAAATGTTATAATTAGTGTTATTTCTTTTCCACACTGAGTCAAAGATTATTTCACAGCTATTTCAACTTTTTAGATATCATAATTCTGACCATAACACTTCAAAATATTGTATTTATTCATTCAAAATTCATTGAAAAATCACATGCTATTATATTAAAATTATGTGATTATTTTACAAAATTAGACTTACAGAAAAGAACTATTTCCTACCCAAAAAGCTATATGTTTATATGCAGCATGTTTCCAAAAAAAAAAAAAATACACTGTGCATATAAGAGAAATATGTATCATGTCCATGTGTCCTGAGGACTGTTGGAAAATACAGTCTGGACTTCAGAAATCATCACCTGCTGTGGAGTCATAAAATTCCCCCCAAAACACCACTAGTTCTTTTTGTTTGTTTGTTTGAGATGGAATCTCACTCTGTAGCCTAGGCTGGAGTACAGTGGCGTGATATCATCTCACTGAAACCTCTGCCTCCTGGATTCAGGCAATTCTCCTGCCTCAGCCTCCCAAGCAGCTGGGATTACAGGAGCATGCCACCACGCCCAGCAAATTTTTGTATTTTTAGTAGAGACGGTGTTTCACCATGTTGGCCAAGCTAGTCTCCAACTCCTGACCAGCTTCCCAAAGTGCTGGGATTACAGGCGTGAGCCACTGCGACTGGCCACAACACTAGTTCTTATCAACGTTTTTTCATAGCATTTGGAATCAAATTTTTAGTGGTGAAAATACCTTAGAAATCATATGGAACCGATGTGTCCCAAACATTTAAGAAAAAAAACAATACTTTCTGTAAGTGAAATCTTACATAGATGCCCCAAATTTTAAAAAATGAATTTCATTTAAAGTAAAAGTGAAACAACTCTGACTCAATTGAGCAATTGCACTTATTTCCTCTAAGACACCTCCAGTTTTCAAAAGGATTATTTGTAAAACTATTCGAAGATTCAGTACCCTAATTTTATAAATGATGAAGCTGGATAGCTTTCAGTATTCCTGGCCTAGCTTTCTAGAAATTATAAACATATTCTTATGCACTGCATCCCCTTTGACCAAAGCAATTTTAGCTTTAACCAATGTAAGGAGGAACATTATTTGCCTATAAAATATGCATCAAGCCCTGGTTTTCTTAGTAAATAATACAAATACTTCATTCCAGATGGTTTTGCTACTACATGCAAGATTATGTTTAAGACTGTAGGTGACCATTTAGTAAATAAACATAGTAAGGCTATCTGGCACTAAGAGGGGGGGAAATGTAATTGTTATAGTTTTTTTAAAAATTATAGCTTTCCTAGGAATATTACTTATAGCTTTAAAATATAAAAATCGATCTTTAAGTATTGAGATGCCTATGAGATTAATAATTTTCCCAGACAGTTACAGATTCCTTCTCCTTGCCCTACTCAGTGAGAGTGTATTTCTTATCTTCTGAATTGTATTTTGTTTCATCTTTGACTAAATAACATGAAATGCTTTTCTCCTGCAGATGTGGACAAAGTACAAGAAAGCAGAAATTCAAAAAGCAGGTCTAGGGAGCAACAAAGCTCCTAATTCTATTACCCACTACATGACATGTGGGCCAAGTGGTGAGTTTCCTGCTTAAAATGTAAATGAGATTAGTCTCATTTATACAAACTAACCAAATTAAGTGTGAAACAAGTGCACATTGCATTAACAGATGTAAATATTGCTTGCTTAATTCATTGACTTTCTGTTCTACTTACTAGTGAAGCAAGATTAGTTGGCTGCCATAGGTTTTTACCTGTCAGCGCAAGGAACAAGTATTTTTTTTTAAGTTTTTTTGTCACTTTAAATTTAATTTTACTAGTGAATTATGTTCTAGGAATTACTTTTTTAGTTTGAAGCCTTTTGTGGTAGGAATACAACTTCCCCACAGTTTTCTTGAAAATTAATGACTAAATGCCTATTCTATGATGAGCCACTCAAAAATTATCTCTGATTGTCTGTCATTCTCATTCTTATAGAAATACCTGGTGCATGCTGTTCTTATAGTGGCTGCTCTGTATTTTGTGTCTCTCTTATCTTTAAGCTTTTCTTATATTTTCTTTCTTCTTTCTACCTTCCAACTAAATACAGAGAGAAAAGTGTCCTTCAGTTTCTCAGTATGAAGCCTTTATTTCTGAAGTAACAAGACACCTAGCAACTATAGGAATCATTTTTAAAAATCTTTAAGGAGACTTTTAACAGTCCTTCGTGAATAGAGCAGGCAAGAAATACAAACCTTCATTCCTTGAATCAAGGAGCACTACTGGATTCAACTGCCAAAATTTTTTAAAGGTTTTAGGACTTACTATACCTTGTACTGTTAAGATCTACTGAATAAAGGACGTTCTCTCACTAAGGACCAGGTGTTTTAAGGTTAAGTGTTTAAAGAAGTACTCCAAGAACAATCTGCTTTTTTCATCATTTGTTTTATGAATTTATCCATGTTTGCTTAATGCTTCTGCTAAGTGTTAGCCAAAATCTAGCCATTTATATTTAGTTGTGTAAACCTAAATTAAATGCTGTAGTATTTTGTGGAATGTACTATATAGCAAGATACAGAGAAAATTGTTTTGGCATGTCAGAGCCTTATTTGGTTAGCAGACTGCATGTGTTGATACTTTTTTTTTCTTAAAGCCAATTATTTTGATGCAAAAGAAATTCAGTTTATAAGATAAATCTGAAAAATCCATAATGAAATAGGAGTTATAAAAAATTTATAGTGATATTAATCTTTCCATATTTCCCATTAAGCAACACTAAGCATTCATAAGTTAACCCATGGTAAAGAGTGTTTTTCTGAAACTTTTTTTTAGTAAGATGGTTTTTCAGCAAATGGCATTCCCAAGATAAAGCTGTTGTGCTTTAACTCATTTCTTTTCTTTGGTATTGGGTTATGTATGCGTGTGCATTTTTTTAACTTGAGAGCTGACTGTTGCTTAAGAAGTTTTCTTATGGCAAAAATAATGTAAATAAGTTACTATGATCTGCATTTTGCCAGAAACTCATTTATAATTAAGGCTATCATTTATTAATGATTTTTTTCTCCTTTATGATATTACATTAAAGTTGATAACTGTTATTGGTACTTTTGAAATATTTGTATGCATTTGTTACCTTTAAACATTTGGAAGAAGCACAAAAAAATAGATTTAGTTAACCCAGGGAAACATCAATTTTTTTAGTAGTTCCAATTTTATATCACAGTTTTATTTTCTTATGAAATCAAAAAATGCATTGATACTCATTAATGCAAATTCATTATTTAACATCAATATCAGAGTAATCTTCAAGGTCTGAAATGAGAAACATACTGACTTTTTAAAATTTTAACAGTGTACTTCTTAGGCTTTCATTACCAGCTCTGAAGAACTTTTTGGAATAATTCCATATTCCATAGTGTGTGGTTTATGAGTTGTGGGTTTCATCACTAACCCAGTAACCATAAGAAAAGTCTCTCTCTCTCTCTCTCTCTCTCTCTCTTTCTCTCTCCCTCTTTCTCTCTCTCTTTCGTAGGCCAGTAGCAATGTTGTGTTCACAGTCTAATTTCCAAAAGACCATCAATAAAAAAGAGAGCATGTTTAAATTGAAATGGAACTTAGAGAACTTGAGCTTACTTACGTACTTCAATGCCACCGGTAACTTAGGTTTTACCACCAAATGCTGTTAACGTTAAATCATTTTGAAAATCTTGGATGAAAGGTGCTATGTAAATGGAAATACAAAGGATTCTTACTAACATACAAAAATAATGCACAACAGAAATATCTAAAACCTTTTCCGTAGACTTTGAAACATCTCTCTCTCTCATAACTCCCTGGATTCAAGTAGCACATTGGTAATAGGTATCAGAGCAGTCTAGAGACAATTGCATGTCAAAAAATGTACATTCATTTTTAGGTGGATAAAAGTAAACATAGAAATTATGTTATGGCTAAATACAGTTAGTGGGTAACTTAGATTTATATTAGCTAGCATCTAATTTGCACAACTAGAACACATCCCAGAACAATTACTGAAAAGCTGAAATTTAATGGGTGGTGATGTAGCCCAATGAGGGCGAATGACATTACAGCTTGACCTCTCCAGAACACTAATATCCTAAAATACAGAACATGCTGGGTTAAGTGCATTAGTGCTTCAAGCAGAAAATGCTGAAAACAACGTGTAAAGTACTGAATCTGAGTAGGCTGACCCTGAGAAGGGACAATTAAAGAGACAACCAAGGGAACACATTGAGACTACAAAAATATGAATAATCTCAATTATATTCATCACACTTTTTTCATACCATTTCAAGAAACGACTAGACAGTAGTAACCACATGAATATTTTACTTTCTCCAGTATACCTTGAGAAGCAAACTTTGTAGGAAGCCACTCTTCTCCCCTAAACAACTTCTGCCAAACAATAATAAAGCCAACTGGAAACGAATCGGAGCCATTTTCATTTTCCTAACCGGGGCCTGACATGCTTTAAATTATCTGGCTGTATTCTAAATCAACACCTAACCCCTCAAGGAAACTGAAGAATCAATATACAGGGTAATAGCTTTGGCTCAGAGCTCCAATAATGTGCTTCAGATCTGTCCATGTGGAAATGCTTTCATCCAAATTTTTAAATTGGTGGTTACCAAAGAGTTCACAAAACAGGTTTGTATGTAGCACCTTTCATGCAAGGCATGCAAAAAGCCTATTTTAAAATCACTGTGCATATTATAGAGTTGTAGCCACCTCACAATGAAGTACTACAGCCTGTGCTGTCTTAATGGTTTATGTCAGGAAATGAAAAAGATACTGTACCAAATCTGGAATTACAATGGGGAGTAATAATGTATACTAAATGACTTTTGTATTTTAAGTTACTTTTTGTGAGTGGTGAATTTTTGTGTTTTTCTTTTCAGCTACACTTAGTCCTGAGATGTATTTTTTCTTTAAGTCTTGAATGAATACAAAAGGAGCCCATTTTATAATATAAACCTTGATGTACATGTTGAGATATTTGGACAATGAAAATGCCTTAAAAGGAATGCATATGGATAAAGTTGCACTTATAACACCCTTCAACAAAATCTAATTTTAAATTGTCTTTTTCTTTTCTATTAAGGGTTTTCTTTTTCAGTGTCTACCATTGTACTTATAACTGTTATTAAATACCAAATCAAATAATATAAAAGCTGTAACATTTCCTTTAAAACTAATGCTAATAAGGGATTTAGAGTTGAATGGCAAAATGTTTATTACTTGGCAATACCTGATGTCAGTCACAGGCATCCAACTCATGACAAGAGATACCACTGTTTGTTTTTTAAAAAACATTTTTCATTTTGTTTCTCCTTCAAAAATTAAGTTGGACTAACATTCACGTATCAAACTAATATAAAAAGAAATAAAACCAAGAGGTGATTTTTGTAACAACTGGTTAGTAATCATTTAAAAATGATATCATTTTAGCCAAGTGTTATTTTATTTCTTTCCATTTTCCCTAGAGAACTATCGTCAGACATAACCCATGACCTTGTTTAGTTGATTCTGTCATATCATTTTGTGATAAGTATTAGGGGTTTGGAGAGAAAGAGCATCTGTCAATTTTATCAGTCCCAAAATAGGTTTAAATGTAATCTAATAGATTGCACAAATGAATCTCCCATTTTCACTTAGACTTTGGGAGACAAAGGAACTGGCCTCATCCTTGGGCTGGTCAGTTTTTCTGGGCCTGTTTTCACTATAAGGTGGGGAGGGCAATTAGACCAGATACCTAAGGTACTTAATTTCTGTGTATTCATTAGTACCTTCATTTCATATGCAAAGCAACCTAAAACGGCTACTTTGTGTTAGAGATAGAATACCGAGTATGTAAAAACTAAGAGGAACCTTAGAATAAAGTCATTACTTTTATTTTGCCTTTTAGTAACACAACTTGGTACAAACTAAGTACAATATTTCTACCAGATGGAAACTACTTTTTGAATGATCAAACTTAGGAAAATGTGGTTCTTAAAGAATATCCCATTTCAGAAAAAAACAAAAACAGAAACAAAAGACAGTCCCATTTGGTTGTACTAGAAGGAAATACTAGAATTTTCATGACCACAAGAAGAGGAATAGCCTACATCAGATCCTCACTCCACTAATGAAGGATTTTGTTTACATTTAAGTGAAGTTTAAAAAATGTCAACTTTTCTGTTTTTGAACTAGCTTTTATATAACAGATGACTCCAGATTTTCCTGCAATTTTATATTGTCTCAGATGCCAGAACTGAAAGGGGATGAGTAGGCCGGGCATGGTGGCTCACGCCTGTAACCCCAGCACTTTGGGAGGCCGAGGCAGGCGGTTCACGCGTTCAAGAGATCGAGACTATCGTGGCCAACATGGTGAAACCCTGTCTCTACTAAAAATACAAAAATTAGCTGGGTGTGGTGGTGCATGCCTGTAGTCCCAGCTACTCAGGAGGCTGAGGCAGGAGAATCGCTTGAACCCGGGAGGCGGAGGTTGCAGTGAGCTAAGATCGTGCCATTGCACTCCAGCCTGGCAACACAGCGAGACTCTGACTCAAAAAAAAAAAAAAAAACAACTGAAAGGGGATGAGTAAAACTTCAGTATAGCCTGGAGGACAGAAGAAACTTGGACGAGTATGTTCACATTTCTTTCTGAAAGTATGTTCACATTTCTTTCAGTTCTCCTGTCTTAGCCTCCCAAGTAGCTGGGATCACAGGGATGCGCCACCACGCCTGGCTAATTGTATGTTCACATTTCTAATCTCTGAACAAAGACTAAACAAATCCT
The DNA here is from genome assembly GCF_000001405.40 of Homo sapiens. NCBI lineage: Eukaryota > Metazoa > Chordata > Mammalia > Primates > Hominidae > Homo > Homo sapiens. Next base: position 55,286,472 of record NC_000002.12, on the reverse strand, counting down.
TTTTTGGGGGGTGGGGGACAGGGTCTCACCCTGTCACCCTGGCTGGAGTGTACTGGCAGGATTACTGCTCACTGCAGCCTGGACTTCCTAGTAATCCTCCCACTTCAGCCTCCCAAGTAGCCGGGACTACAGGTGCATGCCATCGTGCACAGCTATTATGTGTTTTGTAGAGACATCGTTTCACCATGTTGCCCAAACCAGTCTCCTGGGCTCAAGCAATCTGCCCCTACCCTTGGCCTCCCAAAGTGCTAGGATTACAGGCATAAGCCACCACACCTGGCCTCAAATCCTTTTTAATAACATAATGTATATTCCATTACTACACTTTTTAATGTAATATTTTGTTAAGATTAGTCAAGTGTAGTAGTGGAAAGGGAGGAAAGAGTGGAACAAGGAGTTCCATCTGTAACTGACTGAACAATCAGTTGAGATAACTCACTACCATCAGGCCAGCCTATAAATATAACTTTTCTCTCTTTTTTTTTTCTTTTAAAGAAAAAAAGAAAAAGATTCTCACTCTGTCACCCAGGCTGGAGTGCAGTGGCGCATTCTTGGCTCACTGCACCCTCTGCCTCCTGGGTTCAAGTGATTCTCCTGCCTCAGCCTCCCGAGTAGCTGGGACTACAGGCACACACCACCATGCCCAGCTAATTTTTGTATTTTTAGTAGAGACGGGGTTTCGCCATGTTAGTCAGGCTGGTCTCGAACTCCTGACCTCAGGTGATCCACCCACCTCGGCCTCCCAAAGTGCTAGTATTAACAGGCGTGAACCACTGTACCTGGCCTGTAAATTTAATAGTACAATGATTATGACATAACATATTCCCCCCTAGCTGTTTTTCTGGATTAAAATTTTGTAAAGATACATTTTCATAGAAAGTTAATTAGCTTATTTTTCACTGGGAAAAAAAAAAATCACTGGTTTATAAACAAACCCCAATAATGGAAAGTGTTTACCTTTGCCTCAATGTTTGTTTTAATTATCTTGCTAGGGAGTTCTTATTCTTTAATCCCCATTTCCCAAAAATAGCCACTATCAACACTTTTTTTTTTTAAAGACAAAGTCTCACTCTGTCACCCAGGCTGCAGTGCAGTGCTGTGATCATAGCTCACTGTAGCCTTGAATTCCTGGACTCAAGTGATCCAGCCTCCCAATATACTAAGACTACACGTGTGAACCACCATACTTGGCTTACTTTTCAATTTTTTGTAGAAAGGGGGTTCTCTCACTTTGTTGCCCAGCCGGGTCTGAAACTCCTGGCCTCAACTGATCCTACTGCCTCAGCCTCCAAAAGCAGAGATTACAGGTGAGAGCCACTGCACCTGGCCTCAACAATACATTCCTATATTCCTTTTGATTTTTTCCTTGTATTATGTACACTATCATAATTTTATACATACTGTTTTGCAACTTGCTTTTTTCAAGTACAATAAGCACCCTAAAGATGTAAGCTGGTTAATCTTTGAAGTATTTTTAATTGTTGGAGGCATTCCTATAATAAGTAGTTGTCATGGGAGATGGAAAACTGAATCTCTGAGCTGACTAAAAGTACCTCCATACATCTTTTTAAAAAGAGCTATTTTATAGGGCCAGTCACAGTGGCTCACGGCTGTAATCCCAGCACTTTGGGAGGCCGAGGTGGGTGGATACCTGAGGTCAGGAGTTTGAAACCAGCCTGGCCAACATGGTGAAACCCCATCTCTACTAAAATTACAAAGTTAGCTGGGAGTGGTGGTGTGTGCCTGTAATCCCAACTACTTCAGAGGCTGGGGCAGGAGAATCGCTTGAACCCAGGAGGCGGAGGTTGCAGGAAGCCACGGTCACACCACTGCACTCCAGCCTGGGCGACAAAAGCAAAACTCCGTCTCAAAAAAAAACAGCTCTTTCAAGATGAAATACTATATTCCTCCTAAAGTGGTTTAGATAGTCACCAAACTAAGGATACCAAATATTCTTACACTTTCAATGCTTTTTATAAATTACAAATAAGAAAAACAGCTTTCAGAAAGAAATTTATTCTAAACATTGGCCCAATTAGTTGTTTTTATCAAAATTTAGTATTATGGGATCATGTCCTGTCATCTTCACAAATGTGAGAAAGTCTTCAGGGCTCAATCCCATGGTTGCAGCATTGGTCATTGGATGAAAGTACACCTTTTCATGTCCACCTTCGAGAAAAGCAGAATCCAGAACAAACTTCACATCTCCACCATCACAGAAAAGTGCCAAGGGTGTGGCACAGCCTTGACCAACTTTTAGTTTTTCTAGCATGGCTGTTTCATCAGCAAATCGCAGATTTCCACTCCCAACACCTAACTGCTTGGCAAGCTCATTTAAATTAATTTGTCTATCATGAAGAACTGTCACCAGCCAATAATTCTTTTTCTTTTTGTCTTTAAGAAATAAGTTCTTACTATGTGCTCCTTTCAGATGTTGAATATGAGGCATCATTTCTTCAACTGTAAATAGCTATAAGATATCAGTAAGTTTTAAAGTAATATGCATGTTTACATATGCACACGTTTATACCTATTTTGCCTGCTGGGTGAAAACAGCAAGGTTTGGGAGTGCCTATCGCCCTGAATTTCACTGTTAAAGACCCATCTTCACCCCTTTACCAAATAATTACTTATAAGCCCATGCCATCTCATTTCCTCATCTCAGGACCTCAGGCAGTTTCTTCGGCCAGTTTTGTATTCCAATGTACTTGCCAAGATCTCACTCCTCAGCAGCTTTTTATTTCTAAATTTAAGCTTTTGGTTACTGAAAGTTTACAGCAGTTCTAGACTCCTATTCTTTAGCATTCCGTTACGTCCAGACCATGTGACAACCTCCATTCTACAAATATGTAACCACAAAGAACGTGAGTGGGGAGGCAATAAGAACCCAGACTAACAGAACATCAGAAAAGCTGGCATACGCACACATAAAGAAGGGGGAGAATATAGGACTATATGGGAGGGAGGAAGGTCACAGAAAAGGATTACGGTTTTGATGTTGTATTTGTGAAGGTGAGGAATACTAACTATATTTCTCTACTCTTTGAAGATCACCATATTTAGCCATTATCTATCAACTGTTAAGCCTTGGGTAAACTTCATGTCCTTGCACCACTCAAGTTACACATTGGCTCTGTGAAATATTTGCAAGTGGTCTGGCGCGGTGGGTCACGCCTGTAATCCTAGCACTTTGGGAAGCCCAGGTGGGAGAATCACCTGAGGTCAGGAGTTCGAGACCAGCCAGGGCAACATGGCGAAATCCCGTCTCTACTAAAAATGCAAAAATTAGCCAGGCGTGGTGGCGGGCGCTTGTAGTCCCAGATATTCGTAGTCCCAGATATTCGGGAGGCTAAGGCAGGAGAATCGCTTGAACCCAGGAGGCAGAGGTTGCATTGAGCCGAGATCGCACCACTGCACTCCAGCCTGGGCCACAGAGACTCTGTCTCAAATAAATAAATAAATAAAATAAATGCAAGTAAGACTTTCTATCAAAACACAACAAATGTTACAATTTATGAAAATACAGGCATGTCAATTTTGGTAAGCACTTTACGGGTGGTGGTGGTTTCTGCCATGCTGCATACTTTGTGATCAACCCTGACCACAGTAGAAAAATATCACTGTGAACCTCAGTGTCCTGCTCTATGTATGGTGCCTGATACGTCGTACCTACTGAACACACTATTAACCACTTGCTTATTTTATCTACACAAAAAGTGGACAAACTGACCCAGCATCCCAGACCGATTTAAGATGCACAGTCCTCCGTATGTTGTGCTGGTTCTCAACACGGAATGTAAGCAGATCACTCCCAAGAGTAAAGATTTCCGTGCAGTAACCTCATGGTCCCAAGATGGAAGTCCTCTGCTGTCCCTGCAGGGTCACTTTCGTATTTTGAGACCGGGGAAATATTCCAGGAGCGACGTTCTCACGGTACATTGACCCTGGGACACCTGATCTCAGCGGCCTCGCCCGACGGACGTGCAGCACAGCCCACCCCGCTGGGCCTGTCTCGGCGGTCGCTTCTAGGGGCCTCACCTCGGGGTGCTCCACGACCTCAGTGTGGATGGCCAGGGCACCGAGCCGCTGCTCGAGCGCCGCTCCCAACTCCGCGCCCGCCGTGGAGCCGCTATCGTGGCGATGGGCGGAAAAACGGCACGGCTTCCCGCGGCTGCGCAGACCGAAGCCTGAGGCGGAACTGCCCAGAGGGATCTCGGCCGACGCCGGCAGCGTAGTGCTGGTGCCTGGTGAAGGCGGGTCCGCCCTGTCTGAGCGCCTCGCCCGCTAGTCCCTGAACATCGTCCGCTGAGGGCTCCGGCTTGCGAAGGCCTGCGGGAGCTCTCAACAGGCGCCTCGCTGCGGGGCGGCGCCTGCGATCTCACAGCCCTCCCTGATCCCACTTCAAGTTTCCCAGATCACCATATCTTCTGTTGACGGTTTGGGAGTTTTTTGTTTTTCGAGACGCAGCCTTGCTCTGTCACCCAGGCTGGAGTGCAGTGGCGCGATCGCGGCCCAATGCAACCTCCGCCTCCTGGGATCTAGTGATTCCCCCGCCTCAGCCTCCCGAGTAGCTGGGATTACTGGCACCAGCAACCACAGCCGTCTAATTTTTGTACTTTTTGTAGAGACAGGGTCTCGCCTTGTTGCCCAGGCTGGTCTCGAACTCCTGGATTCAAGCGATCCTCCAGCCTCCCAAAGTGTTGGGGTTACAGGACTGAACCACCGCTTCCCGCCGCTTTTATTGTTTAAACCGCAGATAGGCAGGCGGTGCCCGGTGGCTCACGTCTGTAATCCCAACAGTTTGGGAGGCTGAGGCAGGAGGATCGCTCAGAGTCCACAGTTTGAGACCAGCCTGGGCAACATAATGAGACCGTGTCTCTAAAAATAAATAAATAATCAATAGTCAATCAAACCCACATAGTAACTCCCAGATTAGGGAGTGTGGAAGGGGCCCAGATCCATACTGTTCTAAGGCTTTTCAACTTCTTTTGTTGTAAATTATAATTTTACATTTTACCTTTTCTGACAGTTCTTATTATTGATCTAAGAATAATTGACTGTGCCAACTATGACTCACCTTTTCCCAAGGTAGTTTGACTACCTCCAGGTGGTTTTAAGCTATCTTGGTGTTTCCAGCTGTAAAAAGTAAAGTAGCTATTCCTCTTCAAAGACTTTCCTCCCCGTCTAATTAGGAATAAATAGTAACTTCTCTTAGAAGCAAAATTTATTCAAAGACCCTTGCAAACATTCTTAAATATCTGCTAGCCATAATAAACAAATCAGTGTACTTTATGTTCTTAGCTCCCACAATTTAGCCTAAATATTTGCCCTGGCATGCTTATACTGGTCCAAGCAAGCATTAGGTCATAGCGTATTCCTCTTCCTTATTTAAAAGTGTTCTTACCTTTCTCAGCATTCCATAAGTTACTTCCTTTGTTCTCCTCTATCTTTGCCTCTTTTAAAAAGTTCTAAGTTGCTAGCCAATCAAGACAAATACAGAATGTGAGGTCCCATTCCAGCCAATGGAAACCGGACACAGCAGTACGGAGGACGTGTCAGGTTATAAATGACCCTGTCTCCTTTGTTGGGTGTACTCTCCTGGCAAAACTGCTGGCAAGTGTACCCTTTCTGCAGGAAGTAAAAATGGCCTTACTAAATAAATTAATGTTCAAGTGCTATTTCTTTACAGCACCGGGGAACAAGCATTTCAAACACAGCTATCCTGGGAAACACTCCCCACTTGAATGAGGCCTGGAATTCCACCTTAGAAGTTCATTTATGAATTTAGATTAAGGCTCGAATCCCAGATAACACATAGATATACCTAAGGATATTTAACCTTAGTGTGAATGGGTCATTTCTGGGGTGCAAACTGAACGGCTGGAGAAGGAAGCCTCTTAAGACACAGTAAAATGTCATAGTCCTTACCTGCAGCCCTGGAGGAAGCTACAAAAGAGGAGGAATTCAAAGTCAACCTCACAGTTTCACCCAGAATTGGCCTTGGATAGCACAATTTCAAAATGTCTCAGTTTAACCTACCTCTTTAATGATTAAATCATGGTTTCCCTTCAAAAACTCCATCTAATTATTTGATCTCTGATTACAGGATCAACAGGCCACACTTCCCATGGCCTGCTAAATTCAGATCAACAACAAAAGCAATGTATCACATTACAGAGGATTTAGAAAACAGGAAAGTGGGGAAAGATCACTCAGAATCTCATGGTGCTCATGCAATTGAAGGGGTGGGTTGCCCCTCCACACCTGTGGGTGTTTCTCATTAGGTTGAACGAGAGACTTGGAAAAGAAAAAGACACAAAGTATAGAGAAACAAATAAGGGGGCCCAGGGCACCAGCGTTCAGCATACGGAGGATCCCGCTGACCTCCGAGTTCTCTTAGTATTTATTGATCATTCTTGGGTGTTTCTCGGAGAGGGGGATGTGTCAGGGTCATAAGATAATAGTGGAGAGAAGGTCAGCAGATAAACACATGAACAAAGGTCTCTGCATCATAGACAAGGTAAAGAATTAAGTGCTGTGCTTTAGATATGCATACACATAAACATCTCAATGCCTTACAGAGCAGTATTGTTGCCCGCATGTCCCACCTCCAGCCCTAAGGCGGTTTTCCCCTATCTCAGTAGATGGAATATACAATCGGGTTTTATACGGAGACATTCCATTGCCCAGGGACGGGCAGGAGACACATGCCTTCCTCTTGTCTCAACTGCAAAGAGGCATTCCTTCCTCTTAAACTAATCCTCCTCAGCACAGACCCTTTATTGGTGTCGGGCTGGGGGACGGTCAGGTCTTTCCCTTCCCACGAGGCCATATTTCAGACTATCACATGGGGAGAAATCTTGGACAATACCTGGCTTTCCTAGGCAGAGGTCCCTGCAGCCTTCCGCCTTCCGTAGTGTTCCTGTCCCTGGGTACTTGAGATTAGGGAGTGGTGATGACTCTTAATGAGCATGCTGCCTTCAAGCATCTGTTTAACAAAGCGCATCTTGCACAGCCCTTATTTAACCCTGAGTTGACACAGCACATGTTTCAGAGAGCACGGGGTTGGGGGTAGGGTTATAGATGAACAGCATCTCAAGGCAGAAGAATTTTTCTTAGTACAGAACAAAATGGAGTCTCCCATGTCTAGTTCTTTCTACACAGACACAGTAACAATCTGATCTCTCTTTCTTTTCCCCACAGCAATGTTATTGCCATTTTGGTGTATCTTTCCAGTCTTGTTTCCTTTATTCTTGTTATTTTGGCTATACATAATGAATTTTTCAGATAGTTGAAACTTCCTACATATTAAATTTTGTGTCCTGCCTTTTTATTACTTATAAGCATTTTCCTCTGTTGCCACAGTGTCTTTCTTTAATAAAGATATATTGTGTTGCTGGGTCATATTAGCCATTATGTTTTGTTTTTGTTTTTGTTTTCAGACAGGGTAGCTCTATCACCCAGGCTACAGTACAGTGGCGTGATCTCTGCCTCCCAGATTCAAGCGATTCTCCTGCCTCAGCCTCGTGAGTAGCTGGGATTACAGGTGCACACCACCATGCCGGGCTAATTTTTGTATTTTTAGTAGAGATGGGGTTTCACCATGTTGGCCAGGCTGGTCTTGAACTCCTTACCTCAAGTGATCCGCCCACCTCGGCCTCCCAAAACGCCCAGAGCCACCGTGCCCTGCTGATATTAGCCATTACTTTGAATGGCAAAAACCGCGATTACTTTTGCACCAATCTAATAATTTTCTTAACCATCTCCATATTGGTGGACATCCTTGTTGTTAGTGAATCATAACATTCTAAGTTGCTTTCCAAAAATTATTATAATGTATAATTAGCAATGTATGAATTAATCTATTTTACTATATTTTTGCCCAAATTTACAGTATATATTTTTTAATTTGCAAATTTATTGGACAAATTTAATGTACCTCATTTAATGTGCATTTCCCTGATTATGAAGGCCCTGGACACTTTTCCATGTTTATTATTTTATTTCCCCATTTGTGAATTAGCTTGTTCATCATCTCTTGGCTCATTTAGCCACTGAATGAATATCAGTGGTTTTTACCTTCCTATACAAGCTCTTCATATAATGAAATTATGAGCTTTTTGTCATATATCCTTCAGTTGGTTTTAGTTCCGTTTTATGTACAAAAGTTACCCAATTTTACATAACTAAATGTCATTCTTTTTATTCTGATCTAAATTTAGAAAGTTAACCTCTAACAATAGAATATTCAGTCTTTTCTTTTTCTTAACAATATTCAATTCCTTATTTAAAATTTACTTTGGTTTTTAAGGTGTGGTAGGCTCAGTTTTTTCAGTATGTTTCCTTCTAAGAATGAAATTAGAACAGCAGCAGAGATCACCCTCTGAAGAAATAGCAGGCCGGGCATGGTGGCTCATGCCTGCAATCCCAACACTTTGGGAGGCCAAGGAGGGCGAATCACCTGAGGTCAGGAGTTCGAGACCAGCCTGGCCAACATGGTGAAATCCTGCCTCCATTAAAAATACAAAAATTAGCCGGGCGTGGTGGTGCATGCCCGTAGTCCCAGTCAAAAAATAAAAAGGAAAGAAAGAAAAAAAAAAAGAAATGAAAAAGGGAGGGTGGGAAGGAAAGAAGGAAGGAAGGAAGAAAGGAAAAAGTGAAACTTGTCTCAAAAAAAAAAAAGGTAATAACCAGTTAACTGGTTATATGGAATGTAATTTCTTTCTAATTAAACCGTAAAATGGATGAACACATTGCTTGCTTGCCTGGGAAAACACTGGTTTCATGCAATGTGAACAAAATCTACATAGTAGACGACAACTGGGTTAAGCAGAGAAGGAGCATGTTTTTTTCTTTTTTGTTCACTTTAAAACACCCATTTAAAATTGTGTGGTTATAAGGAAGCTTTACTTTGGACAAGCACTGTTTACAGAAGACACAGCCGAGCCCAGGCTGTGTTGTAAACTCCCAATGTGTAACTCCTGAGAGCCACAATTACTGCAATTCAGGAAGCGTGCAGAAGAAGGTCAGGTGAACAAGACCTGCCCTGAGTTGTTCTTTAAATCAGACTTAATTTTCTGGGTCTACCTAGACCACTAAATTAATGAATACAGCCACATATTCAGGGGTTTTTGCTTGTTTGTTTTTCCTTTTTTGTTTTTTTTTTTTGAGACGGAGTCTTGTCACCCAGGCCGGAGTGCCGTGGCACAATCTCAGCTCACTGCAACCTCCACCTCCCTGGTTCAAGCAATTCTCCTGCCTCAGCCTCCCAAGTAGCTGGAATTACAGGTGCCCGCCACCACGCCTGGCTAATTTTTGTATTTAGTAGAGATGGGGTTTCACCATGTTAGTCAGACTGGTCTCAAACTCCTGACCTCAGGTGATCCACCCGCCTTGGCCTCCCAAAGTGCTGGGATTACAGGCGTGAGCCACCACACCTGGCCATATATTCAATATTATTACATGGTCTGCAGGTGGTTCTCATAGCAACCCAAGAAAACTGACTTCCATACAAAAGTGCTGTAACAGAGGTACTTTTCCTACTTTGCATGTATGGACTACGGATATTTTAAGTCATGCATTTCAGTGATTGCTTCAACTGGATTAGGTTTGTGGGAACTACTTTGGAATTTCTGTCCTAGTCTTACTGGCCAAGAGAAGTTTCCTATGATTTTAATGCCTTAATTAACTTGCAAGTAATATATATTTGCATAAATTTTAATAAAAATATTAAGTTGAGATCAGAAATCACATATTATTCCTCTATCCCTGCTGGATGGATTTACTTATTGATGGTAAATACTGATTTGAGTAAATGTCAATAAATATATTTTGGAATGTGTTGGCTTTAAGAACAAAAAGGGCCAGTTCAATTAAAAACAAACTCATATTCAGTATTTTTCCCAAACATAAAATAGTGTCTTTTCTAACAAGTTGCATGCATTTTTTTTTTTTTTTTTGAGATGCAGTCTCTCTCTGTCACTCAGGCTATAGTGCAGTGATGCAATCTCGGCTCGCTGCAACCTCTGCTGCCCAGGTTCAAGCAATTCTCCTGCCTCAGCCTCCTGAGTAGCTGGGATTACAGGCACCTGCCATTGCGCCTGGCTAATTTTTGTATTTTTAGTAGAGATGGGGTTTCACCGTGTTAGCCAGGATGGTCTTGATCTCCTGACCTCGTGATCCGCCCGCCTCGGCCTCCCAAAGTGCTGAGATTACAGGCGTGAGCCACCAAGCCCAGCCCCCTATTTCTTTAAATAAATGTTTTAATACTACGCTTTAAAAATAAAGACAAGTTAACAACATATATATAGATTGTTAAAAAAAATTAGACCACATATGAAGATACAAAAATTTAAATCACAGGTATATAAAAATATTCACATTGGACACATAATGTATATACTCTAATGCTGTTTATTTCTAAAAGATTGTTTTGTTTTGTTTGTTTTGGGACAAGGTCTTGCTCTGTGTTGCCCAGGGTGGAGTGCAGTGGCATGATCACAGCTTACTGCAGCCTTGACCTCCTGGGCTCAAGCAATTCTCCCACCTCAGCCTTCCAAGTATATGAGACTCCAGGCACACACCACTGCACTCAGCTAATTTTGTATATTTTTAGTTTTTGTAGAGATGGGGGTCTCCCTATGTTGCTCAGGCTGGTAATGCTATTTATTTCTAATTTTTCTGATCAAGACAGAATTATATATTTTATAATCTGCTTTTCTGTTTTCATCTAAGTATCCATGTCAACAGATCTACTTTATTACTTATAATGGCTGTATAATATTCCATTTACGTATCCAACTCCAAATTTGGAAATATCCAATGTCCAATGACCTAATGTTAGTTATTTCCAAATTTTCAATATAATTACAAATAAGGCTATAAGTGTATTTCTCTCTCTAGGTGAATATATATATATGTGTGTATATATATACATATATGTACATATATATACATATATATACATATATACATATATATACACATATATATGTATATATATATATACATATATATGTATATATATATACATATATATACATATATACATACACACACACACATATATACACATATATGCATAATTGTTTCATGTATTCCTTAGAATAAATACCAATAATCTGCAAAGTTACACAGTTCACACCTTTTTTTGGTTGTTTTGTGAGACAGGGTCTCCCTCTGTCATTCAGGCTGGATTGCAGTGGCGTGATCTTGGCTCACTGCAACCTCAGCCTCCCAGGCAATCCTCTCACCTCAGCCTCCCAAGTAGCTAGGACTACAGGTACATGCCACCACACCCAGCTAATTTTTGTATTTTTAGTAGAGACAGGGTTTCACCATTTTGGCCAGGCTAGTCTTGAACTCCTGGCCTCAAGTGATCCTTCCACCTTGGCCTCCCAAAGTATCTGGGATTACAGGCATGAGCCACTGCAGCTGGCCAATTTCCATTATATATTGTTGAAAAGGCAAAAGGCAGCATGTATTGTATAAATCCCATTTATATAAAATTGTATGCATATGTATATTTATTATTATTATTATTATTATTTGAGACAAAGTCTTGCCCTACTGCCCAGGCTGGAGGGCAGTGGCACAACCTCTGCTCGCTGCAACCTCTGCCTCCCAGGTTCAAGCAATTCTCCTGCCTCAGCCTTCTGAGTAGCTGGGATTATAGGCAGCCGCCATCACGCCTGGCTAATTTTTGTATTTTTAGTAGAGACGGGGGTTTCACCATTTTGGCCAGGCTGGTCTTGAACTCCTGACCTCAGGTGATCCACCTGCCTTAGTCTTCCAAAGTGCTGGGATTACAGGCTTGAGCCACCAATATACATTGTATCTGTATGTATATTTATGCGTGTTTTAGGATATCTTTCTTTCTTTCTTTCCTTCCTTCCTTCCTTCCTTCCTTCCTTCCTTCCTTCCTTCCTTCCCTCCCTCTCTCCATCTCTCCCTCCCTCCTTCCTTCCTTCCTTCCCTCCCTCTCTCCATCTTTTTTTCCTTCCTTCCTCCCTCCCTGCATTCCTTCCTTCCTTTTAGAGTCAGGGTCTCACTCTGTCACTCAGGCTGGAGTGCAGTGGCATGATCATAGCTCATTGTAAGCCCGAAATCCTGAGTTCAAGTGATCCTCCCACCTTGGCCTCCAGAGTAGCATAGGACTGCAGGTGTACACCACCATGCCCAGTTAATTTTTTTATTTTTTGTAGAGAAGGGTCTTGCCATGTTGTCCAGGTCTCAAACTCCTGGCCTCAAGTGATCCTTTGGCCTCAGCCTTCCAAAGTGCTGGTATTACAGGTGTGAGCTACTGTGCCTGGCCCTTTCTTTCTTTTTTAAGTCAACTTTTTTTGTTTGTTTGTTTGAGACGGAGTTTCACTCTTGTTGCCCAGGCTGGAGTGCAGTGGCACGATCTCAGCTCACCGAAACATCCACCTCCCAGGTTCAAGCAATTCTCCTGCCTCAGCCTCCCGAGTAGCTGGGATTACAGGCGTGCACCACAATGCCCGGCTAATTCTGTATTTTTAGTAGAGATGGGGTTTCTCCATGTTGGTTAGGTTGGTCTTGAACTCCTGACCTCAGGTGATCCACCCACCTCGGCCTTCCAAAGTGTTGGGATTACAGGCGTGAGCCACCGCACCCAGCAATCAACCTTTTAATTTTGGAATAATTTTAGATTACAGAAAAGTTGCTGAGATAGTGGAGCGTTCCCAAGTGCCCTTTACCCAATTTTGTTAACATCTTACATTAATCATGATACACTTGTGAAAATTAAAAAATTAACATTGGGGTATTACTGTTAACTAAACTACAGACATTATTCAGATTTCACCAGTTTTCCCACTAATGTGCTTTTCTGTTAAAGGATTCTATCCAGGATACCATATTGCACTGAGTTGTTATGTCTCCTTAGTCTCTTCTGATCTGTAACAGTTTCTGAGTCCTTTCTTGCTTTTCCTAACCTTGACAGTTTTGAAGAGTACTGGTCAGGTATTTCGTAGAAGGCTCTTTAATTGGGTTTCTCTGATGTTTTCCCCATGATTAAAGTAGGGTTGTGGGTTTTTGAAAAGGATATTACAGGGGTAAAGTGTCCTCATCACATCATTTCAGGGGGTGTCTATGATATTAAAACGACATTGCAGGTGATGTTCACTTTGATCACTTGGTTCATGCATTGTCTGCCACGTTTCTCCACTGTAAAGTTACTATTTTCCCTTTTCCATACTGTGTTCTTTTGTTTTTTTTTTCTGAGACGGAGTCTTGCTTTGTTGCCCAGGCTGCAGTGCAGCGGCACTTGGCTCACCACAACTTCCGCCTCCCAGGTTCAAACGATTCTCCTGCCTCAGCCTCCTGAGTAGCTGGGCTTACAGGCGCGTGCCACCATGCCCGGCTAATTTTTAGTAGAGACGGGGTTTCGCCATGTTGGTCAGGCTGGTCTGGAACTCCTGACCCCGTGATCCATCTGCCTTGGTCTACCAAAGTGCTGGGATTAACAGGCGTGAGCCACCGTGCCCGGCCTCCATATTGTATTCTTTGGAAGCAAGTTAGTAAGTCCCGCCCACACTAAGGTGGAGAGGAATTAATCTTCACTTCCTAGTGAAGGTTTTATATATATATATATATATATATATATATATATATATATATATATATATATATAAAATTTGGAATTCTTCTGTAAGGAAGATTTGTTCCTTCTCTATGTATTTATTCAATTATTTATTTATATCAGTATGAACATATGTATACTTAGTTGATACTTTTGGTTATAATCCGGTACTATGTTATTTTGCTGCTCAAATATTTCCAGCTTTGGCCATTGGGAGCTCTTTCAGGTTGGCTTCTCTGTTCCTTTAACTGTTTTCATTCTCTTCTTTTTTCTTTTTTTTTTTGCTACTTTCTATATTTTGGTATATTGCTTGAATTTTCTACATTAGCATGATTAGAAAATCTTAATGATTAGAAAATTAGAGGAACATAGATGCATATATGGTTATTTTCACCTTAATATTGTGGAAAAAAGATCTGGCAACTACTTTGATGGTTTACCAACTGATTTCTGCTTGTTTCTCAACTGCCTTGCAAGCCAAGTAAGACAGCAAAGAATTACTTCTCACAGAAATTAAACTTCAGTAGATATCTGCGAGTAGTAGGTAAAATGATAGCAGTTGGAGTAAACTTCAATAGTTTTCAACTGTTGTGCCTGTTAGGTTCAGTTAAAAAAAATTTCCAGGCCTAGCGCACTGGCTCACACCTGGAATCATAGCACTTTGGGAGGCTGAGGCGGGCAGATCACTTCAGGTCAGGAGTTCAAAACCGGCCAGGCCAATTGTACTAAAAATACAAAAAAAATTAGCCGGGCATGGAGGCAGACACCTGTAATCCCAGCTACTCTGGAAGCTGAGGCAGGAGAATCGCTTGAACCTGCGAGGCGGAGGTTGCAGTGGGCTGAGATCGTGCCATTGCACTCCAGCCTGGGTGACAGAGTGAGACTCCATCTCAAAAAAAAAAAAATGTCCAGGAGAGGAGTTTGCATTAAATCATTCAGTAACACCGATTACACACCTTTGTAGTAGGCATTGGGAAAGTGGGGAAAAAAAAGAGGTTGGTAGGTTGGGATGGGGGCATGAGTTAGGAGGTAAGATGATGGTGTAGCAGGATGAGCCGCAGACAAAACCTCTCAGACACCGAGTTGTAGAAGGAAGGGCTTTATTCAGCTGGGAGCATTGGCAAGCCACTGCCTTAAAATCCGAGCTCCCTGAGTGCACAATTTCTGTCCCTTTTAAGGGTTCACAACACTAAAGATTTCACATGAAAGTGTCGTGATTGATTTGAGCAAGCAAGGGGTACGTGACAGGGGCTGCATGCACCGGTGGTCAGAGACAAACAGAACAGGGCAGGGAGTTTCACAATGTTCTATACAATGTCTGGAATCTATGAATAACATCGGTTTCTAGGTTATGAGTTGATTTTTATTTTATTTATTTATTTATTTATTTATTTATTTATTTATTTATTTTGAGACGGAGTCTCGCTCTGTCACCCAGGCTGGAGTGCAGTGGCGCCATCTCGGCTCACTGCAAGCTCCGCCTCCCAGGTTCACGCCATTCTCCTGCCTCAACGTCCCAAGTAGCTGGGACTACAGGCACCCGCCACCACACCCGGCTAATTTTTTTTAATATATATTTAGTAGAGACGGGGTTTCACCGTGTTAGCCAGGGTGGTCTCGATCTCCTGACTTCGTGATCCACCCGCCTCGGCCTCCCAAAGCGCTGGGATTACAGGCGTGAGCCACTGCGCCCAGCCTGAGTTGATTTTTAACTACTGGGTTTAGGCCAGGCAGAGCCAGGCCTGGTTTTGGGCCTGGCGCCGGACTGCCTGTCTTTGATTTCACTTCTTTTTTCTCTCTTAAAACAGGTACTGAGTATAAAACAATATAAAACAATATGAGAGGGTCTCTCTCTTCCCTCAATGGCAAGTATGCTTTTGAGTAATGAACTTCTGTACCATACCAATTACCCAGGGGAGTGGTAGATCTTAAAGACAAAGATTAATTGATTGATTTTGTTTTCTTCTCAAATTCCTTTTACCAAAAGACAGAGATAATAAAACAATATTTATATTTGAGAGGTGGTGATGGTTGTGGTCAAAACGACCAGCTGAAAGTCATAATGTCCAAGCAAGATGAGGGAAAGCTCTGGGGGCAGGCAGTAATAACCATAACAGCAAACACATACTATGAACCAGGCACTACTTATCAACAGTTTATCAACCCATTAAAAGCTTATTGCAGCCGGGCGTGGTGGCTCATGCCTGTAATCCCAGCACTTTGGGAGGCTTAGGTGGGCAGTCACCTGAGGTCAGGAGTTCGAGACCAGCTTGGCCAACATGGTGAATTAGTGAGGCATGGTGATGTGCCCCTGTAATCTCAGCTACGCGGGAGGCTGAGGCGGGAGAATCACTTGAACCCAGGAAGCGGAGTTTGGTTGCAATGAGCCGAGATCGCGCCATTGTGCTCCAGCTTGGGCGACAGAGTGACACTGTCTCAAAAAAAACAAAAAACAGTCTGGGAGAGGTGGCTAACGCCTGTCATCCCAGCACTTTGGGAGGCCGATGTGGGCGGATCATCTGAAATAGGGAATTCGAGACCAGCCTGACCAACATGGAAAAACCCTGTCTCTACAAGAAACACAAAATTAGCCAGGAGTGGTGGCACATGCCTGTAATCCCAGCTACTCGGGAGGCTGAGGCAGGAGAATCGCTTGAACCCGGGAGGCAGAGGTTGCGGTGAGCTGAGATCGTGCCATTGCACTCCGGCCTGGGCAACAAGAGCGAAACTCCATCTCAAAAACAAATAGAAACAAAAACACAACAAAAACCTTATTACAATCCTGTGAACTAGCTACTGTCATTACTATAATGTAGATGAACAAACTGGGACATGGACAGTTGACAAAACATTCCCAACCACACACTAGGAATGAGCTGGGATAGGAAACCAGGCACTCTGGCTCTATTACTCCTAATGCCATACACACGAGCTGACTTAGGAGAAAACAGAAAGTACTGTTCGCACAATACTAACTGGTTCTACCGCCACTGTTCGCTTGCATTTGTTTTTTCCTTCTTGTTAGGAACACGTATCTTTGAAGGAGGTATCATTTCTCCCACAATTCTCCATTTAACGTTTCCTACAGTGTTAAGCACCACCGAGGCCTCTCATAGCCCCAGAGAAGAAGTAATTTGCTTCCTAGAAATCCTCACTGTATCCAGATTCCCTCCCAGAGGAGCCATCAGTTCTCATGGGTGGCACTTTTTCTCCAGCTGATTACACTTTTTTTCTGTACCAGTTAATTTTTCCAACTTCTAATTGAATAAAGGCAGTTTTCTTAAAAAAAAAAAAAAGAGAAAGAAAAACGGAAAGGAAGGAAGAGGAAAGGAAGGAAGAAATGAAGAAAGGAAGGAAGGAAAGAAAGGAGAGGGACAGAAAGAAAAAAAGGAAAGAGAGAAAGAAAGGAAAGGAAAGTAAGAAATGGAAGGGACCTGCAGAAACGATTCACCACGCGCGGCTGACCCTGGGAGGAGCCACAGGTTGAACCAGCGCCTCCCAGGCTGGACGCCCGCCGCGGACACCGCAGACAGTCCCACCCCCAGCGGCGACAGCAACTCTCTGAATTCCGGAAAGAACCTTTTCCAGCGGGACCGGAAGCCCGGCGGGGACCGTAGCGGGGACGGACTGACCTACCGACCATTCTTCCGGGTCCAGAAGGTGATCTCCGCCCGTGCTCAGAATCCAGGGGCCCGGGGCTGTAGGTAGGAGTTAAGTGGGTAGGATCCCTTAACCAGGGTTGTCCGGTGCAGGTGGTGTGTGTTGTTTCGCCTAACGTGTCAGTGGCACAAATCACGCGAACTTCATAAACATTGTGCGTTCGGAAGCCTTTCCAAGATGCATTTAATCCCTGCGTGAGCCCACGTTAGGCATTCACGAAGGCATGTGCACTGTTCTCTCGGAAGCGGCTGGCCGGCTTCCCCTCCTCGCGCGCGGCTGTGGGTGCAGGTCCTCACTTCCCAGCCTCCCATGGGCCCAAGGCCTTCTGGGCTCCAATTTGAGGCGAGCCACCCCAGATCCGTAATTTTTCTGCAGTGATTTATTTTTACCTTTCTGGTAAGTTCCAAAGCTTCCAGCTCACATTCAGACGTTTTCCCTAACGCAACTACGTATTTGCAACATACTTTTTTCAGATTCCTTGACAAGGATATCCTAGCGGCGAAACAACACCGTACTGGGAGTCAGAACGTCTGGGTTCTAGTCTTGACTGCCATTAACTAGCGGTATGACATTGGAGAAGCTTTTTTGACCCTTCTGGATTTCCGTTTCCTTTTCTGTAAAATGAGGAGCTTGGAGTAAGTGACAAGTTTCCTTCCAGTTTTGACATTTGGGTTATTGCCTCCAATGTGTCTTTCCAGTTCCTGCCTCAATTACATATCTGTGCTTTGGTTAATATCTCGTAGGGTCCTTCCTCCCACTCCATTAATCTGTGCTCTTCTCAAATCTGGTTTCATACTGATTTAAAAATTATTTTCTCAAGGAATCCTGTGTTACCTGAGCACTCTACTTCTTGGTCCAGGGGCACAAACGTAAATAAGATATTTTCCATGTGCCATTCTTAGAAGTATTTAATGTGTGTAAATACTATTGAATGAATTTCCAAATCTTCTTTTTTTTTTCTTTAGACAGAGTCTCACTGTCGCCCAGGCTGGAGTGCAGTGGCCTGATCTCGGCTCACTGCAGTCTCTGCCTCCTGGGTTCAAGCGATTCTCCTGCCTCAGCCTCCCAAGTCGCTGGGATTACAGGCGCCCGCCACCGTACCCGGCTAATTTTTGTACTTTTAGTAGAGAGGGGGTTTCACCATGTTGGCCAGGCTGGTCTCGAACTCCTGACCTCAGGTGATCCGCCCGCCTCGACCTCCCAAAGTGCTAGGATTACAGGCATGAGCCATCACGCCCAGCCTGAATTTCTAAATCTTAATGTGTTTATTTCGTTGGCATTAAGTTAGATTTTTCCTTGATCTTTACTCGAATAAGCCTTTTAAGGTAAAATGCTTGCTCGATTACACACACATACACAACCTCATAATTGTCCGAAGGTAAACAAGTTAATGACTTGTGAATATTTTTAACTTATAAGCAATGAATCCTCAAAGCTTATAAGCGAGTATCAAGACATGTGATATGGTTTTAAAATAGCTGATGATAAAGTATATACATCATCTCATTTTCTCCTCTTAGTCTTGTAATAGGAAGGACAGATATTCAAACACTTATTTATTTATTTATTTTTAACAGAGATCCGGAAAATGAGGCCCATAGGAAACAAGTGACTTGCTGAGTCCAGATAACACTGACTGTCAGAGTGAGTGTCCACCTAAGGTTCCTTTGTTGCCTAATAAGATACTTTCTTTGCTATACTGTACTTGTTTCTGTTATCATTTCTTTTCTTTCTTTTAAAAAATATTCAGTATAGGCCAGGCGCGGTGGCTCACGCCTGTAATCCCAGCACTTTGGGAGGCCAAGGCGGATAGATCACCTGAGGTCAGGAGTTCAAGACCAGCCTGGCCAACACGGTGAAACCCCGTCTCTACTAAAAATACAAAATAATTAGCCGGGTGTGCTGGCAGGCACCTGTAATCCCAGCGACTTGGGAGGCTGAGGCAGGAGAATCCCCTGAACCCAGCAGGTGGAGGTTGTAGTGAGCCAAGATCACGCCATTGCACTCCAGCCTGAGCGATGAGCAAAACTCCATCTCAAAAAAAAAAATTCAGTATATTCTATTTACCATGTCAGAACCATACATTTACTATGTCAGAACCATAAAATACACTTTGGGAAGATTGGTTGAAATGTAACATTTAGGCTAGGCGTGGTGGCTCACGCCTGTAATCCCAGCACTTTGGGAGGCTGAGACAGGTGGATCACCTGAGGTCAGGAGTTTGAGACTAGCCTGGCCAACATGGTAAAACCCGGTGTCTACTAAAAATACAAAAATTAGCCTGACACGGTGGCACACACCTGTAGTTCAAGCTACTTGGGAGGCTAAGGCTGGAGAAAATTGCTTGAACCCAGGAGGCAGAGGTTGCAGTGGGCTGAGATCACACCACTGAACTCCACCCTGGGCAACAGAGCGAGACTCCATCTGAAAAAAAAAAAAAAAAAAAAAAGAATGAAATGTAGCATTTAATGCCTAGTTATCTAGCAAAGATCACCCGTCCAGAGCCTTAATTTCTTTGGTCACATCAAATAACTATTATCATTTGTGAACAATTTTAAAGACTATCTAGTAGAAAATATAAATATATTTATATAATATATATGTTGTATATAAATATAAAATATAAGCATATTGTAGAAATGCCATATTATGAGATAAATCATTAAAAAAAAATTTTTTTTTTTTTTGAGACAGAGTCTCGCTCTGTCTCCCCGGCTGGAGTGCAGTGGCGTGATCTTGGCTCACTGCAACCTCTGTCTCCCGGGTTCAAGAAATTCTCCTGCCTCAGCCTCCCAAGTAGCTGGGACTACAGGCATGTGCCACCACGCCCAGGTAATTTTTTTGTATTTTTAATAGAGACGGGGTTTCACCATGTCGGTCAGGCTGGCGTCGAACTCCTGACCTCAAATGATCTGCCTGCCTTGGCCTCCCACAGTGCTGAGATTACAGGCATGAGCCACTGCGCCTGGCCAAAAATTTTAAGGCTTTGTAAAAGTTTATAATTTTGTTCAAGATAGCTTTATATGGTTAAGGTAAACGCATTGAAATAGTTCATAATTTCCATTCTTTTTTTTTTGTAATGCTGAAGAATATATGTGTCTCTCAGTATCTATGGGGCATTGGTTCCAGGACCCCCGCTGCCGCATGCCAAAATTTACAGATGTCCAAGTTCCTTATATAAAATGGCGTATATTTACATGTAACCTAAGCACATACCATTGTATACTTCATGTCATCTCTAGATTACTTATGATACCTAATACAAAGCAAATACTATGTAAACAGTATACTTTAGGGAATAATGACAAGGAAAAAGGTGTACATATTCAGTAGAGACAGAACCATCTTTTTAAAAAATTAAAAAAATTTTCGATCCACAATTGTTTGAATCCACAAATGTGGAACACATGGATACAAAGGGCTGATTAGTAATGTTTAATGATATAAAATAATATTCACAATGTATTCTTTAGTGTAAAAAGTTGTAAAACAAAATTAATATGACCTTATTTTTGTGAGTAAAATAGATAAAAGCACAAAGAAAAGAGTTGAAAATATATATATTAAAATGTTAACTAAAGTTATTTTTGAGTAGTGAGTAAAAGAAAATCTATACTGAAGAGTCTAAAAGGCTATACCCACTACTTGGAAATGTACTCTCCATTGAAAAGCAAACAGACAAACAAAAAAAACCTTAAAATGACTTTACAATTTATAGAAATAATTTTGCATATTATTGCAATGAAAACACGACCCTAGGTTATAATCAGTCATCATAGGTAGTGTCTCGTGTGCCTGAGATTCATTGTATTGGCAAGCTTGCTTTAACGACAATGAACTGTTTGTGGAATGGAACCTGGCTTATTAAACTTTGAATCAACAATATCAAGCAGAAAGCCTGGCATATGGTACTTAGGAAATGTTTCCTAAGAAGAAAACATGTTCTTCTTCATTTTTTTTTTTTTTTTCAAGACAGAGTTTTGTTCTTGTCGTCCAGGCTAGAGTGCAATGGCATGATCTCGGCTCACTGCAACCTCGACCTCCCGGGTTCAAGTGATTCTCCTGCCTCAGCCTTCTGGGTAGC
This sequence comes from Homo sapiens, assembly GCF_000001405.40. Lineage (NCBI taxonomy): Eukaryota > Metazoa > Chordata > Mammalia > Primates > Hominidae > Homo > Homo sapiens. The sequence goes on along the minus strand of NC_000002.12, from coordinate 55,265,128 downwards.
TGGGATTGCAGGCGCCCGCCACCATGTCCGGCTGATTTTTGTATTTTTAGTAGAGACAGGGTTTCACGACGTTGGCCAGGCTAGTCTCGAACTCCTGACCTGAGGTGATCCGCCCACCTCGGCCTCCCAAAGTGCTGGGATTACAGGCATGAGCCACCACACCCAGCTGGAAAACATGTTCTTTTTACGTTGTTTTTGTCGTTCCTGTCCTTAAAAACTGAAAAGCAAAGCCATAGAAATGCAGTCTTGAGAGCAGAGGCAATAGAGGCCACGGGGAGGAAAAGAACTATATTACTAATGAGTTCTGTTACAGTTTTTTCTCAAAAAAACTCTTCTTTTATTCTAAGAATAATACTCAAAAGGCATTATTCAATAAATATTGGGTGTCTTCTTCCTACTATAAAGCATCTTTTTTTAGGGGGTGAGATGGGAAGATGGAAAAGTGTTAAGAGTTCAAAGACGATTCCAACTAGAGGAAGTGTGTGCAAAGTTTCAGAGCTGAGATGAGAAACCATTAGAGATGACAGGTGGGTTACAATAACAAAAGCTTGAGAGGTAGGAGTGTAGAGACTCTAAGAGTGTAAGAAATAAAGTAAGGCTGGGCATGGTGGCTCATGCCTGTAATTTCAACACTGTGGGAGGCCAAGGTGGATCACTAGATCCCGGGAGTTTGAGACTAACCTAGACAATGTGGTGAAACACCATCTCTACCAAAAAAACAAACAAAAAATTATCTGGGCATAGTGGTGCGCACCTCTAGTCCCAGCTATTAGGGAGGCTGAGGTGAGAGCATCACCTTAGCCTGGGAGGTCGAGGCTGCAATGAGCTGTGACCATACCACTGCATTCCAGCCTCCAGCCTGGATGATAGAGTGAGACCCGGTTTCAAAAAAGAAGTTTCAGGGTGTTTAACAGAAATGTTATCATTTGGAATTCGCACTTTAGAAACATTACTCTAGTTGTGATTTGGTTAGTTGATATTTCAAGAGTGAAAAAAGAGCCTTTTACAAGTTGTTATTGTATTTCAATTCTATCATAGTGGTAACATTAACAGTAATAATAATAGCTAGTATTTAGAGAGTACTTGTTATGGAATCCCATCTCTTGATGAGACTGAGATTTTTCAGGGCAGGAACCCAGTTTTACTCATTGTTGTAAGTCTAGTGAGCTAAGTGTAGTCCAGTGCTATGCATATAGTAAATATCCAATTAATATTTGCTAACTTGATTTGAATATTATTTTAAAACCTTTTTTTTTTCCCCAGGAGAAACATGAACCAGAAGCTACTGAAGTTGGAGAACTTGCTACGATTTCACACTATTTATAGGCAACTGCACAGTCTGTGTCAAAGAAGAGCATTAAGACAGTGGAGGCATGGGTTTTCATCTGCTTACCCTGTGTGGACAGCTCAACTGTGTGCCTGGCCCTGGCCAACAGATGTGCTCACTGGGGCTGCTTTATCTCAGTATAGGCTTCTAGTAACAAAAAAGGTAGTTACAGATTTCTTTTTTTTTTTTTTTGAGATGGAGTCTCACCCTGTCACCCCGGCTGGAGTGCCGTGGCGCGATCTCAGCTCACCGCAACCTACGCCTCTTGGGTTTAAGCAATTCTCCTGCCTCAGCCTCCTGAGTAGCTGGGGTTACAGGCATTAGCCACCGCACCCGCTATAGTTACAGATTTCTGTAAGTTATTTTATTACTCGGTCTAAAATGAAAGTGCCTAGAACCATGAGTACAAATCCATTTTGAGTAATTTATCATTTACAGAATATTTATTACTTAATGCAATAAAGTATTACTCCAAGCAATAGAGCTTTGTGAGAAAGGGAAGTTCCGGTTAATTGTGTGGTGCTGATGAATTTGGTTCCTTGGAAATCAGTGTAAAACAGTGAATTAAGGATACAGGATTTTAATTTTAGCTTAAGGTTTAACTACTTATGGGAGTGTTCGTTGGTAGAAATAGTAGCTATGGCCGGATGTGGTGGCTCACGCCTGTAATCCCAGCACTTTGGGAGGCCAAGGTGGGCAGATCACAAGGTCAAGAGTTCGAGACCGTCCTGGCCAACATGGTGAAACCCCATCACTACTAAAAATACAAAAATTAGGCCAGGTGTGGTGGCTCACGCCTGTAATCACGGCTCTTTGGGAGGCTAAGGCAGGCGGATCACAAGATCAAGAGTTCAAGACTAGCCTGGCCAACATGGCGAAACCCTGTTTCTACTGAAAATACAAAAATTAGCCAGGCATGGTGGCGCATGCCTGTAGTCCCAGCTACTCAGGAGGCTGAGGCAGGAGAAGCGCTTGAACCTGGGAGGTGGAGGTTTCAGTGAGCCGAAATTGTGCCACTGCACTCCAGCCTGGGCAACAGAGTTAGACTCTGTCTCAAAACAAAACAAAAAACAAAAAAAAAAAATACAAAAATTAGCTGGGCTTGGTGGTGCACACCTGTAATCCCAGCTACTGGGGAGGCTGAGGCAGGAGAATGGCTTGAACCCAGTAGGCAGAGATTGCAGTGAGCTGAGATTGTGCAACTGCACTCCAGCCTGGGTGACAGAGCAAGAGTCTGTCTCAAAAAAAAAAAAAAAAAAAGAAAAAAAAAGAAAGAAATGTAGCTATGATTGTGGTAGATATTTGAGAATAAATCTAAATTGTCACTTAAGTTTTTTCTTCCTTTTTGTTTATATGTTCTGATTTTTTTAATAGGAAGAAGGACCATGGAAATCTCAGTTATCTTCAACAAAATCTAAAAAGGTGGTAGAAGTATGGATTGGAATGACTATTGAGGAACTGGCCAGGGCAATGGAAAAAAACACAGGTGAGTCAGATATTTTTACAAAGCAAAATATGGGAATGTTGGAAGACCGGGCATTTTATTTGCAACGAGATTAAGGCATTGAAAGATTAAAAACTAGACTGGCACTTAAAAAATATATTAAGTCATTGTAATATTCTTCACTTTAAGTCATAATCCCTAGTTAGTTTCTTGACTGCCAAATGTAGTTCTCCAAGATTTTGCTTTTAATTAAAGTGGAAAAGATTTTCTTATACGAATTAAGTTTTCTTTCTCGGAAGTTTTGTGGGCTATTAGAATAAATCCAAAGAATGTTTTTAGACTGAGGGGCTATACTTATATACTTTCTCTTTTTGTTTTTCTATAATTTTCTTTTTTCTTTCTTTTTTTTTTTTTTTGGTTTTTTTTTTTGAGACAGGGTCTTGCTTTGTCCAGTATAGTGGCATGATCATGGCTCACTGCAGCCTTGGCCTCCTAGACTCAAAACAATCGTTCAGCCTCAGCCTCCTGAGTAGCTGGGACTACAGGCATGTGCCACTATGCCCAGCTAATTTTTTATTTTTTGTAGAGACAGAGTCTCACTATGTTGTCTAGGCTGGTCTTGAACTCCTGGGTGCAAGTAATCCTTCTGCCTCAACCTCCCAAAGTGCTGGGATTATAGGTATGAGCCACCACGCCTGGCCCTATAATTTTCTGATTTCCTTTTTTTCACTCTTTTTATTATTATTTTTTGAGATGGAGTTTCACTCTCGTTGCCCAGGCTGGAGTGCAGTGGCACGATCTCGGCTCCCTGCAACCTCCGCCTCCCAGGTTCAAGTGGTTCTCCTGCCTCAGCCTCCTGAGGAGCTGGGATTACAGGTGCCCACAACCACGCCCGGCTAATTTTTTTTTTTTTTAGTAGAGACGGGGTTTCACCATGTTGGCCAGGCTTGTCTCAAATTCCTGACCTCAAGTGATCTGCCTGCCTCGGCCTCCCAGAGTGATGGGATTAGGGGCGTGATCCCACCATGCCCAGCCTTTTCTCTCATTTTGACAATATCTGTAAGGCCAGCAGAGAAATACTGGTAGTAGCCAGGCACGGTGGCTCACGCCTGTAATTCCAACACTTTGGGAGGCTAGGTCAGGAGATCGAGACCATCCTGTCTAACACGGTGAAACCCCATCTCTACTAAAAATACAAAAAAAATTAGCTGGGCCTAGTGGCGGGCGCCTGTAGTCCCAGCTACTCGGGAGGCTGAGGCAGGAGAATGGCGTGAACCGTGGAGGCGGAGCTTGCAGTGAGCCGAGATCGCGCCACTGCACTCTACCCTGGACGACAGAGCGAGACTCCATCTTAAAAAAAAAAAAGAAATACTGGTAGTAATAACTACAACTTCTCATAATATTATTTTTATTTATAAATGGAGCATATTATTGTCATTTTTATATTCCTTCATTGTGATGTGCTTATTACCAATTTAGGATTTTTGAAACAAAATTTGAGTTTTCATTATAAAGTGATATTAAAATTCAGTATATGAGAAATACCCTGTTATTGTAACAAAGTGTAACAGACTCTTGGGGAAAAAAAGAATTAATAGTGACTCATATATGTTGAGCTGTCACAATGCCCTAAAGTTAGGTATCCTTATTTACAGGCTGGGAAGGTGAGGTTTAGAGAGGATAAGTAATTACCCACTATTTCCAGCTAGTTTGTGGGAGAGCCAGGATTTGAACCTAGGGAATATGGGGAATATTTGAACCTATGGAATATGGCTCCAGAGCACATGCTGTTACTCATCAACCACATTATCTTTCAATAATTATTTTGTAAATCACAGCAATGCTAAACTTCAATGTGTTTCCTGCCTGAAAGTGTTACTACTTTTTGTGCATGTACATCCTTACAAAGAGTACAAAATTGTTAGCACACTGTTTGGCTTTTTTTTTTTTTTTTTTTGAGACAGAGTTTCACTCTTGTTAACCAGGCTAGAGTGCAATGGCACTATCTCGGCTTGCTGCAACATCTGCCTCCTGGGTTCAAGCAATTCTCCTGTCTCAAGCCTCCCGAGTAGCTGGGATTACAGGCATGTGCCACCACGCCCGGCTAATTTTGTATTTTTAGTAGAGACGGAGTTTCTCCATGTTGGTCAGGCTGGTCTCGAACTCCCGACCTCAGGTGATCCGCCCACCTCGGCCTCCCAAAGTGCTGAGATTACAGGCGTGAGCCACCATCCCTGGCCTGTTTGGCATTTTTAATAATTTTGCAGATGGATTATTCAGTCATTTTATAGCTAGAAAACTTTGAAAATAAATGAATATGGCTATGTCATTCAGAATTTTTCTAAGGAAAATTATATTGGTGTGGCTTTATAAATAGTATTGATAATAGGCTTGATTTTTAAAACTTTTTTTTTGAAGCAGAGTCTTGCTCTGTCACCCAGGCTGGAGTGCAGTGGCAGGATCCTGGCTTACTGCAACTCCTGCCTCCCCAGTTCAAGCAATTCTTGTGCCTCAGCCTCCTAAGTAGCTAGGATTACAGGCATATGCCACCACACCCAGCTAATATTTGTATTTTTAGTAGAGACAGAGTTTCACTATGTGGGCCGGGCTGGTCTTGAACTCCTGACCTCAAGTGATCTGCACATCTTAGCCTTCCAAATGCTAGGATTATAGGCGTGAGCCACTGCGCCTGGCAAAACTTTTTATTATTAGCAATTATCAGACAAATATGGTAGCAGAAAGAATGGAATAAGCTTAAATGTATGCATAAGTCAGTGACAACAGATATTTTATTTTATCCATAAATACTTCAGTATGTATCTCTAAAAGATGAGGACTCCTTTTTTTTTTTTTAAACATTACCCCCTACCCCTATACACATAGAGGAACCCATAACCATAATTCTTTATTATGACTAATAAATAGAATGATTAAAATACAAATTTAGTCTCATGGAGCAGTACTCTAAACCCCAAACTGATTGTCTATGATGAAAATAAATGTGTCTATTTGAAGCTTATTTCATATTCAAATCTCTTCTGAATTAAAGATAGTTTTCATGAGGTAATTATTTTTAACTACTATATACATTAGCGATATGAGTACATTTATTCCCTCTTCTCCTGGGTCAGTTAAGTAGCTTGATGTACTATTTCTTGTTGCAATATGTTGGACACTTTTCTACATGTAAATATTTATTTAAGTCTTGGATAAAATTAAAATAGTATGTTAATACCATATGCATTTAACACAGAGGGGAAATGATTATCTCTCTGTGTAAGCTACCTCTCAAAAGTTCAGTATAATGTATTGGAAAACTAGAGTATTAGGTATTGTTACCATTATTAGAAATAGAATTGTGCTCATAATTTTTTTTTTGAACAGAGTTTCACTCTTGTTGTGCAGGCTGGAGTGCAATGGCATGATCTTAGCTCACTGCAACCTCCACCTCTCAGGTTCAAGCAATTCTCCTGCTTCAGCCTCCTGAATAGCTGGGATTACAGGTGCCTAACATGCCTGGCTAATTTTTTTTTTTTTTTTTTTTTTGAGACAGAGGCTTGCTCTGTCACCTAGTCTGGAGTGCAGTGATACGATCTCAGCTCACTGCAACATCTGTCTCCCGGGTTCAAGCAATTCTCCTGCCTCAGCCTCCCGAGTAGCTGGGACTACAGGCATGTGCCACCACGCCTGGCTAATTTCTGTATTTTTATTAGAGACGAGGTTTCAGCATGTTGGTCTGGCTGGTCTCAAACTCCTGACCTCAGGTGATCCACCCACCTTAGCCTCCCAAAGTTCTGGGATTACAGACGTGAGCTACTGCGCCCAGCCGCCTTGCTAATTTTTGTATTTTTGGTAGAGATGGGGTTTCACTATGTTGGTCAGGCTGGTCTCGAACTCCTGACCTCAGGTGATCCACCCACCTCGGCTTCCCAAAGTGGTGGGATTACAGGTGTGAGCCACTATGCCTGACCAACTCATAATTTTTGTTTTGAAATAGTTTTACAGTTCTCTGAGAGCATATTCACATAGTAAATTTGAGTTGTATCATTCTTAAAATGTGTTTCCTTGGGAAAGCATGTGGTAGAAAGATAAATAGGAAATCGTTTCTTGGCATTATTGTGGAGTACAATCAGTGGCTTGCTGGTGCTGGCTTGCATCAGTTTGTGAGCTTATTGCTAAATTATAAGGAATTATTTGAGCTGGTTGTTAAACACAACCATTTAAAAAAATTAAGTCACAAAGGTAGTAAAAACTCAGAAACTCACTGGCTGGGTGCGATGGCTCATGTCTGTAATCCCAGCACTTTCAGAGGCTGAGGCAAACATATCGCTTGAGCCCAAGAGTTTGAGATCAGCCTGGGCAACATGATGAAGCCTTGTCTTTACAAAAGAAATACAAAAATTAGCTGGGTATGGTGATGTGAGCCTCTAGTTCCTGCTTCTTGGGAGGCTGAGGTGGGAGGACTGCCTGGGAGGCAGAGGTTGCAGTGAGCTGAGATTGTGCCACTGCACTCCAGCCAGGGCGACAGACTGAGACCCTGCCTCAGAAAACCCCAAACAAACAAACAAAACCAACTCTTCACTTCCCAGTTATTTTATTGCATTTTACAATTACCTGTGTTCTCAAGGTTATTTATGCCTGTCATATCTATATGGTAAAAAGACTCCCAACACTGCATTCAGTGACTTTATGTTGGTAGCTTGTAATCAACCATGGTGGGCATATTTGCACCATGGAAATTGGAGAATACTGTAAATTAGAGATTTATTTTTGAGAGCATAGTTATTAAACATTTGCCAGCATACCAGTGAATAGGATGTTCTTTTAGTTTAATGTTCTGCTTATCTGAGGATGGCTTTCTTCCTTTTATTTTTTTCTTGAGATGGAGTCTCACTCTTGCCCAGGCTGGAGTGCAGTGGCGCAGTCTCAGCTCACTGCAACCTCCGCCTCCCGGGTTCAAGAGAGTCTCCTGCTTTAACCTCTGGAGCAGCTGGGATTACAGGTGCGTGCCACCATGCCCAGCTAATTTTTTGTATTTTTAATGGAGATGGGGTTTCACCATGTTGGCCAGGCTCGTCTCAAACTCCTCATCTTAGGTGATCTGCCCACCTCGGCCTCCCAAAGTGCTGGGATTATAGGTGTGAGCCACCGCACCCGGCTGCCTTCTTTCATATCTACTCTTTAAATATATTTTTATAGGGTGACTGCAAGTCTGGAACATAAAACTACTTATTTCATTATCATCACAGATACATTTATTTATCATCCGCAGGGAAACATGACTGAGATTAAAACAAAGCACATTAAATAAAATGAAAAAGAGAATAAGTAAATATTTTTCCTATATTTCAAGAGTTTTTGGTTTGGGTGCAGTAGCTTACACCTGTAATTCCAGAACTTTCGGAGGCCAAGGTGGGAGAATTGCTCGACCAGGAGTTCAAAACCAACCTGGGCAAAATGGCAAGAACCCTTCTCTACAAAAAATTAGTAGGATGTAGTGGTGGCACCTGTGGTCCCAGCTATAACGGAGGCCGAGGCAGGAGGATTGCTTGAGCCTGGGAATTTGAGGCTACTGCAGTGAGTTAGGATTGTGCCACTGCACTCTAGCCTGGGCAACAGTGTAAGACCCTGTCTCAAAAAAAATTTTTTTTTTTTTTGAGATGGAGTCTCGCTCTGTCACCCAGGCTGGAGCGCAGTGGCGTGATCTCGGCTTACTTCAACCTCTGTCTCCCGGATTCAAGCAATTCTCCTCAGCCTCCCGAGTAGCTGGGACTACAGGTGCCGCCACCATGCCCAGCTAATTTTTGTATTTTTAGTAGAGACAGGGTTTCACCATATTGGCCAGGCTGGTCTTGAACTCCTGACCTCGTGATCTGCCCGCCTCGGCCTCCCAAAGTGTTGGGATTACAGGCGTGAGCCACCGTGCCTGGCCAAAAATTTTTTTAAAATAAAAAATAAAGACTTTTTGGACACCCTAGATACATAAACAAGTAAATGAATTGCGGATACATGTATTCAGAGATATATATTGTGTGTGTGTGTGTGTGTGTGTGTGTATATGTGTGTATGTCTGTACATACTATCAGTTCTCATTATAAGTGGATTATTTATTTTAGGTGTGGATTCTGTATTTGAAAATTCACCTACTCAACAAAATGTATTTGCAGCTCAAAAATCAGTACTTGCTGGGCATGGTGGCTCATGCCTGTGATCCCAGCACTCTGGGAGGCCGAGGCAGGCGGATCACCTGAGGTCAGGAATTTGAGACCAGCCTAGCCAACATGGTGAAACCCTGTCTACAAAAAATAGAAAAATTAGCCAGGGATGGTGGCGTGCACTTGCAGTCCCAGCTACTCAGGGGGCTGAGGCAGAAGAATTGTTTGAACCTGGGAGGCAGAGGCTGCAGCTAGCCGAGATTGCCCCACTGCACTTCAGCCTGGGTAACAAAAGCGAAACTCTGTCCCAAAAAAAAAGAGAAAAAAATCAGTACTCAGGTTCTCTTGCAGTTATTATTGGACATGTGCAGAACAGTGAAAGATGTGGGTTGTCCATTGTGCATGTTCTGAAGCTGAGGTTGAATGAGGTGACACTGTTTCAGCTGTCGTACTGCAAACAAGTGTCCTTTTTGTATTCTATTTAGTGTCACTTTTTTTCACATTTTTATGCTTTTTGTTGGTAATTTTGCTGTTTAAAATGGCTCCTAAATGTGGTACTGAATTCCTATCTAGTGTTCCTAAGCCCAAGAAGGCTGTGATATGCCTTACAGAGAAAATATGCATCTCAGATAAGCTTGTTCTGGCATGAGTTATAGTGCAATTGGCCATGAGTTCAATGTTAATGAATCAAATATATATATATATAATATATGTATTTATATATAAATATTTTACATATTTGATTTATATATATATATTATACATAATATATCATATTGAGATATATAAATATATATTATATATAATACTATATATAAATATATATATAGTATCTTTAAACAGAAATGCATAAAACAAAATTATGTGTTGATCAGTTGATGAAATGTGACTAAAGGCTTGCAGGAACCCAACTCTATATTTCCCCTCAGAACAGTGGTTCAATATTTGCTAATTCAATAGTTTTGGTGACTTTATAGAACATAATTATTGCAAATAATGGCAATTGATTGTATATACACACACACATTCGTGTATACATGACATTTGTGACCTTAAATTTTTAGAGAAATAGACTACAATCAATTATTATAAATACTAAATTTATCTTAATGTTTTATTGATGATTCAGATGGCTTAGAATACATAAATATTCAAATATTTATGAATATGCGGAAAAGTCAGTTAATAGAAATGTATCATATTTTAAATAATTAAAAAACATTTTTTAGCTTCCTTGTGATTTGTTAATATTAGAGAAACAGTTTGCATAGTTATTCCTCTCATTGAGTGTACTGTTTATATAGACATTTATTAATAGAGATTACTTCTTGAGCATTTAATTAATGATCCTAAAAGGTTTTATTTTATTCCAATCAGATTATGTATATGAAGCTTTATTGAACACTGATATTGACATAGATTCACTGGAAGCAGACTCACATTTAGATGAAGTCTGGATCAAAGAAGTGATAACGAAGGCAGGGATGAAGTTAAAGTGGAGTAAATTAAAACAGGACAAAGTCAGAAAAAATAAAGATGCTGTAAGAAGGTAAAACTTAACTGTATATACTGGCAGGGTTTGGGGGAGACTACATAGTTATATTTACACTTTTTAATGGAAAGATTTGCTTTAAAATTTCTTTTGTAATAAAGATATGTGTGTATAAACTTCGAAGTACTTAAAGCATTAGAAAGTGTATTATACATTCAAGTTATTATAAAACTTTAAGGATTTTTTAAAAATTTGCTGAATGTATACATTGGTCTGAATTTTCAAATTTGATTCAGTTCTGCTCATTGTTATGAAAATGCAAACCACAGGTAGGTAGGCAGTTATTAAATAGTCTGTCATATGTATAGGAGGGGGAAATAGGTCTAATCCACACTGAATATTGGGTTTTATTGTTAATGGTAGTTCACAGGGATAAATGTGAACCAATTCACAGGCTATAAAGTATTTCTGATATTTAAGAAATGAAACTCTTTTGCTGTTAATTGTAGGCCCCAGGCAGATCCAGCTTTATTAACCCCAAGGTCCCCAGTTGTTACTATAATGGGCCATGTTGATCACGGGAAAACGACATTACTTGACAAATTTCGAAAAACTCAAGTGGCAGCAGTGGAAACTGGAGGCATCACTCAGCACATTGGTGCCTTTCTTGGTATGAACACAAATTACCTTACAATGTGCTTGGGAACCCCACTTATTTTCTTAAACTAAATGTCATAGTATGAAATATACAAATTCAAAGTACAAGAGAAGGCTAAAGCTTGCAGTCATTAGTTTGATGAAATGTAGAGCAAGTGGTTAGTAAAGCTGTGTTTTGTACTTTCTATAAGAAGAAGATTGTGTTAACTGTTAACTTTTTTTTTTTTTTTTTTCTTTTTGAGACAGAGTCTCACTCTGTCACCCAGGCTGGAGTGCAGTGGTGCAATCTTGGCTCACTGCAACCTCTGCCTCCCCAGTTCAAGCAGTTCTCCTGCCTCAGCCTCCCAAGTAGCTGGGACTACAGGTGTGCACCACCGTGCCTGGCTAATTTTTGTATTTTTAGTTGAGACAGGGTTTCCCCATGTTGGCCAGGCTGGTCTCAAACTCCTGACCTTGTGGTCCGCCTGCCTCAGCCTCCCAAAGTGTTGGGATTACAGGTGTGAGCCATCGTGCCTGGCTTAATTTTTTTGTATTTTTAGTAGAGACGGGGTTTTGCCATGTTGGCCAGGCTGGTGTCGAACCCTTGACCTCAAGTGATCTGCCCATCTTGACCTCCCAAAGTGCTAGGATTACAGGTGTGAGCCACCGCGCCTGGCTGAAAATTGTGTTAACTTTTAATTCTAGCTCATTCTTAGTTTGATTTAATGAGTCTACAATTTTTTTATTAATTATGTTTATATAACTTCCTTTGCTAGGTTGTGATAATATTGCTGATAATAATTAAATAATAGTCCCATTTACGAGCACCTAGCATGTTTCCAGTACTGTGCTGAGCACCTTATATGTTTTGTCTTTTTTATCTTGACAACAACATCATAAGGTAGGTATTAATAGTTGCACTTACAAATAAGGAAGCCGATACTTCTTCGAGTTAAGCAGCTTTCCCACAGTATATAGCCAGTAAGTAGCATAGCCAGGATTTAAACCCAAGGTCAATGGACTCAAATCGTGAGCTACTGCCTACTAAATTGCCTCTCTGTGGCTCAGGGAGTTGTGCAACTCTGATTTGCTAATGTGAGGGTGGCTGCCTGTACAACAATTGGTCTGTTCTGTCTCTAAAATAGATATATCAGTTGATACATTTATGAAAGTAGTTATGTTCTAGAATTATGGAGACTTTAGTTTGAAATTTTTACATGGAAAAAAACCCATAAGAATCTCACTGGCATTTTATCACTTTTCATTGTGAAATGATGATCTGTGTTCTGATTAAGATTAATGGAAGGAATAAAATTATTTTAAAGAATTATTGATGGTTTCTGATAATGTCGCATATATTCTTTGGTATTAAGGAAGTACATGTTTGAATCCTTGATGTTCTTGAATTTCTGTTTCCACAGTCTCTCTGCCTTCTGGGGAAAAGATAACTTTTCTTGATACTCCAGGACATGCTGCTTTCTCAGCAATGAGAGCCAGAGGTGCTCAGGTCACTGACATTGTCGTATTGGTTGTAGCTGCAGATGATGGAGTGATGAAACAAACTGTAGAATCTATTCAGCATGCCAAAGATGCACAGGGTACTGTGTGGCTGACTTAATGGATCTACTACATAAAGTCAAAGTTCTGGGGCCATTTACATATAGCTCATTTAGTCTTCACAACAATCCCAGAGTTATTATACGTGTATTACAGATAAGCCTCAAAGATAAATTGTTTTCCCACAGACTTATAACTAATAGGAAGAGTATAGCAGGATTCAACTTGGGAGTTGTGACCATAAGTACAGACCACAGGTACAATCTTTCCTCTACTATGCCCTTTTTTTTTCAACTTTTTATCATAGAAATTTTAAACAGATACAAAAGTAAGAAAAGAATAATGAAATTCGATCTATCCATCACATAAATTCATTAGGAGTTGCATAGTGGTTATATTCTGTTATTTCCTGTTAATTTATTATGTGGAATTCTTCTCTAAAGAGAAACTTTCCCTTCTGCTTTAAATAAGTTCTTATCTGATCAAATGTATAAAATTCAGACTTTTGGAAAATCACTTAACCATCTTCTCCCTTATTTCTTCATTTAAAAGTTATAATAATAAATACCCACACATGTAATTATACATTCTAGGCTGGGAGTGGGGGCTCACACCTGGAATCCCAGCACTTTGGGAGGCCGAGGCCGGTGGATCACCTGAGGTCATTGGGAGTTCGAGACCAGCCTGACCAACATGGAAAATCCCTGTCTCTACTAAAAATACAAAGTTAGCCAGGCATGGTGGCACATACCTGTAATCCCAGCTACTTGGGAGGCTGAGGCAGGAGAATCACTTGAACCCGGGAGGTGGAGGTAGTGGTGAGCCGAGATTGTGCCATTGCACTCCAGCCTGGGCAACAAAAGCGAAACTCCGTCTCAAAAAAAAGTTACACATTCGGTATATTGATTTTTATTCTGAAATGACTGTACCCCTACCCTTACTGAGAAAATGTACTCGATAAAGTGTGTCATATTACCCCCAGATTTACTGGCAAGATTTTTAAAAGGTTGGGAGTTACTGAACTAGTCCAGTTCTTTCATTTTACAGCATGAAAACTAAGACTCAGACAGCAGCCAGAACTCTCCCTAATTATATACAATTATACACTAATTTTCAGTATGTCTGCATATGGAATTTGGATCTGCTAGCTTCCAATGTTATTCTCTTTTCTTTTTAATTCCTCAAAACTGCCTTTGTATGATGTACTATGTTCTTAATGATTCTAGGGAATACATGCAAAAAGAGAGGGATAAATTTGCCAGGGATCCCATTACAAAGCAATTGGTTGAGATAGGATAACTTCATTAGATCATGCTTTGTACACCTCTTCTCTTGGTACCGGTTAAGTTCCAGCTCATCAACATAGAATGTACTTTTTCCTTTTCTTTTTTTTTTTTTTTTTTTTTTGAGACGGAGTTTTGCTCTTATTGCCCAGGCTGGAGTGCAGTGGTGCAATCTTGGCTCACTTCAACCTCCTTCTCCCAGGTTCAAGCGATTCTCCTGCCTCAGCCTCCCGAATAGCTGGGATTACAGGTGACTGCCACCACACCTGGCTAATTTTTGTATTTTTAGTAGAGATGGGGTTTTACCATGTTGGCCAGGTTGGTCTCAAACTCCTGACCTCAGGTGATCCACCCACCTCCCAAAGTCCTGGGATTACAGGTATGAGCCACCGTGCCCGGCCAGAATGTACTTTTTCGTAATAGTACGTTGTGGATTGCAAAACTTTTTTGTATCTTTTAAAATTTCTGTTTGATACCTGAGAAAATTACAGAGATGATGAAATGCAACCACAGAATTACCTCGTAGAATTTTGTGTGATTTCTCTAAAGAGAGGATATGTCTAGTGATAGTAAGTAGATTAAAAGATTGTTTGGTCCTTTCATTAAGTAAACATTTATTGAGAGCCTACTAGGTCACTGACCTAGGTGTATGAATAAATAGTATAAGTCCTAAAAGAAAATTTGTGATATTGGTACTTAGTTTTAACCTAGGATGAGATGTTGGGTTTTAACAATGAGTAAATAAACCCTGGAAAGAAGAGGCAAATGATCTAGCAGTATTGAATTGGAATCTTCCCATGATTTTTTTTTTTTTTTTGGAGATTATCTCCAGTGTACTTACTGATCTTGCTTTTAGGTTTAAGGATAGGCCTTTTTCTACCCAAAATACAGTTGACCTTTGAACATCACGGGTTTGAACTGTGTGGGTCCACTTAACACACACATTTTTTTCAACCAAACATAAATAAAACAGCATTCACAGAATTTGAAACTTCCTTACATGGCTTTTTGTACACACGATTCTGCAGGGCTGGCTGCAAGACTTGAGTATGCCGGGATTTTGGTATAGGCAGTGGTGGGGGTCCTGGAACCAATCCACCAGTATACCCAGGGATGATTGTATTGTTTGTTGTGTTTTTTCTGGGATGGAGTCTCGCTCTGTTGCCCATGCTGGAGTGCAGTGACACGATTTCAGCTCACTGCAAGCTCTGCCTTCCTGGTTCAAGCGATTCTCCTGCCTCAGGCTCCCAAGTAGCTGGGATTACAGGTGCATGCCACCACGCCCGGCTAATTTTTGTATTTTTTAGTAGAGACGGGATTTCTCCATGTTGGCCAGGCTGATCTCAAACTCCTGACCTCAGGTGATCCACCCGCCTCAGCTTCCCAAAGTGCTAGGATTACAGGCATGAGCCACCGCACCCAGCCCGACTGTATTGTTTTTTTTGATAATCTCAGGTGTCTGTTATTCACTCAGAATCTGCTTATAATTATACTTTTAACATCTTGCATCTGGATTTCTCTATATGTAGAGCGCAGAGTAGGGTGATGTGACTCTAAAGTGGGTCATTTTGGCCTTTTGTTAGATAAAAACATCCACTGAATAAAGAGAAAACCAGAACAGAAAGTTGATGTCTTTCACTGTGAATACCTGGAATTGAAGGTGTCATCATTTTCACTCTTTTTAACTCCATTTCTTTCAGTTCCTATTATCCTTGCCGTAAATAAATGTGACAAAGCTGAGGCTGATCCTGAGAAAGTGAAAAAAGAGCTGCTGGCTTACGATGTGGTATGTGAAGATTATGGAGGTGATGTTCAAGCAGTGCCTGTCTCCGCACTTACGGTAAATGCGGGGACCTCATATAAATATGCCTGGATGGGAATGCTGTACATAATGCACACAGTATATTACATCTAAAGAACATTTTGATGTACATAATTTGTGTTGTTTTTAAAAAGTTTTCTTGGTGCCAGGCAAAGATGGTATTATCTTGGTTTGGCATGTTAGGAGTTAGGCTCAGAGAGGTCAGTCACCAGCTAATCAGTGTGGAGTCAAGTCTAAATGGAATATATTTTTTATTATGAGATACTTAGGATGAGAATAAATGGTGAATAAGGGAAATAGTAGGACAAAGACGTGGTGCCATCACAGCTCAGTGCAGCCTTGACCTCCAAAGCTCAAGTTGTCCTCCCACCTCAGCCTCTTGAGTAGTTGGGGCTACAGGCAGGTGCCACCCCATGCCTAGCTAATTTTTAAATTTTTTTGTAGACATAGGGTCTCACTGTGTTGCTTAGGCTGGTCTTGAACACCTGGCCTCAAGCCATTGTCCCACCTTGGCCTCCCAAAGCACCGAGATTACAAGTGTGAGCCACCATGCCTGACCAAAGACTGTCTTAAGCAGAAATGAAATCCAGTTGTTAACAAAAAAGTGCTTATATTTCATGCCTCTTACAAGTGGAAAACAGGTCTTACAGCATTTAAGAGATTTAAACAAAAAGTTCATGAATACCAAGATTAAATATTAAGGTTGATTTTGTTATTGATTGACTGAATGTTTTTGTGGATTAAATTGCTACATGTTTTAAAATGTTATTTATAATGAATTCCATTTTCTTTAAGATTACCATCTATTCTTTCTTGAATATAAACACCAAGGAAACTCAGTGCTTGCCTCTTATAAGTGTTTTCCAATTCTCTTACCCTATAGAGGTTGCTGCTAAGTGACAATTTCCTTTTTTGTCCGTCCTTATTATATTACAAAGTTTATTTATAATATAGCCTTTTTTTTCTCCTGATCATTCACTGAAGGGATGGTGGGTTACTCTACCACCTTCCTCCAATTAAATCTCACTTCATCTTTACTTTTCCTAAATGTGTTACCTCCAAGATAGTTAGAAATTATGCGTCCATTAATAGTAAAACTGTGCATCTTTTTCTCTGAAATTTATAAAATGCTACCTTACTTTGTTATCTTCTGCACTATCCCTCAATTGTTATTGCACTCTGAAAGCCAAATGTTAGGCTTACTAAAATAAGATTAAAGTATTTGGCCAGGCGCAGTGACTTATGCCTGTAAGCCTAGCACTTTGGGAGGCCGAGGTGGTCAGATCCATTGAGGCAGGAGTTCAAGACCAGCCTGGGCAACATGATGAGACCTTGTCTCTATAAAAACACAAAAATTAGCCTGGCTTGGTGGCATGTGCCTGTCGTCCTAGCTATTGGGGAGGCTAAGACTGGAGGACCACTTGAGCCAGGGAGGCAGAGGTTGCAGCGAGCTGAGATGATGCCACTGCACTCCAGCCTTGATAACAGAGTGAGACCTTGTCTAAAAAAAAAAATTAAAATATTTGAAGAGTTGACCACCTTTTCTGGCCAGATACCATCAGATGAGTAGGTAGATGTAAAGCTGCTTAGGCAGATTTGGAGGCGTGTCAGAGATGATTCCAAGGGAAGGGAGGGGATTGGAAGAGAGTGGCAGGGAGGTAAGATGAGGCCTTCTTTTCCAAGATATATAAAGGATTATTTCATGCAAGGAAACAACTCTAGTTCTGCTTTTTGGGGCAGCATTTTGTAAATTGGAATAAATACTAGGAATAAGTGGGTGGGTAAGCAAAGTATTTAGTCAATTTTTTTGTTTTGTTTTGTTTTGTTTTACAGTTGTCTATTGTTTTATTTTTTGTTTTTTGAAATGAAGTCTTGCTCTGTGTCTCAGGCTGGAGAGCAGTGGCATGATCTTGGCTCACTGCAACCTCTGCCTCTGGGTTCAAGTGATTTTCCTGTCTCAGCCTCCTGAGTAGCTGGGATTACAGGCACGTGCCACCACACCTGACTAATTTTTTGTATTTTTAGTAGAGATGTGGTTTCACCATGTTGGCTGGTCTTGAACTCCTAACCTCAAGTGATCCGCCCGTCTCAGCTTCCCAAAGTGCTGGGATTACAGGCATGAGCCACCGTGCCCGGCCCTTGTCTGTTGTTTTATACTTTGTAACAACTGTGAGCAATCTCTTAGCTGATAAGAGGAGTGGAAAAATACCTTGCCTATCAGTTCCATTTCCATCACCAGTTAATCAGCTGTGTGATCTTGGAGCCCTAGAGAGCACAGTAAACATAGACCATGAAAGGTAAAAGAATCACCCACTCCAGCTTCTTCATTTTATGGTTGAGGTAAGGAGATCCAGGGAAGTGAGGTGATTTTTTTTTTAAAGGCTGCACAGCTGGGTGGTTATAAAGCACAGCTTAGAGCCTAGATCTCTAGTTAGTGCTTTTTCTCCTCATTTATTTAATAAGGGTAAGTCATGCTTGATATGCTTTGTAGGATTCTTGAGTTGATCAAATGAAATAATAGATGTGAAATCTCGTTCAGTTGGATAGAACTTAAACAAAAAAAGAAAGCAAGAGGAAGGAAACACAACTGTAGGGACAGACGGAGGAGAAAGAAAATGAATGAAGCATTGCATGTGTTTATGAAAGGGATAGTAACAAGCCCACCAGTGGTCATCCTTTAAAAAAAATAGCCACTTGTTCCTTGCAAGATCTGTCCATGGCTCAGGTTTTCTTGCTGATCCCTCCCTCCCTTCCATTCTTCCCATTGTCTTTTTTCTTATTTTTGTTTCCCCTCCCTCCCTTTCTTTGTTAAATTGAGTAATCATGCTTTCAATGATTAAAGAGAAAAGTATAATATAACTTGCAAGTATTATGTGACTTTCTGTCCCTGGCATTTACATTTACAGATAATATTTATTAATGTGTATTAACAACGTTTGTTATTGTTAAAGGGCGATAATCTGATGGCTTTGGCAGAAGCAACAGTTGCTCTTGCAGAAATGTTAGAATTGAAAGCAGATCCCAATGGTCCAGTGGAAGGAACAGTAATAGAGTCTTTCACAGACAAAGGAAGAGGGTAGGACTCTTAAAATGCTTGCCTTTTTAATTTGTTCTGTGGTTTTCGTGACTTGATTATATGACAATGTATTATTTTTGTTACATGTTATTGTTAGTTCATGAACAATATTTTCAAAGCATTTGTTTTAAAAAGTATTTTATTGTTTGTACTAATACAAGAACACAAAAATGCAGTTATTATCAGTAGACCATAGCAGCTATCCATGTACATCTACTAGTCATATTTAGGTGACATAAGTAGTTCAATTTGTTTTATTTTTTTTCCCTCACTGACTCGACTGAATTGGTAAAGTCTTATAGATAACATAAATTAGAATGAAATACCAATGGTTGCATTTTAGGGTTTGTGAATTCTTTATACTTTACCCATTAATATAATACGCAGAAAGGTCTTTGAAGTGGTGTGCTTGAATTTTCCTCTGTATCAGCAAGAGAGGTTTTCTCATTGCTTTACACTCTCTAACAACTGAGTAATCCCTTAGCTGATGGAGACTGGGATAGAAAGTGGGTTAAGATTCTGTCAGAACACTTTGCTCCCTGCTTCTTCGCTTAGCATAACCTTATAAGAAATTATTTTTTTTTTAAATTATGGTAAGAAACACCTAACATCCCATTTATTATGTTAACCATATTTAAATATACAGTTCAGTATTGTAGTTTATTCACATTGTTGTGCAACAGACGTGTTGAACTATTTTATCTTGTGAAACTGAAACTCTGTACCTTTTAAAATTACCCTTGTCCCTCTCCTGAGCCCTTGGCAACCACCTTTCTGTTTTCTGCTTTTCCTTTATTTCTTTCTTTCTTTTTGAGACGGACTTTTGCTCTTGTTGCCCAGGCTGGAGTGAAGTGGCCACGATCTCAGCTCACTGCAACCTCCAATCCCTGGGTTCAAGCAATTCTTCCGCCTCAGTCTCCCAAGTAGCTGGGATTTACAGGCACCCACCACCATGCCTGGCTAATTTTTGTATTTTTTTAGAGACAGGATTTTCACCATGTTGACCAGGCCGGTCTCAAACTCCTGACCTCAGGTGATCCAACCGCCTCAGCCTCCCAAAGTGCTGGGATTACAGGCGTGAGCCACTACACCTGGCACTGTTTTGTGTTTCAATTTTGTGCCTACTTTAGATACTTCATATGAGTGGAATCATACAGTATGTGTCCATTTGTAACTGGCTTATTTCATTTTGTATAATGTTCTAGAGTTTCATTCATGTTGTAGCCTGTGAAAAGATTTCCTTTTTTTAAACAATTTAATATTTATTTATTTTTTAATTTTTCTTTTTTTGAGTTGCAGTCTCACTCTGTCACCCAGGCTGGAATGCAGTGGTGTGATCTCGGCTCACTGCAACCTCTGCCTCCCAGGTTCAAGTGATTCTCCTGCCTCAGCCTCCCGAGTAGCTGGGACTGTAGGCGCGTGCCACCACACTCAGCTAATTTTTGTATTTTTAGTATAGATGGGGTTTCACCATGTTGGCCAGGCTGGTCTTGAACTACTGACCTCAGGTGATCTACCTGCCTCGGCCTCCCAAAGTACTGGGATTACAGGTGTGAGCCACTGTGCCTAGCCTATTTTTTTTTTAATTGAGATAGGGTCCTGCTATGTTGCCCTAGCTGGTCTCAAACTCGTGAGCTCAAGCAATCCACCCACCTTGGCCTTCAAAAGTGCTGGGATTACAGCCGTGAGCCACCACACCTGGCCAATTTCCTTCTTTTTAAAGACTGTATAATATTCCTTTGTATGTAAAATCCACATTTTCTTTGGAAGAAATGTCCATTTGTCTTTTGATGGACATTTGAGTTGCTTCTACTTCTTGGCTATCGCAAATAAATTTGTTTAAAATGGTCTTGATAGGCTGACTTTGAACTCCTGGGCTCAGGTGATCCTCTTGCCTTAGCCTGCTGAATAGCTGGGATTGCAGATGTGCCACTGCACCCAGCTTTGAAATGTTTTTATAGTATGAAAAACTGCTTAAGTTAAGAAGTGGTGGAATTAATCTTGTGTATACACATGTTTATATAACTTAAACTTCATAAAGATATCTTTGCTCTACTTAAAGTACATTATGACATTGAAAATATACTTTTATTTTCATTTTAGTCTTGTTACTACAGCTATAATTCAAAGAGGAACTTTAAGAAAAGGCTCTGTTCTGGTTGCTGGAAAATGTTGGGCAAAAGTACGCTTAATGTTTGATGAAAATGGAAAAACAATTGATGAGGCCTATCCCAGCATGCCAGTGGGAATTACAGGCTGGAGAGACCTTCCTTCTGCAGGAGAAGAAATTCTTGAAGTAGAATCTGAGGTGTATCAAGCTTAATTCCTATATATTAGATATAATATAATGATTTTAAATGCCAGTTTACAATGTTATACCAAATATGTGTATTAATGTTAACAAATCTAGATTATAAGGGGCTGTGAGGATGCAAGTTGTGCTATTTTAGCATTAGACTATAGAATTTTGGGGGTGGGGATAAGATTTTTAAATCATTTCAATTATACAAGCTCTCAAATTAAAATTTTACATGTTTCTTGAAACTTATAAAAGTAGTAGTTTCATACATGAGTTAAGCTAATTTCCTAATGCAGGACAACACAAAGGCTTTAATCTAGCAGTTATTGATGTCTATTTCATTAAATAATACGTTTTTCCCCTATAAAGCCAAGGGCACGTGAAGTTGTTGACTGGAGGAAATATGAACAAGAACAGGAGAAAGGTCAGGAGGATCTGAAAATAATAGAAGAAAAGCGAAAGGAACACAAAGAAGCACATCAGAAAGCCCGTGAGAAGTATGGCCATCTACTGTGGAAGAAGAGATCAATTCTACGGTTTTTAGAAAGAAAAGAACAAATACCCTTAAAGCCAAAAGAGAAAAGGGAAAGAGATTCAAATGTACTTTCTGTGATTATTAAAGGTATCTTTTTAAAGATTTTACATTACAGTTCATTCTTTGAATATATGTTTTTTTATTCTCATAGTTTGGGCCTTTACATTTACATGAAAATTATTTCAATATTTTAGGAGAGTTTTTCTTAGTCAACATATTTCTTGCTGATTTTGTTGTAAATGTACGTTTGGCTCATTATATGCTATTAAGTCAAGTAGATATGTGTAATGCTAAGCCTAAATAAAAGTGGATTTAGTGATAAATGACATTCCTATCATGGCTTTAAATAGATTATTGTCATTTTTATGTCTGCTGATGTCTAACTCTTAAAAGCAACAATTATAAACTTTTTCTGTATTTAGGTGATGTTGATGGTTCTGTTGAGGCCATTTTGAACATTATAGATACCTATGATGCTTCACACGAGTGTGAACTAGAATTAGTACATTTTGGAGTGGGTGATGTAAGTGCAAATGATGTTAACCTTGCTGAAACATTTGATGGTAAGGATTCCATTTCTTCTTGTTAATCTGTGTTCCCCAAATAACACTGAACCATCTGCTTCTGTCTTTTGTTGCTTGGCTTGTCACACCTGACATTTACTGCTATCAGCATCACCCTTCCTGCTATAGTCCAGTCCCAGCTAGCAATTGAAACTTAATAGGATGTGCAGTATTGTGGCTATAGCTCCATTTGTTGTGGTTGTACTGCAGTTTTGGGGAACTATTTCAAGACCTGGTCACGTTTATCTTTTTTTTTTAAAAGCACCATTACTGCCCCCTCTCCCTACTCCTCCTGGTTCTTTACTATCCCAAGGTTGATTTCTCATATCTTTCATCAGACTTCTGAATGTTCCTAACACTGTAATCACCCTATTCAGTTCTTTCCTTCATCTTTTACTTTTGGCTGCCTATCTTTGGTAATTGATAACTTTATACATCGTATCTTTTTACAGCAAAAGTTCTTTTTAGCTTTATAAGCCTAGAAGGCAGGGAACTGTCTTTATTAGTTGAATTTATGATACACAAAAAGGGGGACTCATGACTGTTAAATAAAGTCGAACACCTAGTAAAGCAAAAACATTTGTTGAGTGATTAGGAATCATTTAGGAAAGAGATGCTTTGAAACCTGACTTGATTAGAGTTAGATATCACCTCTACTACTGAAAAGGATAGAGGTAACATCTAACTGATTAATTAAAAGTATTTGGTAGGCACTGACTGGCTTAGCACTGTGCTGTAATACAGATAGTGTATTGAAAGATATTGAAATGACTTTTTTTTTTCTTTTTTTTTTTTTTGGAGACAGAGCCTCACTCTTTTGCCCAGGCTGGAGTGCAGTGGCACGGTCTCGGCTCACTGCAACCTCTGCCTCCCAAGGGATTCTCCTGCCACAGCCCCCACCGAGTAGCTGGGATTATAGGCGTGCACCACCATGCCTGGCTAATTTTGTATTTTTAGTAGAGACAGGGTTTCACCATGTTGGCCAGGCTGGTCTTGAACCCCTGACCTAGGTGGTCTACCTGTTTTGGCCTCCCAAAGTGCTGGAATTACAGGCATGAGCCGTTGTGCCTAGCCAATTGAATGACTTCTTTTTCTTGAGACGGAGTTTTGCTTTTGTCAACCAGGCTGGAGTACAATGGCGCAATCTTGGCTCATTGCCACCTCTCCCTCCTGGGTTCAAGCGATTCTCCTGCCCCAGCTTCCCGAGTAGCTGGGATTATAGGCACCCACGACCACACCTGGCTAATTCTTATATTTTTAGCATAGATAAGGTTTCATCATGTTGGCCAGTTTGGTCTCAAACTCCTGACCTCACGTGATCCACCCACCTCGGCCTCCCAAAGTCCTGGGATTACAGGCGTGAGCCACTGCACCCGGCCTGAATGGCTTCTTAATGATAGGACTTTCAAGGTGATTGTGTTTTTCTCCTGATTAAACTGTTTGGGTTAATTTTTTTCATTCATTTTGTTTAAGACAAGAGTGTTTTGCTTTTTTTTCTTTTTGGGTTGGTTTTTTTTTTTTTGAGACAGAGTCTTGCTCTGTCGCCCAGGCTGGAGTGCAGTGGCGTAATCTTGGCTCACCGCACCCACCACCTCCTGGGTTCAAGAGATGTTCCTGCCTTAGTTTCCTGAGTAGCTGGGATTATAGGTGTCTGCCACCATGCCTGGCTAATTTTTGTATTTTTAGTAGAGACAGGGTGTCACCATGTTGGTCAAGCTGGTCTTGAACTCCCAACCTCAGGTGATCCACCCACCTCGGCCTCCCAAAGTGCTGGGATTACAGGCGTGAGCCACCGTGCCCGTCCAGGTTAATTTTTTTCATTCATTTTGTTTAAGACAAGAGTGTTTTGCTTTTTTTTTTCTCCCAAAGTATTTACAGTTAAATATATTATTTGTTTGTTGGTAAAATGGTCAGCTCCATGAAACTTGCTTCTTAAAAATAACTCTTGACCTTTACCAATTAAGTCACTATTTTTCCATCCACCCCTTTAAGTCACTATTTTTGGGCATCTTTTGGCCATCTGAATACCTAAGTGCAAACCACAAAAATTGTAGACAATAAGATTATAATTTAATAATGTAATTGTTATTAAAATGAAGGAATAGTATTTTAGCCCTGGTCATTTTTTGTGTTTTTATTTCTCTGGTATGAAAATCAAATTTTGTTTAGCATACTGCTTTACACGTTATAGGCACTTAATGTTCCTTAAATGAATGGGTTTAAAATTATAAAGAAATTTTCTTTGTTAAACAAGCCACAATACAGTTTATAAAATTCTTTCATCAATTGGAAAACGTACTAGTTTTGGTGAGAAAAAAAGTCATAGACCTTCTAACCTCCTCTAATTGCTATTTTTTTTTGAGATGGAGTTTTGCTC
Source organism: Homo sapiens (assembly GCF_000001405.40). Classification (NCBI taxonomy): domain Eukaryota; kingdom Metazoa; phylum Chordata; class Mammalia; order Primates; family Hominidae; genus Homo; species Homo sapiens. The sequence goes on along the minus strand of NC_000002.12, from coordinate 55,240,562 downwards.
TATTTGCCCAGGCTGGAGTGCAGTGGCGCGATCTCAGCTCACTGCAACCTCCGCCTCCCGGGTTCAAGCGATTCTCCTGTCTCGGCCTCCTGAGTAGCTGGAATTACAGGTGCCACCACCACGCCCGGCTAATTTTGTATTTTTAGTAGAGACAGGGTTTCACCATGTTGGCCAGGCTGGTCTTGAACTCCTGACCTCAGGCGATCCACCTGCCTCAGCTTCCCAAAGTGATGGGATTACAGGCGTGAGCCACTGCACCTGGCCTCTTATTTGCTATTTTAATTTAGAAAATAAAACAATTTAGATTCAAGTTTCTGCTTGAAAGACAAATAAATGATTATAATGTAATCGTTGTGCTACTTCATTGATCATATTTCTGTTTGCTAGGTGTTATATATGGCTTTAATGTGAATGCAGGCAATGTTATCCAACAGTCAGCTGCAAAAAAAGGAGTAAAAATTAAACTTCACAAAATAATTTACCGTCTTGTTGAAGATTTGCAAGAGGAACTGAGCAGCAGATTACCCTGTGCTGTGGAAGAGCACCCAGTAGGTGAGTGATCACTGAATGTTACTTTTAAAAATTAGTATATTAGGTGCTATAAATAGCACTTCAAAGCAAAGCTTAGAGGAAACGTTTTCAATGTTGAAAGATATATCCTGTGTTCTAGAAAAAAATGACTACCATGAGAATCCATTGTAACTTCTTATGTAAACACCTGCCCTGTGTAACACATTGTGCCTGTGCCTTGATGATACAAAAGCAAATAAGGAATTAGGAACTTGCCCTCCAGTTTAAATATGAACAAATAATTATAATACAAATTACACTACTATTGAACGCATAAAGATTATTAACAGTGTCATGGAAAGAGCTGTTGACTTTGTTGTGGGGCTGGCAGAGAAGTCTACCATAAGAAGAAAATTTACATTTAAATATTAAATATTTAAAAATATTGTTTCTAGCATATATCATAGCCAGAGTAAAGACTGAGTATATTTAAAATTGATTAAATCACCTCATCTGTTTTTTTTCCTCCCCACGTAGATTTTGTGTTTTTTTATTAACTTTTAATTTTGATAATAGTTTTAAATTTCCAGAAAAATTGCAAGAGAAAAACCAGGAACTCCTATATATCTTTTACCTAATTCACCAGTTGTTTACATTTTGTCCTATTTGCCTCATTTTTGTCCTGCTCCATGCACACGTGATGTTTTTTCCCTGGACCATTTGAAAATGTTTGAGATATAGTGCCCATTTGCCTCTAAATATGTACATCTGCTAAGCAAAAGGATACTATCTTATAAAACTACAGAACTAATCAAACTCAGGAAATTTAACACTTATTTGTACAATGCTCTTATCTAATACACAGTCCATATTCACATTTTGTCCGTTGTCCCAACAGTATACTTTTTTTCCCCAGTCCAGGATCATGGATTATAATATATCCATGTTGTCATATCTCTCTAGCTCCATTTAATCTGGAACAGTTCTTCAATTTTTGTTTTTGACCTTGACATTTTTGAAGCATATTGGACAGCTATTTTGTAGAATGTACCTTGATTTGGATTTGTCCAGTGTTTCCCCATGATGAGATTTGATTTTGCATTTTTGGTCTACATAACAGATTTATTATTTTAGGTTTTTCTGACCTGCTCAACATGATCGTACAGAGATTTTTATGTTCTTGTGCTAAGAGCAATGTGGAAAACTGAGTCATGAGGGTTTCTAGGATTAAGCAAAGACACCAGTCAGATAACACTAACAAATAACAGTAGTAAAATAGCACCCTAGAAAATTGGTTCATTATAGTGCCTGTTACTTCATTATTGGAATTTGTATTTTTAGTCAGTGAAAAAAAACAGACTCGGCCGGGCATGGTGGCTCATGCCTGTAATCCCAGCACTTTGGGAGGTCGAGGCGGGCGGATCACCTGAGGATGGGAGTTCAAGACCAGTCTGACCAACATGGTGAAACCCCGTCTTTACTAAAAATACAAAATTAGCCAGGCGTGGTGGCGCATTCCTGTAATCCCAGCTACTTGGGAGGCTGAGGCAGGAGAATCGCTTGAACCCAGGAGGCGGAGTTTGCTGGTGAGCCAAGATCGCGCCATTGCACTCCAGCCTGGGCAACAAGAGCGAAACTCCATCTCAAAAAAAAAAAAAAAAAACCAGGCTCAGAATTAGTAGAATTAGTACTTCTAAGTAGATATAAATTACCTGTGGCAAAATGAAAAATAATGAGGTCAGGTGCAGTGGCTCAAGCGTGTCATCCGAGGACTTTGGGAGGCTGAGGTAGGAGCATCGCTTGAGGCCACGAATTCAAGACCAGCCTCCACAACAAGAAAGATAAAAATAAAAAAATTAGTGGGCATGGTGGCACGCACCTGTAGTCTTAGCTATCTAGAAGAACTGCTTGAGCCCAGGAGCTTGAGGGTACAGTGAGCTATGATCATGCCACTGCACTCCAGCCTGGGTGACCCATCTATAAAAATTTTTTTTAAAAAATAACAGAGAAATAAAGTAATGATAGATGATCTACTCTAGAAAATATATTGAAGGAAAGCTTAAAACAAGGTTTTCATGGAGCAGACAAGAATAGGCAAAGATGGCTGGGTGCAGTGGCTCACGCCTGTAATTTCAGCACTTTGAGAGTCTGAGGTGGGTGGATCACTTGAGGTCAGGAGTTTGAGACCAGCCTGGCCAACATGGTGAAACCCCGTCTCTACTAACAATATAAAAATCAGCTGGATGTGGTTGTGGGCGCCTGTAATCCCAGCTACTCGGGAGGCTGAGGCATGAGAATCGCTTAAACCCCGGAGGTGGAGGTTGCAGTGAGCCAAGATCACACCACTGCACTCCAGCCTGGATGACAGAGTGAGACTCTGTCTCAAAAAAAAAAAAAAAAAAAGAAAAAAAGAAAAGGAAAAGAATAGCCAAAGATTTTCATTCATTTTTATTCTTAATATTGGTCAGGAAAATAAAATTGGAGTTAAAGAAACCCAGACTTTTTTCTAGGCATGAATTTGGATTTTTGTCATACCTTTAATTCTTATACCACAGAATGTCAGAAATTACGTATTTATCAGAATCTTTAGTTTTCTGCACATTAATGTTCTCTTCTTCCTAAAGGTGAGGCATCTATACTAGCTACCTTCTCTGTAACAGAAGGGAAGAAAAAAGTTCCTGTGGCTGGCTGCAGAGTCCAAAAGGGACAGTTAGAAAAACAAAAAAAATTTAAACTAACCCGTAATGGACATGTAATTTGGAAGGGTAAGCAACATCAAAATCTCCTATAATAGCATATCCAGTCACCAAGACCTGTTGACTATATAACCATCTGAAATCTGTTCATCTTTCATGCCCATAATCTCAGCTCAGGCCATTTCTTATTGCTATTGAAACCCCTAAATTGTCTGTAGTTGATGGGTTCCCTTTGCCTGAGATGTATGTTGGTTTTACCCATTCAAGTCCTGAGTACCATCCTGTCCTCAGCAAAAAGTTTATGTCTACCTTTGAAATAGGAGATTTAGGTTATTTTGTTACAAATCAAGTCTTATTCACAGCAAACTTCATTTTTGAGGGGGTTCCCCTGGTATTTAGTCCCATCATTTAACTTGACAAGACCATAAAATTTTTAAGAATTTCAGTGTAATTTCCTGGTTAACACCACATAATGTAGTATTTAGTAGGTACTTATCATTTATTGAATATACTAACCTTAAATTATCTTTTTTAAGGCTCATTAACCTCATTGAAACACCATAAAGATGACATTTCAATTGTCAAAACGGGAATGGATTGTGGTCTCAGTTTAGATGAAGACAATATGGAATTTCAAGTGGGAGACAGAATTGTTTGTTATGAAGAAAAGCAAATTCAAGCCAAGACTTCTTGGGATCCAGGATTTTAAAATTACATTAAAAATGTAAATAACTCAACGTGTTGTTTGTTTGAAGGTAGAAATGCACTACTACTGGCCAAAAAGTATCTAAGTTGTTTTACCATGTGTTCATATGCATTTGCACAAACTGTCAAAGTGCTCAGAAATAGGAAACCTTATTTAAGGATGCCTCCAACTAGAAATCCTTGAATGGAAAGACTGGCAATATGGTAAAAGTGAATTGTTATTTATACATCACCGATTTCTTTCAAGTGTATGCTTTAGTTAAGAGGCTTATCAAGTGAACCAGCTTTCCCTGAATTGAGCTCCGAAGGAAGATAGGCTACCCCAGTCCTGCTTGAAACTAAACTGTCTTTTACTGTTAACAGTACAAATAAGTAATCATTCCTTTATAGGGATCCATCCTGAACAAACATTAAATTCCCAAGCGTTGTACAACAGACAGCAAGCATTCCACTGAAACACCCAGAGACTGAGGATGCATTTTGTTTTTTTTGGAAGCAGGGTTTTGTCCAGGCTGAAATGCAATGCATAATTAATTACAACTCCTGGGCTCAAGGGATCCTTTTGTCTCAGACTTCCCAGTAGGCAGGACCATAGGAGTCAGCCTACTTTTTTTTTTTTTTTTTTTTTTTTTACAGAGATGGGGGTCTTGCTATGGTGCCCAGGCTGCTCTTGAACTCCTGGACACTCAAGTGATCCTCCCAAAGCATAGGGATTACAGGCACCCCACAACAAAGAATTACCTGGCCCCAAATGTCTGTTGTGTTGAGGTCAAGAAATGGACAGAAACACAAACTGGCTTATATTTAGACAACTTACATTAAATATAACTTCTGCCAAAGTATAGGTAGTCTAAGAATTGAAAATATCAAGACCTTTACAAGTGGTTGGCACCTGGCAGGTATACAGAACCACTGGGTCACATAATCCCCAGAGGCAACATTCACACAGCGATAGCAGTAGCACTACTAAAAGGAAATGGTGTGACCATCAATTTGGTGCTTAAAAACCATTCTTTTTACTGCAATAAAACCCAACAATAAATGTTAGTTCATGTCTTTTATTAACTCATACAGTTACTTGTCTTCTGGTTTGTTGAAACAGTAAGTCAGACAACATTTGCCACAATAATGTCTGTCAAAGTGACTTGCCATAAACACCCCAGCACCACATTCATCAGAAGGGCACTCTCGACGAAGGCGACTAATTTTGCCATTCTCATCCACCTGAAAAGCACAAACCTGCTGTTAAGATAATTTTACAACACATTCTGAAGTCTAATTTAAGTGACTCAAAATATTTAAGCTTTTAACTGTGTAATACTGGTGGTTTTGGTGCTTACAAACCAAAGCACCCTAAATTCTCACCAGTTATCATTGCTACAATGAAAACATTCAGAAGTCTTGGGACTTTTGAACACTAAAGGCCAGCTTTGCAAGTGGTAGACAAAGGTAAAGACCTGAACCCAAACCCGACTTTAAACTCAGAACCCTATTACATAACTGATTTCAAATACCAAACAGGAAAAACCCCAGAAAGTCTGAATTTCTCATTTCCAGAATACCTCATTTAAACCAAAGTGGGATAATATTGGGTGTTTAAGTCCAAGAAAATATTGACAAGTACTATAAAGATTAAGTTTTCCAAATAAGCCAAGACTTTGCTGACATTCTGCCCTTTAACTGGCTCACCTTATAATATTTCAGGACAGCCAGCTTAACCTTCTTTCTCTTGTGCTTATTCTTCTTGGGAGTGGTGTAAGACTTCTTCTTCCTTTTCTTAGCACCACCACGAAGTCTCAACACAAGATGAAGAGTAGACTCCTGTTAATGGAAGAATGAAGCAAGCTTTCATGATTCCACTAAGAATGGGCACACCCAACATTATGCATTTTCTAATTAAAAGCAGTAGCAGCACACAATAACATTTGAGGGAATCTTGCAGCCCCCAAACCCAATAAAGTATCAGATTCTTAACTGACAGTTTATAGGGACATTAAAGAATGCATTACATTACACCATGGGATACAACTTGCAAAATTCATAATGGGAGAACTATAGCAGTGCTTCTCAAGTATCAGTATAGGAGTTACCTAAAAATCTACTGCTATTCGAATGCCATTTTCCCTTTTTGTGTGTCAAAATGTCCAGAATACACCACATGGAGTGGCTCACGTCTGTAATCCCAGCGCTGGGAGGCCACGGTGGGAAGATCACTTATGCCCAGGAGTTTGAGACCAGCCTGGGCATGGTGGCGGGTGCCTATAGTTCCAACTACAGGAGGCTGAGGTGGGAGGACCACCTGAGTCTGAGAGGTGGAGGTTGCAGTGACTGCGCCACTCACTCCACCCTAGGTGACAGAGTCAGAGCCTGTCTCAAAAAAAGTAAAATAAAAAATTTCCAAAATAACATTTTTTTTTTAAAAGAGGCTGCTCTTCCCCTAGACAGACCTTTTGAATATTGTAGTCAGACAAAGTACGTCCATCTTCCAGCTGCTTGCCAGCAAAGATCAGTCTCTGCTGATCAGGAGGAATTCCTAATGACAAAAAACAAAAATTAAGTCACAGCACACCAAGCCTGTGATGTGCTCCAGACTTATAAGGTAACACCCCTTAATCAAATACATGATACTAAAGGCTGACAATAAGCCCTTACTAGAGGTTAGGCATGGTTCTAAATCTTTACATGTCACATTTTACCGCATTTAATATTAGGGACAATACTTGGTTGTCTGCAGTGGCTGACACCTGTAATACCAATACTTTGGGAGGTCGAGGTGGGCAGATCACTTGATGTGAAAAGTTCAAAACCAGCCTGGCCAACAAGGTAAAACCCAGTCTCTACTAAAAATACAATAAATTAGCCAGGCATGGTGGTGCACGCCTGTAATCCCCACTAATAGGGAGGCTGAAGCACAAAAATCACTTGAACCCGGGAGGCGGAGGCTGCAGTAAGCCGGGACAAGCGAATGCACTCCAGCCTGGGCGACAGAGGAGACTCCATCTCACACAAAATAAATAAATAAGTGTCCAAATTCACGCAAGTGAAATACACCTCAAGGATTCCAATCTAGGTACTGTGCTCCCCGATCACCAATGTCTATTGTGTTATTCCACAAGTATTTCGCTTTGTCAATCTGACCCCTTCCCCCATCACCAAGAGCAGGTATGTCTAGCACCTACAGGTAGGCCGAAGTCTCCGCAGGTTAAGTTTTCTTAACTACAAAATACTACTTGCCTTCCTTATCCTGGATCTTGGCCTTTACATTTTCTATCGTATCCGAGGGTTCAACCTATGAGTGTTAAAGTGAAAGCATGTTGGTTACACATTAAGGAACTACAGCAGAACTCATTTAGTTTGACAATTACCACTGAACCGAACCAGCGACAGGGCTGAGACCTACTCGAGAGACCTATTACCCACCCAGTGGGCAACCTCCCAAGTCGGCTACCGGAAAGCACCTTCATCTCCCCAGCCCAGAGCGGGCGGCGGCCGCAGGGCCACACGTGCTCGCACCCGGCGGGCAGAGCGTCTCCTTCCCCACCGCAGCTCCTCCGTTTTAACTAACTAGCTGGAACCCCTCGAGAGGAGACAGGTCCAGCCTTTGGCCACCGAAAATCACCTCTAGGTCGTTGCTCAGCAAAAGGTACTCATTTCAAAGCTTAAGTTTTAGAACCCAAATTCGGAATCATGGTCTAAGACATGGAAAGCAGCGCCGGTCCTAAAATCCACCTCAGGACCTTATTCGGACCTTGGCTTCCTCATGACCACCCGGCCCGTACCTCGAGGGTGATGGTCTTCCCCGTAAGGGTTTTCACGAAAATCTGCATTTTGGTGGCGGCTCCACCTGAGGTTGAGGAAAAGGAAGAGACAGGTTAGGTCAGGGATCACAAGAGAAGGCACCATAGGGTGCTAACCCGAGAGCAGCCGAAGTGCAGACACCCACCGCAGATGGCGGATCGAAAAGGAAGAACGCCGCGCAGGCCCACGGGGTTTCCCGGAGCTCCCGCCGAAGGACCCACCCCTTAGGCGACCACACCAAATGCCTGACTGCCGTCCCAGCGACAATCCAACCCGGTGCCAGACTAGGACGTGAACTTCGTTTCTCCTCTCCCTAGCCTGGGCTTATTTCTCACTTTAGCCTTCGGAATGCTTTCGAAACTGTAGGTTTAAGCAACGTAAAAGATGTTTTAAAAAGGCTTTTCCCGTACAATCAACGTGGCTAAGAGAATTTTTAAAAGGAGGTCGAGGGGGGCCTCTTGGGGAAGAGGTAGGAAATGGAAGTGCATTCTGGGAACTGTAGTTCTCCACTGCTTTCTTCTACCTTGGACTACTTGTCCCAAGATGCAGTTCCACCTCCCAGATTCCCTAGTTACTATCTCTAAGCACTGAAGTCGGTGTTTGGAGAAAAGGACTCAGGTGAGGACTGGAGGTAGGATGAAGCGGAATAATGGTTTCCGGAGCGTGGGAACGGGCCGGAAGTGACTAGAGCAAATGTTAAGCGGGGGGCAAAGGGTGCGGGGCACGAAAGGTGTCCTTCACTCACTTCCAGAAGCGGTGATGGGCAGAGAATCAGCAATCTACCAGACGCTCCTTGGGCCTTCAAGGGAAGGGAATTTGCGTGGCCTGCTCCAGGCAAACTGAAAAATAGGTGAAATCTGCGGAAGCGGGGGTTCAGCCCTTTCTCTCCTGTAGCGCCTCCCTGCTTTCAACCGCCGAGTCTCTCCCAGCCTAGGGAAGAGTCTGGGTCTTGTGTGTCACTCCTTAGTGTGACACGCTTTAATATGTTGAAAAATCTCAGGAGTTTTCAAATTTTAAAGTGAAGCCGTACGGAAAAGAAACCTGCAGAATGGTTATTTAGTTGTAGAATTTCCAAATTTGGGCATTGGGAGTCTTGGATCTGAGAGGAAGTTTTTGGAGTATGTATGGGGTGCTTCTTCCGGCAAGGAGGCCAATTAGAAGCAAGTTCTCCCTGTCCTTTCTCCACTCCACAAACCAGAGTCCTTTCTAATGTCTTCTGTATTTATTTCTTCATCCTCTGCCCTCTGCGACCCCATCCCCAAATTCAGACCTTAATTTTCTCTTGTAGGGGTTCCGAATCTAACTCCTTATCTCTCTCCAGTCTTTCCTCCTTTCTAACCCACCTTCACTATTGCCTCCAAAATATTCATTCTGAAAGGTAAATGTGTGTTATTATTTTATACCTCACCTTCAGGATACAATTCAAATTTCTTAGAATGACATTCAGCCTCTGCCTTCCTTACAACCTAATCTGCTAAACCCATTACTCTACATTTTAGTAAATGAAGCTAATTTAATTTCCTGACCTATGCCCTCCCGTGTTTTGGCATTTCTGAAGAATCCAGTCGTTTATTCTTCCTGGAACTTTTTTTTTTTTTTTTCGTGAGACGGAATTTCGCTCTGTTGCCCAGGCTGGAGTGCAGTGGCGCGGTCTCGGCTCACTGTAAACTCCGCCTCCCAGGTTCAAGCAATTCTTCTGCCTCAGCCTCCCGAGTAGCTGGGATTACAGGCGCCCACCACCACACCCGGCTAATTTTTGTATTTTTAGTAGAGATGGGGTTTCACCATGTTGGCCAGGCTGTTCTCTAGCTCCTGACCTCAAATGATCCATCCTCCTTGGCCTCCCAAAGTGGTGAGATTACAGGCGTGAGCCACCACGCCCTGCCTCCTGGAACATTTTTCATCCCCTAGTCCGCCAACTAGTCTCTACAACAAAATTTCCTAGAGTTGCTTGTACATATTGTCTCTAATCTTTCCCTTCCGTTGTCTGAACCCACTCCTGTCAGGCTTTTGTCCCCACCATTCTGATCGGATAGCTCTTGTAATGGTCACTAATGACCTCCATGTTGCTAAATTCAATGGTCATTTCATCTTATTTGATCTGTCAGCAGTATTTGACACAGTTGCTCATTCCATCTCTCTTTGAAAACCTTTCAAAGACTTCACCTCTCAGTTTTTCTGCCACCCTGGAGGCTCTTTTCCAGGCTCATTTGCTGCTTCCTCTTGATCTGCAAGACCTCTAACCATGGAGTATCCCCAAGGCCCAGTCCTTGGACCTCTGCTTTGTCTGCATTTTCTTGGTTATCTCATTTTTGTTTAATAACTTTTAAAGTATCATCATATGCAAATGACTCATAAACTTATCTGTCAGACCAGATATGTCACAGATATGTCACAACTTCATCTTCACATATCCAGCTATCTACTCAACATCTCTAATGGACAGGCCCCAAACACTTAATCTCATGAAATTGCTCTTCCCATGTTTATATATGGCAATTCCCATTTCTCCAGTCACTAAGGCCAAAAACTTTATGATTATCCTTGACTGTTCTTTTATATCCCACATCTTATCTACCTTGGCAGATCTTGGCTTTATTTTCAAAATATATGCAGAACACTTCCTACCACCTCCATTGTTAGCACCCTGATTCAAGCCACCATCATCTTTTGCCTTGATTATTGCAGTAGCTTCGTAACAGCACTTCCAGCTTTGACCCTTGCGTCCTATAATCTGTTTTCCACAGAGCAACAAGAACAATTCTTTTTTTTCTTTTTTTTGAGATGGAGTTTCGCTGTTGTTGCCCAGGCTGGAGTGCAATGGCACAATCTTGGCTCACCGCAAACTCTGCTTCCCGGGTTAGGTGATTCTCCTGCCTCAGCCTCTCCAGTAGCTGGGATTACAGGCATGCGCCACCACGCCCAGCTAATTTTGTATTTTTAGCAGAGACAGGGTTTTTCCATGTTGGTCAGGCTGGTCTGGAACTCCCGACGTCAGGTGATCTGCCCGCCTTGGCCTCCCAGAGTGCTGGGATTACAGGCATGAGCCACCATGCCTGGCCAAGAACAATTCTTTAAAATGTTAAGTCAGCTCTCCCACTCTTCTGCACACAGGCCTCTAAAGGCTTCGAATCTCACTCAGAGGAAAGCCTAAATTCTTACAAGTGAGGCTGTTGCTCCAGTGCTGGAACAAGTAGAGGCCACAGTCCAGTGTTGCTCCTCTTGCCAAGTCTGCCCAGAGAAAGGGACCTCTTTTTCTAAACCGCACAAAGGTACCCCCTAGGCTGATAGTAGTTCTGCCCTCAAGACCCTACATGCTACATAATCTGGCAGTTACCTCTCTGATCTCATCTCTTCTCTCCCTTTCTCATTCTCTTCTAGCCCCACGGGCCCTCTAGCTGTTCCTCAAATGTGTTGTCCCACCCTGAGGCCTTTGGACTGGCTACTCTCTTTGCCTCAACCACTCATCTCCCAGGAATCTACATGACCTGCTATTTTCAGATTTCTGAAATGTCACCTTATCAGTAAGCTCTTTTGTCTTTCCTGACTTACTGCCCTTATAGAAAATGGTATCCTCCCACCTTCCTTACTCTCTATCCCCCATACCTTGTTTTATTTTTCTTCATACAACTTAACCCCTATCTGTCATACTATATTTCTATATATATATAATTTTTTTCTTTCTTTTTTTTTTTTTTTTTTTGAGACAGAATCTCCCTCTGTCGCCCAGGCTGGATTGCAGTGGTATGATCTTAGCCCACTGCAACCTCCACCTCTCTGGTCCAAATGATTCTCATACCTCAGCCACCTAAGTAGCTGGGATTATAGGTGTGAGCCCCTGCGCCCAGCTAATTTTTATATTCTTTAATAGAGACTGGGTTTTGCCATGTTGGCCAGACTGATCTCAAACTCCTAACCTCAAGTGATCCACCTGCCTCGGCTTTCCAAAGTGCTGGGATTACAGGCATGAGCCGCTGTGCCTGGACTATTTTTTTTCTTGTGTGTTGTCTGTTTCTACATGAATGTAACCTTTGTGAGATTAGGGACTTTGTTTTGTTCAATACTGTGTCTCCATTGTCTAGAATAATGGCAGACAAACAATAGGTGTCCCCCAAATATTGAATAAATAAATGTAGCACAACTTAAGCATTGCCCTAGATTTTGTTTTACTAGATGTTTTCCCTAATGTTTCCTTGCCCCCTTCCGTAGGCTGATGAGATGCCCCTCTGGCCTTCTGTAGCCTATTGTGCTTACCTCTGTCACACTGCCTTTTCTGCTTTGTAGCAGTGGCTCATTTACTAGACCTGGAACACTTGACTGGGAACCCTTGTGACTTGTCAACACATCCCTAAATGTCTAATATGAATGAATGAATGAATGAATGGTAATCTTGGTTGGTTTATGTAACTCAATGGCATTTTGTAGATGTTAAGGAACAATCCCTTTAGCTGTGTTCTGGTTTGAGAGCACCACAAGTCCAATGTCTTATGAATAGACTAGATTATTGTTCAGTGATTATTGATTATTCAGCAAACATATGTTTGAGTACTGCTCTGCTAGAAACTGCATTATGCACTTGAATGCATATGGTAGAGGAGGGATGATGGGGAAAGAGAACATTTTGTTTCCTGATCTTGTCACGCTTACAGCCTAACAGATGAGACAGAATATAAACAGGAAGTCTCTAAGGCAGTGTGGTGGAAGGATAATACCATGATGGAGGAAGTGCACAGTATTATGGGAGAACATAGCAGTGGCATCTGACCAATTTTAAGGGAATCCAGGACAGCTTTCCTGAAGCTGAAGAAAGAGTAAAAGCCAGGTGAATCAAAGTGATAGTATGTATGTGTTTTGGGGGTTGGGGGTAATATAGGAGGATGGTCTGCAGGGAGGGGGAGAGAATTATGTAAGATCCTAAGGTAAGAGAGGAAGTTCATGGGTGTGGGAATGGGGATATGGGGCAAAGGACAGGGACATGAAGAGAGTAAATTTGGTCAAAGAAAAAGAGTCATTAGTTTCTGAAGGGCACTAATAGGCCAAGTAAAGGAACTTGGATTTTATCCTAAGGGTAATACGGTAGGAAGCCACTGGTGTCCAAATGTCACTACCCCCTCTCTAATGATAACACCCGTTTCTTCCTCTTTTGACTTTTATCTTTTACTTTTTTTTTTTTTTTGAGATGGAGTCTTGCTCTATTGCCCAGGCTGGAGTGCAGTGGCTCAATCTCGGCTCACTGCAACCTCCACCTCCTGGGTTCAAGTGATTCTCCTGCCTCAGCCTCCTGAGTAGCTGGGATTATAGGCGTGTGCCACCACTCCCAGCTAATTTTTGTATTTTTAGTAGAGATGTGGTTTCACCATGTTGGTCAGACTGGTCTTGAACTCCTGATCTCGTGATCTGCCTGCCTCGGCCTCCCAAAGTGCTGGGATTATAGGCGTGAGCCACCGCGCCTGGTTATCTTTTACTATTTGAAATTATTTATTTATAGTTTGTCTCCCCTACTAGATCATAAGCTTCAAGGAGCCAGGGACCTTATCTTACTTATTGCCGAATTCCTAGCTGTGAAATGGTGCCTGGTGCTTTGTTGACACTCAATAAATACTGACTGAATGAATGAATAAACAAATGTATTTCTCATTTAGGAAAACTTGATTAATTAATGAGTTATTCCCTTGCTGGAACTACTTTATATTAATTCATAAATTGACTTTTTGCTATCCAGTTCATCAACATGAAGATAATTTTGGCCTTTTAATCTTCAGAATTATTTTGGTGTCTCCTCTTCTGTATATGGCTATGGGCAGTATTTACAGGCTGTATATGTTATTCACATAATCAGGTATCAGTTATATTGCCAGAACATGATACAATTGATTGAGACACTTACTTATCATGGCATTGTTTATATTAGTGAAAATAGCAGCCAGGTGCAGTGGCTCATGCCTGTAATCCCAGCACTTTGGGAGGCCAAAGCAGGCTGATCACTTGAGGCCAGGAGTTCAAGATCAGCCTGGCCAACAGGGTGAAACCCCATCTCTACTAAAATTACAAAAAATTACCCAGACATGGTGCCCTGCACCTCTAGTTTCAGCTACTCGGGAGGCTAAGGCAGGAGAATCACTTGAATTCAGAAAGTGAAGGTTGCAGTGAGCTGAGATCGTGCCACTGCACTCCAGCCTGGGCGACAGAGCAAGACTGTCTCAAAACAAAACAAAAATAGTGAAAATATCTGACAATGGGGGAATAAATTAATGGAACATCATACTATGAAATACTGTGTAAGCTTTAGAAGTCATGTTTTAAAAAACGATTTAACAACATGAAAAAGTGCTTTTAATATTAAGTGAAAAAAATGGGATGCACAACTGAATATAGAGTTTAATTTCAAGTTTTGTAATGTTTGGAAGGAAATATTCCAAAATATTAAATAGATATTTATTTCATTAATTTTGTCTGGTTTATATTTTCCGAATTTTATACCAGGAGTATGCTTCTGTAATTAGGGAAAAAGTTACGATGTTGCCTTGCCAGCCATTATTAAGCAAGCCAAGAGTTCTGTTTGAAGTTAATGTGACTAAATCTTAGGCACCAACTTCTGTATCCAACTTCAGTTGGACAATTTTTTTTTTTTCAGTAAAAACTCTTTCTCTTTTTTTTTTTTTGAAATGGAGTCTCGCTCAGTTGCCCAGGCTGGAGTGCAGTGGTGCGATCTTGGCTCACTGCAACCTCCGCCTCCCGGGTTCACGCCACTCTCCTGCCTCAGCCTCCTGAGTAGCTGGGACTACAGGCGCCCGCCACCACACCCGGCTAATTTTTTTGTACTTTTAGTAGAGACGGGGTTTTACCATGTTAGCCAGATGGTCTCGATCTCCTGACCTCGTGAACCGCCCGCCTCGGCCTCCCAAAATGCTGGGACTACAGGCGTGAGCTACCGCTCCCGGCCTTTCAGTAAAAATTCTTTATTCATTCCTTCATCACGTGACAGTTGGCCTTGAGTACTTACAAAGACAGCAGTTCCTGCCTCTCAGAAATCTAAGCAGACATTCCAGAGCTCACAGATCAGTGCCCCACCAACTGCTACCTGGAAGCTTCAGGGAGATGGGGAGCCTGGAGGAGGGGATGCTGCAGGAACCCCCTGGCACGCAGTGGGGCTGGGCTTCGAAGGCATCCAGGACTGAATTCGAGGTGGCAGGGGGCAAGCAGGCAGGCAGCGTGACGGTCATGAGGTGCGGGGTGAGGGCAGGAAGCCCACAGCATTCCTGACTTGGGGTCAGGGGAGACAGATTGGAGGGGCCCGAGATGAAGCCAGAGCTTACAGAGAGGCTGTAAGCCAGCACTCAGCTTCCCGGGAGACCCCAACCACTGCCGGGTCCAGAGTGCCCTGGGAGAATGTCAGGTACCCAGATGTTTCAGTGGAAGATTCCTTTTTCAAACATTAGCTGGTTCTTTGGATTTTTAATTATAAACATAGTACATGATCAAGGTTAAACCATTTTCCAAGCATCACATAAGGATGGGAAGTAATTCTATCCCGCTCTAGACCTTCCAGATTGGCTCCAGAAGGCAGCTGCTGTCAGTGATTTTCCTTACAGACCATTGCAGCCACCTACCTTGCGCCATGGTCCCGAGACAGCATGGCGTCTTCCCCCACACGGACCTGCAGGTGGCCTCTTAGGAGCTTTCTCGCTGAAGGAGGTCATCCCTCTTAGTCACATCTGAGCAGCACTCACTTAGGCCTCGGCCCCGAGGGTCATGCGGGGGCACCTGGCCGGGTTCCCGGCTCTGTCTGGTCTGGCATCTGTCTGCCTTTGGGCTACCTTTTCGGCACAGCTCCCTGGGCCTGTGGCTGCTACAAGCTGGACTCCAGCTCCCCTGGGCTGCAGTGCTGCTCGCAGTGGTCCAGAAAAGAGGCTGGGCACAGCGGCTCCTGGCTCAGCAGCATCCTTGGCGCAGGCTGGCCCAGGAGCTCCGTGCAGGGTGCTGCCAGTTGACCCAGCCCCGGCTGCACTCAATGTCCGAGAACCGGGCTGGCTGGGGGGCCTCTTTGACGGAGCTTTACTCCAAGTCTTGCTGAATTTCCTGAGGAAAAGCACTGATGTTCTCATGGACACAAGGGAGGCAGAATCTCTTGAAGTAGAATAAACTGCACTCCTTTCCAGTCTTCCTTTCTCAGCTTCTCCTGGACCGCCAGCTCCTCCATGCGCCTCAGACACTCCCAACGCCGCACTGCGGGGGTTCCTCCCGCCCTGGCCCATCTCATCCCCCTTGGCTGTTGATACAGCTCCCCTGTGTGCATGTCGCCCTGTGGCAGATGCTCAGGGACTTCTCAGACTCCAGGATCACTCCGAGTACACTGGCCACACAGCCTGCTGCACAAACTGCAGCGCCAGCTAAGGACCAGGAATCTGACATTGTCGGAGGTGAAGGGATCCTTTGTGACATAGCTTTCCTCCAGGAGGACCATCCACTGGGTGTCGGGGGAGCTTCTGCCCCAAGTAGCAGGAGGGAGCTGTCAAGGCGTGGAGTTCACACTCAAACACTCCCAGAGGACGGCACTCTGCATGGGACGCCATCCAGCTCCTTTGACTGTGGAATCAAGTACATTATCAGCTGGCCCCTGGCTCCTGGCTGTGACCTCCCTTCGCTTGAACTGAGCCTTGTGTGTAAGGGCGTATCAAGTTGTATGGGCTTCGCCGCTGGGTGACCCCAAATGCAACTCCAGGAAGCATGGGTTACCAATGACTTTAAGGTTAACGATCAGCTGGGCGCGGTGGCTGACGCCTGTAATCCCAGCACTTTGGGAGGTCGAGGCGAATGGATCACGAGGTCAGGAGTTCAAGACCAGCCTGGCCAACATGGTGAAACCCCCATCTCTACTAAAAATACAAAAATTAGCCGGGCGTGGTGGCGGGCGCCTGTAGTCCCAGCTACTCAAGAGGCTGAGGCAGGAGAATCGCGTGAACTCGGGAGGCGGAGCTTGCAGTGAGCTGAGATCTCGCCGCTGCACTCCAGCCTGGGCGGCAGAGCGAGACTCCGTCTCAAAAAAAAAAAAAAGTTACGATCCGATCGCGGGTGTGCGTGAACCTGACCCTGCTTCTCTTCTGAACACCGGGGCGTCCTAGGCCCCTGCCGAGGCTCCTGGGGGCGGTGCCTGTGAGCAGGGACCGCTGAGCGGGTCCGGGGGCGCCAGTGGTCCCCGCGAGCCTCCGCGCGCCCTCCCTCGCCCCAGAGCCGTCTGAGGTCGGGGGAACCGTCCCCCGAGGCCGACACGCCGCTCCTCCATCCGGTCCCCAAAGCCGAGAGCGGTCGCGCCGACCCTTGGCGCTCGGAGCACAGCAGGCCACGCCGGCGCGGAACTCAGTCCCGGCGAGCGGGAGGTGCCCTGAGGCTGCGCGGGGCCGGCCCACAGCGCGCTCGCCCCCGCCAGGCCGCCGCCGCCCATGATTCTTTACTGAAAGCGGCATAATGCGGCTGCTTGAAAGCTATACTCTGAAAAATACTGTTACTTTTGACATCATTGAGGGATGGATTTTAGCAGAAGTCCGGACCTCTTTTTGCTTGGTACTTTAATATTAAAGATGAGAATTAAAATAAAGTTTATTATAAAAATAAATACATTATTTATTGCTATTGTGTGCTGGGTGAAGCTAGGCCAGATAAGCGCCGGGGTCGTAAAATAGTTGACCTTGTTTGTGTCAAGAGGCTTACAAATTAGTTTTCCCACATGACACAAATAAATATAAAATACCAAACCTTCTATTAGAAAGTGTGAATTATACATAAGAAACCATCGATTATATGATACATGTGAGAGGAGTTGTGCATAGTTAGCAAGAGAAGAGCTCTTCATTGACTGGTGTTTGGTATTTCTGTCCCAGAGCAGCAGCATATGGCAGTGGAATAGCATAGACTTTTTTTTTTTTTTTTTTTTTTTTGAGACAGTTTCGCTCTTGTTGCCCAGGCTGGAGTGCAATGGCGCGATCTCGGCTCACCGCAACTCCGCCTCCGGGGTTCAAGCGATCCTCCTGCCTCAGCCTCCCGAGTAGCTGGGATTACAGGCATGCGCCACCACGCCTGGCTAATTTTGTCTTTTTTAGTAGAGACGGGGTTTCTCCATGTTGGTCAGGCTGGTCTCGAACTCCCGGACCTCAGATGATCCACCTGCCTCGGCCTCCCAAAGAGCTGGGATTACAGGCATGAGCCACCACGCTTGGCAGCATAGACCTTTTAATACATAGGTTGAAGTATTTATCACAGAGACAGATAGGAAATTTTTTTCTAAAAAAAATACATTTTTAGATCAATATTTGACTTAAGTTAAAAAATTATTATATTAATTGATGCTCTTTTTTTCTTTCAGGCTTATCAAAGTTTTGGCTTTGTTGCAAGAGCAGGTCAAGATTTAGCTGTTCTTCAGTGAACAAGTGTGCAGATTGTCAAATATGTCAGTTCATCAAATAAGAAAACATGCAGTTCTCCCACCTATCATTTGTAGAAGTGACAAGGAATTTTTGGAAAGTGTGCAAAGATACATAATTACAGAAACTGAAAGACTGGGCTGTAGTGAGGAAGGACCTGCTGATGAATATTACATCATATACCGAAATGTTTTTGATAAGGTATCATAAAGCTTTTAAGACAATTAAGTTTTCATGAGGATAGCAATGATCTATGTTGACAACCAATATTCCTGCCTTAGTAACACCACTGTTTGAATGATAACATTCCATTTGCTGATTTTGAGAAGTTCATCCAATTTCTCAGAAAGGCATGAATGGGAAAAATGCAATTCTGGATTTGTATTTCCTGACTGTGAATGAGTGTTTCAGTTATTTTAGCTTGAGAGCAGATTATAAGTTTCCTTTATATATTTTTTAAAGAGAGAGTCTCACTGTATCACCCAGGCTGGAGTGCAGTGGCACACTCATATCTCACTGCAGCCTCAAACTCCTGGGTTCAAGTTATCCTCTTGCCTCAGCCTCCTGTATAGCTGGGACTACAGACTTGTGCCACCACTCCTGACTAATTTTTAAAATTTTTTGTAGAGACAAGGTCTCTGTGTTGCCTAGGCTGGTCTTGCACTCCTGGCCTCAAGCAATCCTCCTATCTTGGCCTCCCAAAGTGCTGGGATTACAAGCATGAACTACCAGTGCCTAGCCCAGACTATCAGTTTTTGATCAACTACCTGGCTGTATGTACCCTCTGATAATAATTTTCACCTTTTCATCTAAAAGTATCATCTGATTTGTTAGGAATTGGGCTGCAAGCAGAAACATGATACTTCCTTGTTATTTTGAGTTTGTTTGTGGTATCATTAAAATCTTGGTTTAGATTTGATCTAACATTAAATTGAGGTTCCTTGTAGATTGGAGTTCTATCTAGAATTATCTAGTCATGGTTTACAAGGAATTAGACTGGAATTAATATTGGAAATAGGGAGATCAGCTTAGAAAATGCTCTGACTTTGTGGAACATATTTGATTTTGCTTTTTACGGTTTTAGAAATACCTATTATCCTTCTAAACAATTGCAGTTTGCCCACCAATCCTAATTTATTTATGCAGCTTTTTTTTTCCACCCCATCCCCGGAAGATGCCTTGACAGTGAAATAAGTGAAATCAGCATCTTTCCTCTTTGCCACAGGAAGTACTTACCTTAAGGCTTCAGTAAACTGTTGGTCTCTGAGAAAACAGTCACAGGCAAAATAGAAACTCAGTCTTTTAATTTTTAAACATTACACACTATGACTCTTATTTCTCCTCTAAATAAAAACCTAGTGCCTCACTCTAAGAGAAAGTGAGGTTCAGATAGTGATATATACCTACCAGTAGAATAAGGAAAGTTGATACGTATTCATAGGAGTATAAAATAGAGAAACAGGGTCTTTCCTTCTTTTTATATCATACAGAAAATCTATCCTTTAGAAGTGGTACATTGGCAGGTTAGCTTCATTTTATATGCTGTTAGGATCAATGATATTGCTCTTGGTGTTTTAGTTATTAAGGAATGCATTGAATGAATGTTTAAATAAAGGTAAGGTATTGAATAGGTTTTATAAATATCAAGAGTCATGCTGCGACTCTACTGTGTGAAATTAGCAAAGGAAAGTCATAACTGTAACATGTTTATCTTTGCATGCCCAAGTGTTAACACTTGTCAGAATTTTTCTTACATGAAGAGCTCTCTGCTTTACATTAATATAGTTATAGTGAAGTCATTTTGGAGGTATTGTTGGTAAATTTAATTCCTAGAGAAAACATATGGTGTTAAATAGAAAATAATATTGACATATATGGTCCCTGTTTCTTTTCTCCTGGTGAGGAGAAAAGATTTCTGTTTGTACTATTTGCACATTGCATAATTGTAAATTTTACCTTGTAAAGAATTCTGTTCTTCAGGACTGAGAGGGGATCTAGAAATGGAAATCATTTGGTACTTTGAGAAACTTTTCTTCTAGCTTCTTGATAACATAATTTACCTTCTTCATTTTCACATTATTTTAGCACATTTGATTGTTAATGAACTATTAATGACTGTCTTCTTTGCTCTTCCTACCCTCTTAAAAGGAACTAGTTGGGCAGAAGATAAAAGTGTCAGCTTGCATCTCTGGGTATTTGGAACTAGGGAACAAATACCAAATTGTGTTTAAAATCAAAGATAGATGGTTTGACCTGGAGAATCATACCTGAATCAAAGCAAGGAGGACTTGAAACTCATACCAAGAGTTGGGGGTGGACTGTAGGGTGAGTGAAAAACCTAGTAAGCAGAGAAGACCAAAGCTTGGAAGAATGAACTTTTTTAGAAATGGATGACTTACTGGGCTAGGTGTAGTAGCTCATGTCTGTAATCCTAGAACTTTGGGAGGATTGGTAGGAGCATCGCTTGAGGCCAGGAGTTTGAGACCATCCTGGGCAACATAGCAACACTCTGTCTCTACCAAAAAAGAAAAGGTGGGCAGGGATATGGAGGTAGCTGGACTCTGTAAAGTTGCTGACCTTTTGTGTTCCTGTAGCATATTGTACAAATAGTTCAGATCCATATGGAGGAGCTGAGGTGGAATGGAAACCATTCCTCTTCTTCCTTAGACCCCTGTACCTGGTAAATATAGCTATGGTTATTTTCTTGGATTTAGTAGCAGCCTTAATGCTGGGGTCTCAAACTTAAATGCCTGCAGAGGCCACCAAGGTAATATAAAAGAGTTAAGTGGGCTGACTATAAGAGAATAAGGAATGGTGGGGATTGTGGTAAAATGAAAAACCACAATAAATAAATAAATAAATAAAACCATGAATAAATAAACCAGTAAAGGAGATTGTAATCGAAAGCTCCAGCTATTATTGCCATTAAGGAATAGGGATTCCATGTAGGTAGATTTTTCAGAGTTTGTAAGAGAAGCTGAAAATGTGATTTTGGGTTAAAATTCCCTAAATTTTAAAATATTTTGTTGGTTAAGCAAAATTGCCAGCTGAATTCAACCTGTGATATGCCAGTTTGCATATTTCTACTTTAGTGTATTTTCTGTGCATTCTTAAAGGTTCCCATGAGTGCTCTTCTGAAATCTGTTTTTTCTAACAAACAGACTTGGGAGCTGATCATGATACCACTACATATTTATTACCTACTCATTAATATATCTGAGTTGTCTTGGATTGTTGGAGCATATCAGAGGAGTTCATGAAGTAGATGGCCAGGAGCAACAGGGTACTTAATTTGGAAAGCCGCAGATTGATGACCTCTATTTTATTAAGGATTCTTGATTTGGGTGGATAGGTAGTAAGGTCATGTCTAAAAGACCACAAGTATCACCCACTCAAATATCCTCTCCTGGCACTTGCCAGGAGATCAATAATCTCCTTATATCATTTGCTCATAGACCAGATGCCTTCCTAGATAATTTTTTCTAGATATTGCCTAGGTAAAGAAAGCCAGTGGGGGATACCAGAGGCTAGAGATGTAGCAGGAATAGAAAGCATAATTGCAGCTTTCTGAGAAAATTAGGAATTGAGCCTGTCTATTCTCTGTATTCTTCAATCCCTCTGAAATCCTCATGTGCAGAATTTAGAAACCATACATTATTTATAACTTTTCTATTTTTATTTTTTGACTTATTTAAAAATGTTTATTTTTGCATGGGTAATGCATATATAAGATTAACAAAAAATAAATGAATAAATAAACCAGTAAAGGAGATTGTACAATGGAAAGTCTGGACCTTCTCATCTCAGATTCTACTTCTCCTGTCCTTCTCTGCAGGCACCCACCGTTTCTGTTTTCTTCTGTTATCCTTCCAGAGATTTTCTATGCCTAAACACCATTTGAAGCCATGAATGTATAGTGATGAGGGGTTTTTTACAGTTGCACATGACTGGGAATAGAAATGCAATTAGATATTGAGAATATTGATGAGCCAATAGGAGCTGATGGGTTAGAAAAATAAGGAGGTGAAGAGAATCCAGGATTTTAAGGTTTAAGTGAAGTTAGAGACTAGATTTGGAGCGAGTAAGAGAAGATACAGAATTCTATTTAAAAGATTCAGAACTGGGAAAATTAGAACTAGCATTAGTTTTAACTGAAATCATATAATGCATGTGTTCATACCAAGTAGAACAAAAATGGCCTTTTTTTCTCTCATATTTAAACTCCACATTATCTACTGTAATGTTCCACAAAGAGCACATGTTTAGTAAATATTGCCTTTAGTGTCCAATTATGTTTGAGCTTGCTGTAGAGTTTAGATTTCTAATTGCTAATCATGTTTCATTTTTAAAATAATCTATAATGTTATTTGCAAGAATTTCAATCCATAGCCTCCTAGAAAAAAAATCAATACCATAGGCAGAAAAATAATATTTCAGGTAATAGAGCATATCACTGCATACAAATCCATTCTTACTTCAATCAAAAAAGAATATGATGCCTTTATTGAGACAATAAAGAAAGACCGAAGAACTACATTTTGTCTTCATGGAAAACTTAAAGGTTTGGCAGCAGAGCCTACAGCTTTGGTATATTACAGGAAAAGAACAATCCAACTTGAAGCAAAGTAAGTATTTTAGTAACTAGCCCAAAAGATGGTAGTTGTTGCTTGATTATAATAACTAGCCAGTGTAACTCTAGCTGGTGGTTCTTAGTCTTATTGAATTTCAATTTTATTTAAATGATGCATTTTTATGTTACCTTCTCCTAGTAACTTGAAGTTACTGTATTGTTTACTTACTTCAATTAAAAAATATTACTTTTGTTTGAGAACGTTTATAGTACCTCTTAGTATATATATATATATATATATATATATATATATTTTTTTTTTTTTTTTTTTTTTTTTTTTTTGAGACAGGGTTTCACTCTTGTTGCCCAGGCTGGAGTGCAATGGCGCAATCTTGGCTCGCTGCAACCTCTGCCTCCTGGTCTCAAGCAGTTGTCTTGCCTCAGCCTCCTGAATAGCTGGGACTACAGGTGCATGCCACCATGCCCAGCTAATTTTTTTTTTTAATATTAAAAATAGAGATGGGGTCTCACTATGTTGCCCAGGCTGGTCTCGAATTGCTGAGCTCAAGCAGTCCTCCTGCCTCAGCCTCCCAAAGTGCTAAGATTAAAGGTGTGAACCACTGTGCTGGCCAAAAAGGCAAGAGTGGGCAGTTATAGTCTTTTTGTTTGTTTGAAGCAGGGCTTGCTCTGTTGCCCAGGCTGGAGTACAGTAGCTTGATCTTGGCCCACTGCCACCTCTGCCTCCCAGGTACAAGTGATCCTCCCACCTCAGCCTCCCAAGTAGCTGGGGCTACAGGCACAAGCTACCACGCCTGGCTAATTTTTGTATTTTTTTGTAGAGATGGAGTTTTGCTATGTCAGACTAATTTTTGTATTTTCTGTAGAGACTGGGGTCTCACCATGTTACCCAGGCTGGTCTCCAACTTGTGAGCTCAAGCGATCTGCATGCCCCAGCCTCCCAAAGCGCTGGGATTACAGGCATGAGCCACCACTCCTGGCCCTCTTAGTATAATTGAAAGCACATTTTGTATCATAAAATGAGGGTCCGCACAGGGTGGCTCACACCTGTAATCCCAGCACTTTGGGAGGCCAAGGTAGGAGGATTGCTTGAGGCCAGGAGTTTGAAATCAGCCTGGGCAATATAGTGAGTCCCTGTCGTTACAAAAAAGTTTAAAAAAAAATTAGCTGGGTGTGGTCCCAGTTGCTTGGAAGGCTGAGGTGGAAGGATTGGTTGAGCTTGAGAGATGGATACAAATGAGCCATGATTGCGCCACTGCACTCCAGCCTGGGTGACAGAGCGAGACGCCATCTCAAGAAAAAAAAAAGGAATAAAATAAAATAAATAAGGGATGCAGGTAATTGCTCCAGGTAATTTCCTCCATGGAAGATTTAATAGTACAATTTCATGATTACTATCTGAATTAGAGCACTTAATCCTGTTATTCACAAAGGTAAGTAACCTACTGGGAGAGGATAAGATGCTCAATCTTGTTAAGTAGTCTTATATTTTCAGTGTTACATTTGGTCACTGATGGATAAATTATTTTTATAGATAATTTTCTTTTTTTTTTTTTGAGACGGAGTTTCGCTCTTTTTCAGGTCGGAGTGCAATGGTGTGATCTTGGCTCATGGCTCAGTGCAACCTCCGTCTCCCAGATTCAACCGATTCTCCTGCCTGAACATCCCAAGTAGCTGGGATTAACAGGCTCTTGCCACCATGCCCGGCTAATTTTTTTTTTTTTTTTTTTTTTTTAGTAGAGATGGGGTTTCACCACGTTGGCCAGGCTGGTCTCGAACTCCTGACCTCAGGTGATCCGCCCGCCTCGGCCTCCCAAAGTGCTGGAATTACAGGCATGAGCCACCGTGCCCGGCCTTTTACAGATAATTTTAAGTCAACTTGGAAACTATGCAAAGTTTGACCTCCATTTCTGGTAATATGGCTGGCTAGATGTTGAGATAGACCTTCCTACTGGGGAAAAATACTACCTAATACATTTTTTCAAAAATCTTCCGAAAAGCATCAGAAAGTCAAAATCAGGGCAAAATCTAACAGAAGACAAAAGATAAGTGGAGCACTAAAACTGCTTTGGACCCGAGAACATTTTTTTAAAAGCTAGTGACCATAATTTTCAGTTTTTACTACGGCATGCAGAATAAAAAGCACAGCCCAAGATCGCTCCACCTGGTATAGTCTATTGGGAAACACTCACCATATAAAGCTAGGATGCTAAAAGGCTATCATCATAGGGTGAACCAGAGGTAAACTGCTCCACCCCTGGGACCGCAAGGAAAATTGCCCTTTACTCAGCTGATCATTGATGGGTATGCAGTTTATCTGGGGCCAACGAAATGTTCTGGAATTAAATAGTGGTTGTGGTTGCACAACTATACTAAAATTCCTTGAACTATATATACAAGGATGATTCTTGAAGTATGTGAACTATATCTCAATGAAGCTATTATAAAAAGATGGAAGGCAGAGTGGGAAGGTCATATTGTTATGTCTAATCACAGCTCTACAATGAAGAGAATATGGGACAAAGACAATATTTGAAGAAATAACAGCTGAGAGTTTTCTCTATTCTGTTAGATTTTGCCCTGATTTTGACTTTCTGATGCTTTTGGAAAGATTTTTTAAAAATATATTCTGTAGTACTTTTCTTCAGTAGGAAGGTCCATCTCAACATCTGGCCAGTCATATTGCCAGAAATGGAGGTCAAACTTTGCATAGTTTTCCAAGTTGAGTTAAAATTCTCTATGAAAATAATTTATCTATCATTTACCAAATGTAATACTGAAAATATGTGAAAGATACTGATTCACAGATTCAACAAACCCAAAGAATCCCAAGCATCATAAATACGAAGAAATACTCAACTAGATTCATCTCAGTGAAGTTGTCAAAAATAGAGATCATAAAATTAGCATAGAAAGCAGCAAAAATTAGATACTTTCTCGTCCATGTGGTAATGTATTAGAACTTAATTCCTTTTTATGGCTGAATAATACTCCATTGTATGTATATACTACATTTTGTTTATCCATTCATCTGTTTTTTGGACACTTGGATTGTTTCCATTTTTGGCTATGTGAATAATGCCACTCTGAAAATTCATATACAAGTATCTGCTTTCAGTTTCTTTTGAAAACCTGCTTATTTTTGACATATCTTTTGTTTATAAGCACAAATCTATTTAGAATAAAGCCAGTGGATATTTTATTTCCACAATCCTTTCATAAATACTGTAAGCTCTTACTCTGAGCCATCAATAGTTACCAAGAGCACTATATAATAATCAGAAGCAGCAGCCAGCAGTTATCTACTGACAAACTCGTTTTTTATTTTATTTTATTTTTTGAGACGGAATCTTGCCCTGTCTTCCAGGCTGGAGTGCAATGGCATGATCTTGGCTCACCGCAACCTCTGCCTCCCGGGCTCAAATTATTCTCCTGCCTCAGCCTTCCGAGTGGCTGGGATTACAGGTGCCCACCACCACACCCAGCTAATTTTTGTATTCTTAGTAGAGATGGGGTTTCACCATGTTGGTCAGGCTGGTCTCAAACTCCTGACCTCGTGATCTGCCCTCCTTGGCCTCCCACAGTGCTGGGATTACAGGCATGAGCCACCGCGCCCAGCCCAAACTTGTTTTTAATTTGCCAAAAACCCTGTGACATTTATGTATTGACAAAAATTCTCTTCCTGATCAAATTTTACTCAGGCTCTCCTGAACCCTTTTCAACTAGGCCTGACTTTTGGACTTCCACATTCATCTCTGCACCATTCAGTTTTAGCAAGAATCCTGTGAAGCAAGTTTAGCCAGAACCCCCCATCCATGACATGTGATCCCCCAACCATCCTCCAGGTGATGCCTAGTTACTGTGACCTGCCTTCAACTAGAATCCTCTTAGGTCAATTTATCCAGAATCTCTCCTCACATCTGATGTTTTCTTTTAGTAATTTGTCATCCACTGACCCCACCCTGCTCCTTAGCTACCACTTCCCACTTGCCCATGTCATATTCAGATTGAGTCCAATCATTCTCCATTGTAGTGGTTCCTATAGCTATTGGCATGGCCCCTCTTGAAAAAAGTCTTCCTTACTATGCTTTAACAAGTGTCAAAAATAATTTTTCTGTGTGTATTTTAATATGTTATTTCTCCCTTGGGCCAACATAACTAGGAAGAAAACTTCAAATAATGCTTAAGAGAAGTTTATACTACCTTTTGGTCTTTAAAATTTTCATTTCTGGATAAACTTAGTTTTATCTCAGGGAAGTGCTGTCCTTCCTCTAGCTCTAGGATCAAAATTACTGTAGTAGGCTCAATAAAGTTTTTCAAAGACATCAGGTCCTAGTCTCTAGAACCCCTAAATGTTAACCGTATTTGGAAAAAGGGTCTTTGCAGATGTGATTAAAGATTTTGAGATAGGGAGGTTATAAAAGTAAGCCCTAAATATGATCATAAATGTCCTAATAAGAGGGAAACAGGAGCTTTGCCATAGGCAGAGGAGAAGGCAGTATGACCATAGAGGCAGAGACTGAAGTGATGAAGTCAGAATGCCTGCAGCCCCAAGGCTGGAAAAGGCAAGGAACAGATTCTGAAGGAAGCACGGCTCTGCCAACACTTTGATTTTGGTCCGGTGATACTGATTTTGAATTTCTGGCTTCCAGAATTGTAAGAGAATAAATTTCTGTTGTTTGTAGTCACCAGGTTAGTGGTAATTTATTACAGTTGCCACAGGAAACTAATATAATTACTTACCAAAATATTTTTTAAATTACAAAAGTAATTTTCTACTAAAGAGAATAGTTTGTGGCCATATTATTGTGATTAGCACTTAACGAATTTCCAATAGGGTTCAGAATCATAGTATGAGATTTTATTGATGCTCAGAAAGAAAATTCTTCCTCATTTGTGAGGCTAGATAACTTTTTCAGGGCATTTCACCTAGTCCATAATGGTTCAAAATAAAGTAATGATTTAACCTGTTTGACTTTAGGTTTTGTGGTTCAAGAATTAAGTTAGTTGAAAGACATAAGAAAGCCTTTCTGTTTTCCAGAATGAGGATTATCGAAAGTAATTCCTCGAAGATTCAATCTCAAATAGATCACATCAAGCAGTGTAGGGCAGAGTATGACACAAAAGAAGTAAAATATTGTACTTTCTCCAAAGATCCTTCAAAACCTATTCCAGGTATTGTATTTTGTTTAAAATATTTGAGAGAAATCCTGATTATTTCCAATTTTTACCTAAGGCATGCATTAATATAAATGTGCTGATGTATGTGCATCTTGCACATGTGTGTGTGTTGTACACATAATTTTAGTCAGGACTGTAGGTAGATTCAAGGGAATGGAAAAACGAACTCTAAAAGATTGAGTTTCAGTCAGCTGGGTTATATAAAGTGTAATGCAGTGGCTCCTGAAGTATGGTTTCCTGTATCAACATCAGCATCACCTAAAGACCTCTTAGAAATGCAAATTCCTGATTCCCATCAGATCAGAGACTTAACTGTGTCAGAAACTCAGTGGGTGGAGTTCAGCAGTGTCTTAACAAGACCTTCAGGTTTTTCTTTTCTTTTCTTTTTTGAGACCTAGTCTCTCTCCGTCACCCAGGCTGGGTGTGCAGTGGTGTGATCTCGGCCCACAGCAACCTCCCTCTCCAGGGTTTAAGCGATTCTCGTGCCTTGGCCTCCCAAGTAGCTGGGATTACAGGCGCGTGCCACTGTGCCCAGATAATTTTTGTGTTTTTAGTGGAGATGAGGTTTCATCATGTTGTCCACGCTGGTCTCAAACTCCTGGGCTCAAGCGATCCACCCGCCTCAGCCTCCCAGAGTGCTGGGATTAAAGGCATGAGCCACTGTGCCCAGCCGCTTCAGGTTTTTTTGATGCACTCTAAAGTTTGAGAACGACTGGTATAATATAAGGAAAACTGTAGTGTATTAAGTTTTGGTGGATATTGTTGATTCATGTTGATGTCAGCATTCACTGCTTCCACATCTTCAGCATAATACTGTTACCACATTTTAAGAAATTGTAGTATATCCTGGAATTCATCTAGGATATGGAGAGGTTTTTACGATGAGTGGATAGAGGAATTACAGATATTCATCCTGGAAAAAAGAAAGACTTTGAGAAAAGATAATGGTATTCCAAACTTTTAAAGATTTTGGCTAGTGTTTATTCTGAGGCAGGATTAATAGGTAGAAATTTTAGGAAGCCAGATTTGGTCTTGGTGGAAGAAGCTGTGTGTTGAAGTAATGAGCTACTCTATACTAAAGGATTTCAAATGAGGTTGAATAATCATCTTGTGTTTCATAAAAGTAGGGACTAGATTCACTTTCTTTTTTTTTTTTTTTTTTTTGGAGACATAGTCTCGCTCTGTCACCCAGGCTGTAGTGCAGTGGCCTGATCTTGGCTCACTGCAAGCTCCGCCTCCTGGGTTCACACCATTCTCTTGCCTCAGCCTCCTGAGTAGCTGGGACTACAGGCGCCTGCCACCACGCCCGGCTAATTTTTTTGTATTTTTAGGAGAGACGGGGTTTCACCGTGTTAGCCATGATGGTCTTGATCTCCTGACCTTGTGATCTGCCCATCTCGGCCTCCCAAAGTGCTGGGATTACAGGCGTGAGCCACTGCACCTGGCCTAGATTCACTTTCAAATATAAAATTGTGACTAGCAAATGACGAATAAGATACATATTAATAAGTACAGTATAACTGACAAATTGGGACTAAGTGCTGAGAAAATTCTGGGTAAGGGACTGGTTAAAATTAAGTAGAATCAATGCAGGTAAGTTTCTGGGGGAGGAGTATTTTGTGATATGTACTAAAGTCAACAATTGGCCCAGATGAGAAAGGAGGATTATTTAGGGCTGGGCACAGTGGCTCATGCCTGTAATACTAGCACTTTGGAATGCTGAAGTGAGAGGATCTCTTGAGTCCAGGAGTTTGAGACCAGCCTGGGCAGACCCTGTGAGAGCCTCTCTCTCTCTCTCTATATATATATCTACATATTTTTTAAAGGCATTTGAAGAGAAAGAGAGAGAGTTATGAATAATAAGTAGACGGGAGAGTGAGAGAGAGGACTGAAGATTTGGCAGGCATTTATATTTTGTGTTGAGAATAATAAACTGATTACTCTGGGGTTAGCTATAATAGGGTAATGAGAGATTTGTTTAGAGAGAAATCTGTTGACAAATCCTGAATTGTTAGGCAGAAGCTCGTGGCGTTACTGAGTAACAGTGATATTTACGGGTCTTCAGGGTGTGTTAATGAAATCACTAAAAAATTTTTTTTCAGATGCTAAGGTTTATGTGTTCTCAGTCTTCACCGAGTCTTCATTGATAATGTTTAAAACTGCTAGCCTGAGGCTGGGTGTGGTGGCTCACACCTGTAATCCCAGCACTTTGAGAGGCCGAGGCGAGCGAATCACTTGAGGTCAGGAGTTCAAGACCAGCCTGGCCAACATGGTGAAACCCCATCTCTACTAAAAATACAAAAATTAGCCGGGCATGGTGGCAGGCGCCTATAGTCCCAGCTACTCAGAAGTTGAGGCAGGAGAATTGCTTGAACCTGGGAGGCAGAGGTTGCAGTGAGCTGAGATTGCACCACTGCACTCCAGCCTGGGCGACAGAGTGCGACTCCATCTCAAAAAAAATAAAAATAAAAATAAAATAAAATAAAATAAAATAAAACTGCTAGCCTGGCCTGGCACAGTGGCTCACGCCTGTAATCCCAGCACTTTGGGAGGCTGAAGTGGGCAGATTGCTTGAGCCCAGGAGTTTTAAGACTAGCCTGGGCAACATAACAAGACCCTGTCTGTATTAAATAAATGAATAAATAAATAAATAAATAACCTGCTAGCCATTCACAAGTTTATGCTAATTTTACTTATGTTCAGTAAGCTATAAGTACATACTATCATTTCTAAATTGTTTCTTAACATAGTGAACTGTCTTTCTAAGACTTGCTCTTTGAGCACAAGCGTCCCACACATGGCTTGTCGTGTTTGATTTGTTCCCTTTCCCCATAGGCATGACTCTTCAAGAATCCATGAATCTAGATGCTCTCACTAAATACATGAAACATCTTGAAGATAAATATGCAGAAATTAAACAAGCTATGTTGATAAAATATGTGCCAGCTCAGAGGAAGGCTGATTTAGATGAAGAAATGATTGTGTTATTAAAACGGCGAGATGTAGCTGAAAATCTGAACAAAAAATTGCAGTTTTGGTATGGAAGTTGATTATATGTTTTTAAAGTTTGGAGTTTTATTTGTGTTTATTCTAATATTCCACCATTTGATTTTAGGCTCAGTGTGTTATTGACGTTTTTTATCTTTTTAGTCATCAAAGACTGCAGATAATTTCACAGGCACTTAGTTCATGGGTAAAATCTGATATGAGCAGCCCATTTCAAGACTTTGTGGAGCAAATTCAGAAAACCAAATATTTACAAGGTAGATTATCTATATTTTTAAATTAGTACCAATAATGGAAGACATTTTTTTCGCTAGCTAGTTAGAATGGGGTTTTCTTAGGCTGAGTTTAAATAAAGCAAGATCATACTTCAGCTGGTTGTCTGTTACGCTATGGGTTTCTTCCTTCAACAGCTAACAGATAATTAGTAAAGAATAGACTTGGTGAGCCAAAGACAGAATGCCTGAAAATGTACATCAAAATAAAGAGGAGGCCGGGCACGGTGGCTCATGCCTGTAATCCCAGCACTTTGGGAGGCTGAGACGGGCAGATCACGAGGTCAGAAGATCGAGACCATCCTGGGTAACACAGTGAAACCCCGTCTCTACTAAAAAAAATACAAAAAATTAGCCGGGTGTGGTTGCAGGCACCTGTAGTCCCAGCTACTCGGGAGGCTGAGGCAGGAGAATGGTGTGAACCCGGGAGGCGGAGCTTGCAGTGAGCCAAGATAGGGCCACTGCACTCCAGCCTGGGTGACAGAGCCAGACTCCGTCTCAAAAAAAAAAAAAAAAAAAAAAAGAGGAAAGGGACGGGGAGGCCACTAAGTTTAGGAAGAGGTTGCTGCTGTTAGGAGCCATAGCAATAAGCTGTTGGTATTAAACACATGTATGTTTATTGTTTTCTATTGGTAAGTAACCTTAAATATCTTCCAGTAGTACTTTCAATATTTACAGGTGACCAAGGCATTGTTGAAGAACTAATGGAAGATGATCCACGCAGGGCAAAAGAAGCTGAAATTATGCTTCACTACATTGAAAGGCAAATATTTTAAAAGCTTTAATTTTTCAGAATTATATTTTTTCATAGATTCTTTGTGAATAACATACCAGATTGGGAATCTAGGAGATTTTTCAGAGGAGATAAGAGGATTATAATGTTGATATGTTTTATTTATACAGGTTAAGCATTCCTAATCCAAAAATTTGAAATCTGAAATGCTCCAAAATCCGAAAAATTTTGAGCACTGACATGAGATAGTGATACCTCTGTTTTGTGATAGATCAATATGTACACAAATTTTGTTTCATGCACAAAATTATTAGAAATATTATATAAAATTGCCTTCAGGCTATGTGTATATGGTATATATGAAATATAAATTTTGTGTTTAGACTTGGATCCCATCCCCAAGATATCTCATTATGTACATGCATATATTCCAAAATATGAAAAAATCTGAAATCCAAAACACTTCTGGTCCCACGCATTTAGGATAAGGGAAACCCAGCCTGTATTTTTCTTACATTTCCTAGCTATCAACCTGATGTTACAAAATGTTTTTGAGAATGTCTTCCTGATTCAGATTATTCTAGCCAATTCAGTCCTTTCTTTCTCATTACTTCTATCCCCTGACTTATTAAGGAGGCATATTTCTCCCTAATACTTAAGTTATTATACATAGTATATAAGATTAAAGAGATTTAAGACTATATTCTTTTTTACTTTGTTTACTTTTTATCAAACATTACTTTCATCAAATATTTCAAGTATACATAAAAATACAGACAATAACATTAACAAAATGTTATTCTGTGTACCAACTTAGCAAGAAATTAACATTTTGCCGTATTTACTTCAGCTCTTTTTGTAGAAGTTTGTTACAGTTGACATCCTACTGTGTATCATTCCTGCTATCTTCAATTCCTTTTCCCTCCTTTTTTCCCCTCACAGTTGCTCCCCTGGTGTTTAACATGCAGGAGCATTTTTAAACATTTTTAATACATAGTAAGACTATATTCTTTAAGAGGTTAATTCATAGGCTATGACGCTTATCTGTAATGAACATATGTAATATTCCTGGTCTTTATATGTTAAACAGTTTTCAACTGTTAATTGGATTGTTGGTATGGTAAAAAGAAGGGGGTAAATATAATTTTGGGCAGAGCACAAAAGCTCATGTTATTTCCTTACACTGTAATGCTTCTGTAAGTCTGACAGTTTGATATGAGAGAAAAACCCTTGTTGAGATTGAAAGTTTTATGTATTTTGCTTAATATTACTTTAGTGGGTTTTCCGCCTGGGGCTCCACATTCATTTGCAACACTGTGTAACTTCTGTTTATCATAGTTTTATTAATTGTGAGGTAAGGACTGATTTGAAGACCTTTTGCCATAGGAAGAGGAGTAGAGGCTTAAGTTATCTTAACTATTATCTTTCCTTCTTGTGCTAATCTTCGATTGGGAACCTGTTGCCTGGCAGAACAACATAGGCTTCTGAATACCAAGGACACCTCTTGATCTCCAGTTTGGCAGCTTCATTTTTTTTTTTTTCAGACGGAGTCTCACTCTGTCGCCCAGGCTGGAGTGCAGTGGCACAATCTTGGCTCACTGCAACCTCTGCCTCCCGGGTTCAAGTGATTCTCCTGCTTCAGCCTCCTGAGCAGCTGGGACTACAGGCACATGCCACCACGCCTGGCTAATTTTTTTTTTTTTTTGTATTTTTAGTAGAGACAGGGTTTCACCATCTTAGCCAGGATGGTCTCGATCTCCTGACCTCGTGATCCCCCATCCTCGGTCTCCCAAAGTGCTGGGATTACAGGCATGAACCACCATGCCCGGCCCAATTTGGTAGGTTCTATCTTCAATTAATATTTCCTTTAGGCGATGTTTCTAAGCAGATTGCCCTTCTTTCCTCTGATGCCAGTACTTTTTCATGTGGAGATGATATGCAGGGAAAAAAATCTGAGTTCATAATAAATTCAAGTTCTTTCTTCCATCCTCTATGGCTTGCTGTAAGTGCTATAGGAATAAAGTTTAGGATCATGTTCAAAGTCAGCTAGCAGGTGGGAGTTTTATTCTGAGACTTAAAAAAAACCCAACAGAGTACTAGAGAAGGATTTCAAGGAACATCTTACAGTGTGAATGATTCTAGTTATAGTTTATTAGAATTCCTTTTTGTTTTTCCATATCGTTATGCCGCTATATTTAGTCTGTATTAAACATTTCTAATCAGTTTTTTCTCTTTTTCTTTGTGTCATTATAATGCATTTTAAAATGTGATGGCTATAGGTTTAATGAGTTAATCTCACTTGGTGAATATGAAAAGGCAGCTTGTTATGCAGCAAACAGTCCTAGAAGAATTCTTCGAAACATTGGTACAATGAATACATTTAAGGGTAAGCATTTCTCTCTGAACCTTATATATGTATGAAAATTTACTACTTTTTCTCTCATAAAATAGAAAAAGCATTAAACTGGGAGACTAAAGATCTAGGCCCCAGCCCTATCTCTACCATTTACTCAGTTTGCTTAGCAGTAACATTAGGGATTTGATTAGATTTTCTAAATTACATTATGAACGATTTTAAGTATACAGAAAAGTATGGAGAAACATTAACACCCATGTACTCACTATCAAGATTTAATAAATGTTAATACTTTGTCAAATTTGCTCCACATCCTTTTAAAACACAGCTTCCTTGTGGTAAATTGACATAATACAACAAATTGTACATATTAAAGTACACAATTTGGTAAGTTTTTTTTTTTTTGAGACAGAGTTTCATTCTTGTTGTCCAGGCTGGAGTGCAGTGCACAGTCTTGGCTCACTGCCACCTCTGCCTCCCAGGTTCAAACGATTCTCCCGTTTCAGCCTCCCGAGTAGCTGGGATTACAGGTGTGTGCCACCACACCCATCTAAATTTTTTGTATTTTTAGTTGAGACAGGGTTTCCCATGTTGGCCAGACTGGTTTCAAACTCCTAACCTCAGGCAATCCACCTGCTTTGGCCTCCCAAAGTACTGGAATTACAGGTGTGAACCATCGTGCCCAGCCCAATTTGGTAAGTTTTGACATATGCATACACCCATGAGATTATCACTCAAAAGTTCCCTCATGCCCCTCAGTATCCCTCTCTTCCTGCTACTTCCTAGTTCTCTCGCCCTAATTTATTTTACTTAGGATAATGGCGTTCAGTTTTATTTTATGGCTGAGTAGTATTCTGTGGTGTGTGTGTGTGTGTGCGTGTGTGTGTGTGTGTGTGTGTATTTTCTTTATCCAATCATCCCTTGATGGACACTTAGGTTGATTCTCTGACTTTGCTATTGTGAATAGTGCTGTGATAAACATAATGAATGCAGGTGTCTTTTTCATATAATAGTTTATTTTCCTTTGGGTAGATACCCAGTAGCGGGATTGCTGGATTGAATGGTAGTTCTATTTTTAGCTCTTTGAGAAATTTCCATACTGTATTCCATAGAGATTGTACTAATTTACATTCCCACCAAAAATGTAAAAGCGTTCCCTTTTCTCCACATCCTCTCCAACATCTGTTGCCTTTTGACTTTTTATTAATAGCCATTCTGATTGGTGTAAGATGGTATCTCATTGTGATTTTGTAGTTCCCTGCTTTGTAGATTTCCCTGCTTTGG
Source organism: Homo sapiens (assembly GCF_000001405.40). Taxonomy (NCBI): domain Eukaryota; kingdom Metazoa; phylum Chordata; class Mammalia; order Primates; family Hominidae; genus Homo; species Homo sapiens. The sequence goes on along the minus strand of NC_000002.12, from coordinate 55,205,015 downwards.
GCAGTATGGCCATTTTAACAATTTAACTATTTTTTTTAACCCATTAAACAGCCCAACTCCCCCACCCAACTCCCCTACTACCCTTCATAGCCTCTGGTAACCATCCTTCTACTGTGTTCATGAGTTCAATTGTTTTTATTTTTAACTCCACCAACAAGTGAGAACATGTGAAGTTTGTCCTTCAGTGCCTGGCTTATTTCACCTAACATAATGACCTCCGGTTCCATCCATGTTGTTGTAAATGATAGGATCTCATTCTTTTTTATGACTGAATAGTACTCCATTGCCTATACGTACCACATTTTCTTTCCATTTGTCTGTTGATGGACACTTAGGTTGCTTCCAAATCTTGGCTATTGTGAATAGCACTGCATTAATCATAGGATTGTTGATCATATGGTATAATCATAGGATTGCTGGATCATATGGTAACCCAAGTTTTCATTTTTTGAGGAACCTCCAAAGTGTTTTCCGTAGTGGTTGTACTAATTTACATTCCCACCAACAGTGTACAAGGGTTCCCTTTTCTCCACATTCTTGCCAGCATTTCTTATTGCCTGACTCTTGGATAAAAGCTACTGTTTTAAGTGGGCTGAGATGATATCTCATTGTAGTTTTGATTTGTATGTCTCTAATGATCAATGATGTGGAGCACATTTTCATATGCCTGGTTGCCATTTGTATGTCTTCTTTTGAGAAATGTCTATTCAAATCTTTTGCCTTTTCTTTTTTTGACAGAGTTTCCCTCTTGTTGCCCAGGCTGGAATGCAATGGCGTGATCTCGGCTCACCACAACCTCCGCCTCCCAGGTCCAAGTGATTCTCCTACCTTAAACTCCCTAGTAGCTGGGATTACAAGCATGCACCACCATGCCCAGCTAATTTTGTATTTTTAGAAGAGATGGGGTTTCATCATGTTGGTCAGGCTGGTCTCTAACTCCTGACCTTAGGTGATCCACCTGCCTTGGCCTCCCAAAGTGTTGGGATTACAGGTGTGAACCACCTCACCTGGCCATCTTTTGCCCATTTTTAATCAGATTATTAGATTTTTTTCCTATGGAGTTGTTTGAGCTCCTTATGTATTCTGGTTATGAACTCCTTGTTAGGTGGGTAGTTTGCAAATATTTTCTCCCATTCTGTGGGTTGTCTCTTCACTTCGTTGATTGTATCCTTTCTGTGCAGAAGCTTTTTACCTTGATGTGATCCCATTTGTCCATTTTTTTCTTCAATTGCCTGTGCTTATGGGGTATTATGCAAGAAATTTTTGCCGAGACCAATGTCCTGGAGAATTTCCCCAATGTTTTCTTGTATGGTTTCATAGTTTGAGGTCTTAGATTTAAATATTTAATCCATTTTGATTTGGTTTTTTCTATGACAAGAGATAGGGGCCTAGTTTCATTTTTCTGCATATGGATATCCAGTTTTCCCAGCACCATTTACTGAAGAGACTGTCTTTTCCCCAGTATATGTTCTTGTCACCTTTGTCAAAAGTGAGTTCACTTTAGGTATGTGCATTTGTTTCTGGGTTCTCTATTCTGTTCCATTGGACTGTGCATCTGTTTTTATTCCATTACCGTGCTGTTTTGGTTACTATAGCTCTGTAGTAGAATTTGAAGTTAGATAATGTGATTCCTCCAGTTTTGTTCTTTTTGCTTAGGATGGTTTTTGGCTATTCTGGGTCTTTTGTGGTTCCATATAAATTTGGGAGTTGATTCTTCTATTTCTGTGAAGAATTTCATGGTATTTTGATAGGGATTGCATTAAATCTGTAGATTGCTTTGGGTAGTATAGACATTTTAACAATACTGATTCTTCCAATCCATGAATATGGCATATGTTTCCATTTTTTGTGTGTCCTCTTCAGTTTCTTTCATCCGTGTTTTATAGTTTTAATTGTAGAGCTGTTTCAGTGCTTTGGTTAATTCTAGAGCTGTTTCAGTGCTTTGGTTAATTCTAGGTATTTAATTTGTGGCTATTATAAGCAGGATTACTTTTTTAAATTTCTTTTTCAGATTGTTTGTTGTTGGCATATAGAAATGCACTGATTTTTATATGTTGATTTTGTATCTTTCAACTTCACTGAGTTTATCAGTTCTAATAGTTTTTTTTTTTTTTTTTTGAGATGAGTCTCACTCTGTCACCCAGGCTGGAGTGCAGTGGTGCAATCTCAGCTCACTACAACCTCTGCCTCCCAGGTTCAAGTGATTCTCCTGCCTCAGCCTCCCGAGTCGCTGGGCCAACAGGTGTGCACCACCATGCCCAGCTAACTTTTTTGTATTATCAGTAGAGACGGAGTTTTGCCATGTTGGCCAGTCTGGTCTTGAACTCCTGACCTCAAGTGATCAGCCCGCCTTGACCTCCCAAAGTGTTGGGATTACAGGTGTTAGCCACCATGCTTGGCCTCTAATAGTTTTTTGGTGGAGTCTCTAGATTTTTTTCTTTTACTTTTTTTTTTTTTTTGAGACAGAGTCTCACTCTTGTCCCCCAGGCTGGAGTGCAATGGCGCGATCTCAGCTCACTGCAAACTCCGCCTCCTGGGTTCAAGCAATTCTCCTGCCTCAGCCTCCCGAGTACCTGGGATTACAGGCACCTGCCACCAGGCCCGGCTAATTTTTGTATTTTTAGTAGGGACAGGGTTTCTCCATGTTGATCAGGCTGATCTCGAACTCCTGACCTCAGGTGATCCGCACACCTCGGTCTCCCAAAGTGCTGGAATTACAGGCATGAGCCACCGCACCCAGCTAGGTTTTTTTTTTTTTTTCAAATATAAGATTACATCATCAGAAAACAAAGATAATTTAACTTCTTCCTTTCCAATTTGGATGCCCTTTATTTCTTTTTCTTGTCTGATTGCTTTAACTAGGACTTCCAGTACTGTGTTGAATACCAGTGGTGAAAGTGGGCATCTTTGTTGTGTTCCAGATCTTACAGGAAAGGCTTTCAGTTTCCTCCCATTCAGTGTGATTCTAGCTGTGGTTCTGTCATATATGGCTTTTATTAGTTGAGGTATATTCCTTCTATCCCCAGATTTTTTTCTGGTTTTTATCATGAAGAATGTTGAATTTTATTAAATGCTTTTTCAGCATCTCTTGAAATTATCATATGGTTTTTGTCCTTCATTCTGTTGATATAGGATACATTACATTGATTCATTTGTGTATGTTGAACCATCCTTACATCCCTAGGATAAATCCCACTTGGTTATGATGAATGATTTTTTTAATGTGTTATTGGGGTTTGCTAGTATTTTGTTGATGATTTTTGCATCAATGTTTATCAGAATTATTGACATGTAGTTTTCTTTTCTGATGTGTCTTTGTCTGGTTTTGGTATCAGGGTAATACTGGACTTGTAGAATGAGTTTAGAAGTATTTCCTCTGCCTCTATTTTTTGGAATAGCTTGAGTAGGATATGTATTAGTTCTTTTTTAGATGTTTGGTAGAGTCAGAAGTGAAGCCATCAGGTCCTGGGCTTTTCTTTTCAGGAAGACCTTATATTACAGCTTCAATCTCATTACTTATTGGTCTGTTCAGGTTTTGGATTTCTTCATGGTTCAATATTGGTGGGTTGTATGTGTCTTAAGAATTTATTCATTTCTTCTAGGTTTTCCAGTTTATTGGCATATAGTTGCTCATAGTAACCTATAAGGCTCCTTTGAATTTCTGTGGTATTGGTTGTAATGTCTCCTTTTTCATCTCTGATTTTATTTACTCAGGTCTTCTCTCTTTTTTTCTTACTTAGTTTGGCTAAGGATTTGTCAATTTTTTTTTTTTAAACTCTTCATTGATTTTTATAATTGTTTTCTTCATTTCAATTTCATTTATTTCTGCTCTGATCTTCATTGTTTCTTTTCATCTAAAAACTTTGGGTTTGGTTTACTCTTGCTTTTCTAGTTCTTTAAGATGCATCATTAGGGTGTTTATTTGAAGTTTTTCTTCTTTTTTGATGTAAGCACTTATAGCTATAAACTTTTTTCTTAGTACTGCTTTCATTGTTATCCTATAGGTTTTGGTATGTTGTGTTTCCATTATTGTTTGTTTCAAGAAATCTCTAAATTTCCTTGTTAATCTCTTCATTGACCTGTGTATGGTCAGTCAGGAGCGTATTGTTTAGTTTCCATATTTGTATGGTTTCCAAAATTCCTCTTCTTATTGATTTCTAGTTTTATTTCACTGTGATCAGAGAAGATGCTTGATATTATTTCAATTTTTTGAATGTTTTAATACTTGCTTTGTGGCCTAACATATGGTCTTTCCTTGAGAATGACCCATGTGCTAAGAAGAAGAATGTGTATTTTTCAGCTGTTGGGTGATACGTTCTGTAAACATCTATTAGATCCATTTTGTCTATAGTGCAGATCAAGTCTGATGATTCTGTGTTGATTTTCTGTCTGGATGATCTGTCCAGTGCTGAAAGTGAGGGTGTTGAATTCTCCAACTATTATTATATTGGGGTCTATTTCTCTCTTTAGCACTAATAATATTTGCTTTATGTATCTGGGTACTCCAGTGTTAGGGGCATATATATTTACAATTGTTATGTCCTCTTGTTGAATTGACCCCTTTATCATTATATAATGACTTTCTTTGTCTCTTTTTATAGTTTTTGTCTTGAAATCTATTTTGTCTACTTCTGCTCTTTTTTGGTTTCCATTTGAATGGAATATCTTTTTCCATTCCTGTGTTTTCAGTCTATATGTGTCTTTAAAGATGAAGTGTTTCTTGTAGGCAACAGATCATTGGGTCTTTTTTTTTTATCTACTCAGCCACTGTTTTTTTTTTTTTTTTTTTTAAGACAGTCTTTTTCTGTCACCCAGGCTTTAGTGCAGTGGTATGAACACAGCACACTGCAGTCTCAACCTCCTGGGCTCAAGTGATCCTACCATCTCACTCACCCTGTCAAGTAGCTGGGATCACAGGCATGCACCACCACACTTGGCTAATTTTTTAAATTTTTGTGGAGACAAGGTCTCACCATGTTGCCTGGGCTGATCTTGAACTCCTGGGTTCAGGTAATCCTCCTGCCTTGGCCTCCCAAAATGCTGAGATTACAGGTGTGAGCCACTGTGTCTGGCCCACTCTATGTCTTTTGATTGGAAAGTTTAGTCTGCTAACATTCACTTGATATTAAGTAAGGACTCACTCCTGTCATTTTGTTATTTTTTGGTTGTTTTATGGTCTTCTCTTCCTTCTTTCCTTCCTTCCTGTCTTTCTTTTAGTGAAGATGATTTTCTCTGGTGGTATGTTTGAATTTCTTGCTTTTTATTTTTTGAGTGTCCATTGTATGCTTTTTGATTTGAGGTTATCATGAGACTTGCAAATAATATCTTATAACCCATTATTATAAACTGATTACAACACTGATTGCATAAACAAATAAAAAACTAACAAGCAAAGAGAAAACTAATAAAAATTCTAGACTTTAACTTTGTCCCCTAGCTTTTTAATTTTTTGTTGTTTCTATCTATATCTTATTGTACTGTCAATGTCTTGAAAAGTTTTTGTAGTAATTATTTTTGATCAGTTCATCTTTTAGCCTTTCTACTTAAGATATGAGTAATTTACACACAATTACAGTGTTATAATACTGCCTTTTTTGTGTGAACTTACTATTAGCAGTGAGTTTTGTACCTTTAATTTCTTATTGTTCGTTAATATCCTTTTCTTTCTGATTGAAGTACTCCCCTCAGCATTTCTTTTTTTTTTTTTTTTTTTTTTTTTGAGATGGAGTCTCACTCTTTTGTCCAGGCTGGAGTGCAGTGGCATGATCTCAGCTCACTGCAACCTCCACCTCCTGGGTTCAAGCAAGTCTCCTGCCTCAGCCTCCCAAATAGATGGGACTACAGGTGCACCCTGCCACACCCAGCTAGTTTTTTGTATTTTAGTAGAGATGGGGTTTCACCATGTTGCCCAGGCTGGTTGTGAACTCCTGAACTCAGGCAGTCCTCCCACCTCGGTCTCCCAAAGTGCTGGGATTATAGGCATGAGCCACTGCACCTGGCCACCTCAGCATTTCTTAAGGGACAAGTATGATGTTGATGAAATCCCTCAGCTTGTTTGTCTGGGAGAGTCTTTATTTCTCCTTCGTGTTTGAAGGATATTTTTTGCCAGATATATTATTCTAGGGTAAATGTTTTTTTTCTTCAACATTTTAAACATGTCCTGCCACTCTCTCCTGGCCTGTGAGGTTTCCACTAAAATGTCTGCTGCCAGACATATTGGAACTCCATTGTATGTCATTTATTTTCTCTTGCTGCTTTTAGGATCTTTTCTTTATCCTTGACCTTTGGGAGTTTGATTATTAAATGCCTTGAGAGTCTTCTTTGGGTTAAATCTGCTTGCTGTTCTATAACCTTGTACTTGAATATTGATAGCTTTCTCTAGGTTTGGAAAGTTCTCTGGTATTATCCCTTTTTTTTGTTTTGGATTTTTTGAGACGGTGTCATGCTCTGTCACCCAGGCTCACGTGCAGTGGTGTGATCTCGGCTCACTGCAACCTCTGCCTCCTGGGTTCAAGCGATTCTCCTGGCTCAGCCTCCTGAATAGCTGAAACTACAGGTGTGCCACCATACCCAGCTAATTTTTGTATTTTTTAGTACAGACATGGTTTTGCCATGTTGGTCCAGCCAGTCTCAAACTCCTGACCTCAGGTGATCCACCCTCCTCAGCCTCCCAAAGTGTTGGGATTATAGGCGTGAGCCACCACACCCAGCCAGGTATTATCCCTTTGAATAAACTTTCTACCCCATCTCTGTCTTTCTACCTCCTCTTTAAGACCAATAACTCCTTGATTTGCACTTTTGAGGTTATTTTCTAGATCTTGAAGTTGTGCCTTATTCTTTTTTATTCTCTTTTCTTTTGTTTCCTCTCACTGTATATTTTCAGATAGTCTGGCTTCAAGATCACTAATCTGCTTGATTAATTCTGCTGCTGAGAGACTTTGATGCATTCTTCAGCATGTCAATTGCATTTTTCAACTCCAGAATTTATGCCTGTCTCTTTCTAATTATTTCAATCTCTTAGTTAAATTTTTCCGATAGGATTCTGGATTCCTTCTCTGTGTTATCTTAAATTTTGTTGAGTTTCCTCAAAACAGCTATTTTGAATTCTCTGCCTGAAAGGTTACATATCTTTGTCTTTCTAGGATTGGCCCTGTTACCTTATTTAGTTTGTTTGGTGAGGTCATGTTTTCCTGGTTGGTCTTGATGCTTGTGGCTGTTTATCTGTGTCTGGGCATTGAAGAACTGGGTATTTATTGTAGTCTTCACAGTGTGGGCTTGTTTGAACCTGTCCTTTTTGGGAAGGCTTTCCAGATATTGAAGGAGACTTGGGTGTTGTGATCTAAATTTTTGGTTACTGCAACCATATCTGCATTAGAGGTACCACCTTTGCGGTTTTGGATAAGATCCAGAAGAATTCTCTGTATTACCAGAGAATTCTTGTTCTTTTCCATTACTTTCTCCCCTAAAATGGAGTCTCTCCAAGTTGCAGTCCTTGTGATCTAGACTGCATCAAATCTGTGCTGAGCTGCCTGGAGCTGGAGAAGGGGTGGAACACAAGCACCACTGTGGTCACCAGCTCTGGGAATGTAGTAGGTCAGACCTGAAGCCAGCACAGCACTGGGTCTTGTCCAAGGCCCACTGTAATCACTACATGGCTACCTCCTACATTTGCTGAAGGCCCTAGGGCTCTACAATCAACAGGTGGTGAAGCCATCCAGGCTTGTTTTTTTTCCTTCATGGTAGTGAGTTCCCTAGGCCTGGGTGGCTCCAGAGATACCATCAGGAGCCAGGGTTTAGAGTTGGAAACTTTAGGAATCTACCTGGCACTGTTTTCTATTATGGCTGAGCTTGGACCCAGACCATAAGACAAAGTCCTTCCTATTTTTTCCTCTCCTTCCCGCAGGCAGAGGAGTCTCTCCCTACGGATAGCACTGCCACAGGCCCACAGGAAGTACTGCCAGGCTACCACCAATGTTCAGTCAAGGCCCAAAGCCTCTTCAGTCAGCTAGTGGTGAATGCTACCAGGCCTGAAACTCACCCCTCAGGGCAGTGGGCTCCCCTCTAGTTCAGGCTAGGTCCATAAATGCCATCCAAGAACGAAGTGCTGGAATTGGGGACCCCAATAGCCTGCTTGGTGCTCTTCCTCACTATGGCCAAGCTGGTACCTAAGCTGCAAGACAAAGTCTTTTTTACTCTTCTGCTTTTCTCAAGAAGAAGCTGATCACCCAGCTGATAGCCATTACAGCTGGGAATGTGCTGGGTCACACCTGAAGTCAGCATATCTCAGAGTCTTACCCAAGACCCACAGCATGTACTACCTGGCTACTGCTGCTGGTCATTCAGGGCCCAAGGGGCTGTTTAGTCAGCAGGTGATGAGTCCTGCCAGGATTGGGTCCTTCCTTTCAAGACAGTGGCTTCCCTTCTGACAAGTGTGTGTCTAGAAATGTTGTCCCGGAGTTTGGGGGGCCTGGAATAGGGGCCTCATGACTCTGCCTGGTTTCCTATGCTATTATGGCTGAGCTGGTATCCAAATTGCAAGACAAAGTCCTCTTTACTCTTCCATCTCCTCTCCTCAAGTGGAAGGAAGGACTCTTTTTCACAGTTGTGAGCTGCACTCTCTGGGTTGGGGGAGTGGTGGCACAAACACTCCTTCGGCCACATCATCTGATTTCTTACTAGGTAATATGCCTTCCAAGTCCACTGACTGTGAGTCCAGCACAGCACTAGTACTTACCTAGGAGTTGCAGTCCTTGTGGTGCAGACCGCCTTTCAAGTTTATTTAGGACCCCAAAGCACTTGAGCCTGTGGTGGTGAGGCTTGCCAGAACTCAAATTCCAACCTGCTGGGATAGATGATTCTCTTCTGGCTAGGGCTGGTCTAAGTGCTTCCTGCATGAGAATTGGCTGAGTTCTGCCTGATGTTGCTTTCCACTGTGGAAGGGTGGCACTGAGTTCGGATGCGAAGTCCTACAATCACTGCACTCTTCCTCCACCAAGCACAGGTTCTCCATGGCACGTGGCCACTGCCAAAGGATGGGGGAGTGGTGAGTTGGCAATTCAATACTGTCTTTCTACCCTCTTCAGTGCCTCTTTCAGTAACATGAAGCTATAATCAGGTGCTGTGACTACACAACTGATTTTTGTTCTTATGAAGGTGCTTTTTTGTGTAGGTAGTTTTTTTTGTTTTTGTTCTTTGTTTGTTTGTTTGTTTGTTTTTGAGACAAGAGTCTCACTCTGTCACCCAGGCTGGAGTGCAGTGGTGCAACGGCTCACTGCATCCTCCGCCTCCTGGGTTCAAGTGATTCTCCTGCCTCAGCCTCCCCAATAGCTGGGATTACAGGTGCCTGCCACCATGCCTGGCTAATTTTTGTATTTTTAGTAGAGATGGGGTTTCACCATGTTGGCCAGGCTGGTCTCGAATTCCTGACCTCAAGTGATCTGCCTGCCTTGGCCTCCGAAAGTGCTGGGATTACAGGTGTGAGCCGCCATGCCCGGCCATGTAGACAGTTAAATTTGTTGTTCCTGTGGGGAGGACAATCACTGGAGGCTTCTATTCAGTCATCTTGCTCTGCCTTCCTGGATATTTTAACAATATTAATTCTTCCAGTTCATAGCATGGCATATCTCTCCATTTATTTGTGTCTTCTTTAATTTCTTTCATCAGATACAACAACATGGATAAACCTGGAGCACATTATACTAAGTGAACTAAGCCAGGCACAGAAACACAAATAGTACATGATCTCATTTATATGTGGAATCCAAAAAAGTTGAATTCATAGAAGCGGAGAGTGGAATGGTGGTAACTAAGGACAGGGTAGGTGGGGGAAATAGGGAAATGTTGGTCAGAGGATACTAAGTTTGAGTTATGTAGGATAAATGCACAGCATGTTGACTATAGTTAATAATACTATATTGCATAATCGAAATTGCATAGCTAGGCATGGTGGCACATACCTGTAGTACCAGCTAGTTGGGTGGCTGAGGCAGGAGGATTGCTTGAGCCCAGGAGTTTGAGGCTGCAGTGAGCTATGATCACACCACTGTACTCCAGACTGGCGACAGAATGATACCCCATCCCCCAAAAAAAAGAAAAAAAAAAGTTGCTAAGAGAGTGGAGTGTAAGTGTTCTCAATACACATGCACAAACACACACACACACAGAGGTAATGGATATGTTAATTTAGCTTGACATATTAATCGTTTCACTATGTATATCAAACATCGTGTTGTAGACCTTAAATATATACAGATATACAGTTTCTATTTTTAAAAAAGAGATTTAAAAAAATTCAGTTGACTTTTGTATATTGGTCTTGTATCCTGTGACTTCGCTAAATCTTTGTTAGTTCTAGTACTTCTGTGGCTTTCTTAGGATGTTCTGTGTAAGTGATCATGTCATCAGCTAATAAAGACAGTTTTACTTTTTTTCAAATCTGGGTGACTTTTTTTTTTTCTTGCTTTATTGTACTGGCTAAATTCTCCAATACAGTTTTGAATAGAAGTGATAAAAGGAGATATTTCTGCCTTGTTCATGATCTTAGGGATAAAGCATTTAGTTTTTCATTATTAATTATTAGCTATAGGTTTTTCATATATGCCATTTATGAGGTTGAAGAAATTCTCTTGTATTCATGGTTGCTGAGAACTTTGATCAGAAATGGATATTAGATTTGTCAAATACTTTTTTTTTACATTTATTGAGAGGATTATGTTAGTTTTGTTCTTTTCTATTAGTATAATGAATATGTTGCCTTTGTGGGAAAAACTCCACAAAATTTAATGATTTTACTGTAATACAGAGTTGGGAAACCATTACCATAACCTAATTTTAGAACATTTTCATCATTACAAAAATAAACTTTGTACCCATTAACTCCTCATTCCCTGGCCTCTTCTTCCTCTCCAAACTGCAGGCAACCACTCATCTATTTGCTGTCAGTATAGATTTACCTGCTTTGGTCCTTTTGTGTGAATGGGATCATACACTATGTGGTCTTTTTGTTACAGGTTTCTTTCACTTAGCATAATGTTTTTGAGGTTTGTTCATGCTGTAGCATGTATCATTTCTTTATATGGCTAAATAGTATTCCATTGTATGAATGTACTGCATTTTGTCTATACATTCATCAGTTGATGGTCATTGGGCTTTTCCCACTTTTTGGCTATTATGAATAATGCTGCTATGAACATTTGTATACAAGTTTTTGTGTGGTTACATATTTTTATTTCTTTTAGGTAGAGACTTAGGAGTGAAATTGCCAAGCTAAATTATATGGTAGCTCTGTATTAACACTTTGAGGAATTGCTAATCTGTTTGGTTGCACCGTTTTCCATTCCTGCTAGTAATGTATAAGGGTTCCTTATGAACAGGGTGTGTTTTTATCTATCTTTTGATTATAGACTTTCTAATAAGTGTGAAGTGGTATCTCATTGTGGTTTTTATTTACATGTCCATAATGACTAGTAATGTTAGGCATCTTTTCACTTGTCTCTTGGCCATTTGTATGTCTTCTTTGGAGAAATGTCTGTCCTTTGCTCATTTGTAAATTGTGTTTTTTGTGTTTTTATTATTGAGTTTTAAGAGTTCCTTATATAGTCTGAATTAAAACCCTATTTGATACTTGATTTGCAAATATTTTTTTCCCAACTGTGGGTTGTCTTTTCACTCTTTTTAATTTAAAAAAAAAAGTGTTTCACTGGTTTCTTTTGAAGTTAAAAGTTTTTAATTTTGATAAGTTCCACTTATGAATTTTCTCTTTTATGGCTTTGCCTTTTGTGTTGTAGCTATGAAATCTTTGCCTAACTTAAGATCATAGAGATCTGTCCAGGCGCGGTGGTTCACGCCTATAATCCCAGCACTTTGGGAGGCTGAGGCGGGTGGATCACAAGGTCAGGAGTTCAAGACTAGCCTGGCCCAAGTGGTGAAACCCTGTCTCTACTAAATATACAAAAATTAGCCGCCGGGTGTGGTGGCGGGTACCTGGAATCCCAGCTACTCGGGAGGCTGAGGCAGGAGAATCGCTTGAACCCAGGAGGCGGAGGTTGCAGTGAGCTGATATCATGCCACTGCACTCCAGCCTGGGTGACAGAGTAAGACTCCATCTCAAAAAAAAAAAAAAAAAAAAGTCACAGAGATCTACTCCTGTTTTCTTCTAAGAGTTTTACACATTCAGATACATGATCTACTTTTGGTTAATTTTTCTGTATGATGTGAGGTAGGGGTCCAGTTTCATTCTTTTGCTTAAGGATAATCTGGTTTTCCCAGCACCTTGTTGGGAAAATACTTTGTATCCATTGAATTTTGACCTCTTTGTCAAAAATCAATTGACTATAAATATTTAGAGTTTATTTCTTGACTTTCAGTTCTATCCCATTGCTCTAGATGTCCACCCCACGCCAGTAGTATACTATCTTGATTACTGTAGCTTAGTAGTAAGTTTTGAAATCAGAAGAGTGATTCCTTCTTTCTTTAGATTAGTATTAGCATGGTTTATCTTCTTCAGTCCTCTAACTTTTAATCTATTAGTGTCTTCATATATAAGATCAGTTTCTTCTAAGCAACATATACTTGGATCCTACTTTTTAAAAATACAATTTGAGGCCAGAAGCAGTGCACCTGTAATCCCAGCACTTTAGGAGGCCGAGGTGGGTGGATCACTTGAGGTCAGGAGTTCGAGACCAGCCTGGCCAACATGGTGAAAACCTGTCTCTACTAAAAATACAAAAATTAGCTGGGCATGGTGGTGAGTGCCTGTAATCCCAGGTATTCGGGAGGCTGAAGCAGGAGAATCGCTTGAACCCAGGAGGCAAAGGTTGCAGTGAGCCAAGATCACACTACTGCACTCCAGCCTGGGTGACAGAGCAAGACTCCATCTCAAAACAACAACAACAACAGCAACAACAACAATCTGACAGTCTTTGCCTTTTAGTTGGGGTGCTTAGATTATTTACATTTAATGTTGTTGTTGACATGTTTGTTTTGTTTTTATTTATTTATTTTTAGAGTCAGGATTTTGCTATGTTGCCCAGGCTGGAGTGCAGTGGTTATTCATAGGAACAATCTTAGTGCATTACAACCCAAACTTCTGGACTCAAGGGATCCTCCTTCCTCAGCCTCTAGAGTAACTGGGAGTGCAGGTGTGCACCACCACACCACCACACTTCACTGGTGTGTTTTATTTTGTTTCCATTTCTCTTATCTCTTCTTTTTTTTTGAAACCTTTTTTCTACTTTTTCTGGCTTCTTTTGGATTAATTGAATATTTTTCTCCTTTGTTGACTTAGGAGCTATATAACTCATTATTGTCTTATTTTGGTTGTGCTGTAGGTTTTATAGATTGTATCTTTAACTTACTCCATTCTATTCTCAAGTGATATTATACCACTTGATGTATAGAATAAAAACACTACACATCTAAATACTTACATTCATAGCATATACCGTATCTATTCTTCATTTCTTTGTGTACATCTATTTTTCTGGCTGGGCGCAGTGGCTCACGCCTGTAATCCCAGCACTTTGGGAGGCTGAGGTGGGCAGATCACAAGGTCAGAAGTTCGAGACCAGCCTGGCCAACATGGTGAAACCCCGTCTCTACTAAAAATACAAAAATTAGCCATGCATGGTGGCCTGCACCTGTAATCCCAGCTACTTGAGAGACTGAGGCAGGAGAATCACTAGAATCCAGGAGGTGGAGGTGCAGTGAGCCAAGATCACTGCTCTCCAGCCTGAGTGACAGAGAGAGACTCCGTCTGCAAAAACATATGTATATTTTTCCATCTGGCATCATTTTACTTCTGCTAAAACTACCTTTAATCTTTTAGTGCAGATCTGCTGGTGACAAATTCATTCAGCTTTTAAATTCTACATTTTACCTTCGCTTTTGAAAGGTATTTTTACTAGGTATAGAATGCTAGATAGACTTTTTCTGTAGTTAAAGGATTTTGTTTCACTGTCTTCTGGTTTGCATTACTTTTGCCGAGAAATGTTATTTCATCTTTATCTTTGTACTTCCGTACATATGTGTCTTTTCTCTATGACTACTTTTAAGATTTTCTCATTTTTACTTTTTTTTTGGCACTTTGATTGTGAGTGTTAGTATAGTTTTATTTTCATGCTTCTTATGCTTGGAGTCCATTGAGATTCTTGGATCTGTGGGTTATGGTTTTCCTCATATATGAAAATACATAGCCATTATTTTTCAAATATGTTTCTGCCCCAGCCTCCCTTCTCCCCACTCACCGATTCAGGGATGTCAGTTATATGCCTGAAGTTGTCCTACAGCTCATTTATTCTTTGTCCAAGTTTTAGTCTTTTACATTTTATTTTGGATATTTTCTATTGCTGTTTTTAAATTGACTAATCTTCAGTATCTAATCTGCAGTTAATCCCATCCAGTGTATTTTTCATTTCAGACATTGTAGTTTTCATCTCTGTAACTTTGATTTGAGTTTCTCTTATATAGCTCATGTCTCTACTTAACATATTCCATCTTTCCTCTCCCTCGTAAGTGTGAAATAATACAGTTATAATAACTTTTAATATCCTTTTCTACAAATTCTATCATGTCAATTTTGATTTATTACATTTTTTTCTCAGTATGGGTAATATTTTCTTGCTTTTTTGCAAGTTAAATTTTTGATTGGATGCAAGACATTAAGAATTTTAGGCTGGGCATGGTGGCTCATGCCTGTAATCCCAGCACTTTGGGAGGCTGAGGCAGGTGGATCACGAGGTCAGGAGATCGAGACCAACCTGGCTAACATGGTGAAACCACGTCTCTACTAAAAAAATACAAAAAAATTAGCCGGGTGTGGTGGTGGGCGCCTGTAGTCCCAGCTACTCGGGAGGCTGAGGCAGGAGAATGGCGTGAACCTGGGAGGCAGAGCTTGCAGTGAGCCGAGATCACGCCACTGCACTCCAGCCTGGGCCACAGAGTGAGACTCCGTCTCAAAAAAAAAAAGAATTTTACCTTAATGGTGCTGAATTTTGGTAAACTCTTCTTAACCTTTGTTCTGGGATATAGGTAAGTTACCTGGAAGCAATGTGATCCTTCTGGAGCTTGTTTTCAAATTTTGTTAGGCAGGACTGGAGCAGTGTTTGGTTGGAAGCAAAACCCTTCTGAATATTCTACCTCATACCTGAGGATTATGAAGTTTGCCATTCTGGTGGAAGAGTTATTCTCAGCTATTTCTGAACTCTAGGGATTAGTCCCTCTAATCCTTCTGAATAGTTCTTTCCCTGGCCTTAGGTAGCTTCCTCACCGGTATGTGCTAATCAGTACTCAGCTGATGACCTGTGGGGAACGCTGTACAGATCTCTGAAGCTCTTACCCTAGGCAGCTCTCTTTCTTCTGGTACTCTGCCCTATGATCTTTATATGCATTGACCTCACCAGACTTCCAGCTCCGTGTCCTCAATTCAGGAACTCAGACTCTAACTGGCTTCTCCATCTTTGTACTCTGGCTTGGAAACTTTCTCCAGGCAGTAAACTGAGGCTATTGTTGGGTTCACCTTGATCTTTTTCTCCCATCTTTCAAGGATCACTATCCTTCACTGCCTTATGTCCAATGACTTGAAGGCTGTTATTTTATATATTTTATCTGGTTTCATGCCAGAAGCAAGAGTTTAGTTCATTTGCTATGACTAAACATAATTAACATAATAACTATTTAACAAAATTATTGATATATTTGGTCTTAAGCCTATCATTTTGCTATATTTTTCTCAATTATTTTCATCAGTTCTTTGTTCCTTAGTTTCTTCTTTTCAATCTTATATTGTGTTAATTGAGTAGTTTTTAAGAATTCCCTCTTTTCTCCTATCTTGGCTTTTTGGCTACACTTCTTTGTATTATTGTTTTAGTTGTTATTCTAAGGATTATAATATTCACTGCTTGCTAGAGTCTACCTTGAATTAATAATTTACTACTCTACATATAATGCATGAACCTTACCATCACCTTTCTTCTTTTGTGCTATTATCATATACATTGTTACTATTTTTGCCTTAAATATTCACTTGTGTCTTAAGGAAATTATGAAAATAAAAATATGTCTTTTATATTTACTGAGATAGGCAGCTGGATCACATCCTTGTAATCCACTGCACTTAAATGTGAATTGAATTATACTGCATATATTCTTTAATCCTGCATGTGTTCCTGAATTATACTATTGCTTATAATTATATTGTTTTATGTCTTTTTTTCACTCAACATTAGTTGTGAAATTTAGCCTTGTTTCTACATGTAGCTGTGGTTTATTTTAAATCTTCTAGATTGAAATGTACTACAATGTATTTATCTGTTCTGCGGTGGATTGACATGTAGGTGGTTTCTAGTTTGGGGCTATTATAAACAATTTTGCTATGAAAATATATCCTGGTGCATGTATGTAAACTTCTCTGGGATATGTATCTAAGATTGAACTCTCTGAGTCATAAGGTATGCATATCTTCAGCTTTTGAAGATAATAACAAACATTTTCCCAAAGTGTTTGTATTAATTTATATTCCCAATGGTAACGTATGCGATTTCCTATGTTCTATATCTTTGACAATGGTTGGTAGTGTTAGACCTTTAAATGTTTATCATTCTTGTGGTCATGTAAATTTATTATGGTTTTAATATGAACTTGCCTCATTACCAGTGAAATTGAGTATCTTTTCATATATATGTATACACATATACCCTTTTGTTAAGACAGGGTCTTGCTCTGTCACCTAGGCTGGAGTGCAGTGGTACAAACATGGCTCACTGCAGCCTCAACCTCCTGGGCTCAAGTGATCTTCCCACTTCAGCGTCTCTAGTCATTGGGACTACAGCTGTGAGCCACCACGCCTGGCTAATATTTAAAAATTTTTTGTACAGATGGAGACTTGCTATGTTGCCCAGGCTGGTCTCAAACTCCTGGCCTTAAGCCATCCTCCCACCTTGGCCTCCCAAAATGCTGGGATTACAGGTGTGAGCCACTGCACTCAGCTCATATATATCTTTGTATTTGGATTTCCCATTTTGTGAAGTACTTAAGATCTTTTGCCCATTTTGCTGCTGGATTGTCTATATTTTTCTCAATGATTTTTAGGAGTTACTTATGTATTATAAATATTAATCTTTTGTTAATTAAAATGAGTTACAAAAATCTTTTCTCATTATGATATCTTAAGATGAACAGAAGTTTTTAATTTTAATGTAGTGGAATTTATCAGTCTTTTCCTCTGAGGTTAATTATTTTTATGTATTATGTAAAAGTCCTTCCCTACCCTAAGTCATTTTTCTTTTTTCTCCTCTGAAAATATCATCGTTTTGCTGTTTACATTTGATTTTTAAGCTACCTGAAACTTGTTTTTGTGTTCAGTATGATTTGGGAGTTCAGTATTTTTCTTTAATAATTTTTTTTTTTGAGACAGTCTTGCTCTGTCACCTGAGCTGGAGTGCAGTGGCTTGATCTCAGCTCACTGCAACCTCCTCCTCCTCCCAGGTTCAAGTGATTCTTATGCCCCAACCACTGAGTAGCTGGGACTAGAGGCATGCACCACCACACCCAGTTAATTTTTGTATTTTTGGTAGAGATGGGGTTTTGCCATATTGACCAGGCTGGTCTGGAACCTCTGAGTCCAAGTGATCTTCCTGTCTTGGCCTCCCAAAGTGCTGGGATTACAAGCGTGAGCCACCACGCCTGGCCCAGTTTTATTTTATTTTATTTTATTTTATTTTATTTTATTTTATTTTATTTGAGATGGAGTTTTGCTCTTGTTGCCGAAGCTGGAGTGCAATGGCGCGATCCCGGCCCACTGCAACCTCTGCCTCCCGGGTTCAAGCGATTCTCCTGCTTCAGGAGTAGCTGGGAGTACAGGTGCATGCCACCATGCCTGGCTAATTTCTTTTATTATTTTTTTGTTGTTGTTTTTAGTAGAAACGGGGTTTCACCATGTTAGCCAGGTTGATCTCAAACTCCTGACCTCAGGTGATCCACCTGTTGCAGCCTCCCAAAGTGCTGGGATTACAGGCCTGAGCCACCGCGCCTGGCCTTATTTTTTTAAATATATAGTTTCTCTGTTCTAGTACTATTTATGTAAAGTCTGTACTTTCTCCACTAATTTGTAGTGCCACCTCAATGATCATATCTTTTGTTTCTAGAACATTTCAAATCTGCTTGTTTTAAAAATCTGTTCATCTTTATTATGGCTTCCATTTCTACCTTTAATATTTCTAATAATTTTAAACATATAATTTTTTTTGAGACAGGGTCTCACTCTGTCATCCAGGTGGGAGTGCAGTGGTGTGACCACAGCTCACTGCAGCCTTGACCTTCTGGGCTCAAGTGATCCTCCCACCTCAGCCTCCCAAGTAGCTCCCTATACTGGTGGGAGTATAGGCATACCCACCATGCCTGGTTAATGTGTTTTTGTTGTTGTTGTTGTTGTAGAGATGACATCTCACAGTGTTGCCCAGGCAGGTCTCAAACTTTTGGGCTCAAGCATTCCTCCCACCTTGGCCTCCTGAAGTGTTGGAATTATAGACGTGAGCCACTGTGCTGAGCCAGACATAGATATTTTATACTCTCTTTTATAGTCAGTTGTTTGTAGTTCTGAAGTATATAAATTCTCCAGATTATTGGGTATCCTAACTCATGCTCATGGATGTGCTTTGATTTGTGTGACTGATAATTTTTATTTATAATATTGTAAGCTTTTTACATTGATAATATTGTGAGCTTAATTTCTTCCCCACTGTGGGATTACTGTGTATTCTCTGGAAAGGCTTTATGTTTGTCTCTGCCTGGTCTCTAATGTTTCAACAGCCTGAAGCTGATCTTTGTTAATTTGTTGGCTTTGACTTCCTGAATCACATACATAACTGAAATTCAGACTTCATTCCCCTGTGGATGTAGGTTGTTTTATTTTATCTAAGGAGAGGGAAAGATATAGCCAGGAATAGTAGTCCATGTGAGCCACACTGTCATGTTTTCAGAGTCTTAGATCTTTAAAGGCCCATCTCAAGTTTGATAGCTTAGAATCAATTAAAATTACTTAAATCTTAAAATACTTATTTTTTAGACAATTGCTTTCTGTTTTTAAAAGTTTGTATAAAACCTAGTTTTTAAGACATATTAAAGCTCAAAGATATCATTGGTAGAAGCAGAACTTCTAATAAAATAATGTTCACAGCAGTATTTTCCTATAACATTTTCAGAAAATTTTAATAAATAGACTGTTTTTAACTGTAGATTAAACTGTTATGACCTAGGTACTAAGATACAAAGATTAGTAAGACCCAATCCTTTCAATGAGATAAAGGACTAATTGGGAAGAGAGATAAAGAGGCAGACAAGTGTGGAGCCAGCTCATTCATTTGTTTATTCATTTACTCTTCATTCAACAAAATTGATTATCTAATATGTGCTGGGCATTGTTCTAGGTGCTGGGGATACAGCAGAAAATGAAACCTGCAAAAATGATTTGCATCACGGAGCTTACATGTAGAGTGATTCTAGTGATATGAAGAAAGTTCTCTGGAAATTCAAAAAAGGCATATTAATAGTTTGGTATTTCTACCCTCAACTGTGCCTGTTGTCTTCATGTAGACACCTTTTGTTTTATCTTTTTCAGAGAATAAGCCTCAGCTTTTTCTAGGTCCTGGAAGGGGGTATCATCTGACTGGGTGAGGAATAGCTTTTTAAATAGCCTTTCAGCCATGATTTCTAGTTTTAGCCCATCTCATTACAGAGGTTCCCGGTGCTGGCAATTCCTGAGACTTTCTGTGTTGTTTGGTGTGAATTGGATAGCTTCTTCTTGGTTTTCCTTATTGGTAGTTTAGGAATCAAACTTTTAAGGCTCTGCGTCTGCTATGCTAGTTTCTACTCTCTATTTTCTGGCTTTCAGAATTTTGTTATTTCCTTTTAAATTTATTCTTATGAAATCCCTTTACCATTATTTTAATGATTTTAATGAACTAAAATTGAATGTGTGTGTTCAGTCTACCGTCTTTACCTGAAAGTCTAATTGAATTGTCGTGAATCTTGTTAATCTATAGTAGGTATAGGAAATCTTTGTGTGTGTGTGTGTGTGTGTGTGTGTGTGTGTGTGTGTGTGTTTTGTTTTTTTTTTTGAGATGGAGTCTCAGTCTGTCACCCAGGCTGGAGTGCAGTGGCACGATCTCAGCTCACTGCAACCTCCGCTTCCTGGGTTCAAGCGATTCTCCTGCCTCAGCCTCCTGAGTAGGTGAGATTAAAGGCAGGTGCCACCACACCTGGCTAATTTTTGTATTTTTAGTAGAGACAGGGTTTCACCCTGTTGGTTAGACTGGTCTCGAACTCCTGACCCTGTGATCCACCTGCATTAGCCTCCCAAAGTGCTGGGATTACAGGTGTGAGCCACCGCGCCTGGCCTAAGAAATCTTTCATCTTCTGCCATCATATGTGTGTGTAAATGTATATATATTTAACTTATCACAAAACATGAAGAAGATAGAATGTTATAAAATGTTGGATAGGAGGCACAATATCTTTGTTTCAATGTTATCTTTACTATACACTTGCATTGTGTTCTTTGAGCAAGCTACTTTATCTACTTGAAACTCAGTTTTATTACTTGAAAAACAGGAATGTTGGCCAGGTGTGGTGGCTCATGCCTGTAATAGCAACACTTTGGGAGGCTGAGGCAGGCAGATTGCTTGGCCCAGAAGTTCAAGACCAGCCTGGGCAACTGGTGAAACTCTGTCACTGCAAAAAATACAAAAAATTAGCCGGCCGTGGTGGCACATTACTATAGTCCCAGCTACCCAGGAGGCTGAAGTGGGAGGATCACCTGAGCCTGGGAAGTTAAGATTACAGTGAGCCGTGATCGTGCCACTGCACTCCAGCCTGGGCAACACAGTGAGACCCTGTCTCGAAAAAAAAAAAAAAAATAAAGAAAGAAAGAAAAGAGAGAAAACAGGCCGAGCATGGTAGCTCACGCCTGTAATCCCAGCACTTTGGGTGGCCAAGGCAGGCGGATCACGAGGTCAAGAGATCGAGACCATCCTGGCCAACATGGTGACACCCTGTCTCTACTAAAAATACAAAAATTAGCCGGGCGTGGTAGCACGCACCTGTAGTCCCATCTAAATGGGAGGCTGAGGCAAGAGAATTGCTTGAACCTGGGAGGCAGAGGTTGCAGTGAGCCGAGATCGCACCATTGCACTCCAGCCTGGCGACGGAGCGAGACTCCATCTCAAAAAAAGAAATAAAGAAAAGAAAACTAGGAATGTTAATGATACCCACCTTGTTAGGGTTATTGGTTAAGACCAGCTGATAATTTCAAAGCACTATACAAGCTTTAGGGGTTTTTAGCACCATGCCACTTATTCAGAATTAATTTTCTTTACAATACAGTATATCTGAGAGTTGAGAAGTAAGTTTAAAAAGTCTGTGAACAATAAAAAATAGGTATTATATATTATCTTGTGAAAATCCATACATTTCATTAGTAGACCCTCAATCGGACGCAGAATCTATTTTTTATTTCATACCTGGTTTTACCAAGCTTTGATCTATGAAACTGGATCATAGATCAGTTAGACTTGATAGAGTCTAAAGTTCAAGCTAGACTTGACAGAGTACAAAGCAAGAAACAACTTTATTCTTCCTCGCCATTGCCCTTTAAAAGGGCTGTGTTGGCGTTCCTATTTCTTTTACTGGATAATATCTTGGTCATGTCACATAGCTTTTTTTCACTCGCTTTTAGATATTAATAGTTTTATTTTTAGGTACCCAAAAGTCTAGTCTAAACTAAATAGAAACTGCAATCTCTTGTTTAATCTAAAATTTTTCCCCTTACCCTGGTTAGGCTCTGATTTGGCTCTAGAACCTATTGAGGCTCAGGAGACATGTTTGCTTCTTCTTTACTCTGCTACTCTCTCCTCTTCTAATCACTAGGCAGCTTTACAGTGGGGTTATATAAGGGACAGGAAAGGTCTTACTCAACTGGTGCAGTGGTCATTAGGCTTTGATGTTTCTTGGGTGTGGTAGATGCCCAATGTTGCCTCCTAGTTTACTGCTTTAGTCTTTGTTTTTTAGGGCCTTCCCTCACTGGGGACTTTCCATTGTGCCTTTTATTGATTCAGGAGGTATTACTTTAGCTGGCTGCTAATGATTCTGGTGGTGTGTACCCCCAAAGACTCTCTCAGGTGGGGTTATCTGGTCTGCATGCAGACCTCTCTGAGAGAGCCTTTTCAAGACAACCAGCCTACCCGCCTTTCATGGAATCTCCTTCACCCTTAAGGAACATGCAATCTTGTGAAAGTAGAATTTGCTCGTACTTTAATTCTCTTTACTCACTCTAGCCTTTCACCTTTAAACTTTCCAGGCAAATATCAGGCTCTGGTCTTTTTGTTCTCTAAATTCCAAGACATCCATATCCAGTAGTTCTCTCTAAACTGTCTCACTTGACTTTGAGGAGGAGAATTAAAGAAAAATCTAGGAAATAAGATATGGTGGTAAATTTATTTTCTGCTCACAAAAAGGAAAATAATCTGATGGATTAATTAAGAGTTCAAATTGACAGTCTTCCTCCCCTGCAAGTTCAAGCATTGAGTGTACATACAGCTTAATAAAAAATGAATTGTAGTCATGCTGATTTGGGATTGACATACTTTTTTGGTCACTGGCTGAATCTACATGTAAATTTCAGGATCCTAATTTGTCATCCTCATTGAATTATTTTCAAAGTTAGGGTATGTTAGACTAAGTATATTCCTTTAAATGTCCAGTTTTATATTTGCCTCATTTGATTGGTCATTAAAGCAGGATAGTTTGCATTAGGAATTTTATCCTCTGTGTATCTGCAGCTGCACCTTTTGTTCTCTTCGGTCATAGCAAATTGGCCTCATTAACAGCAGAACCCTATTACTTAAAAGAAAAATATATTCGCTCACAGTTCTGGAGGCCAGAGCTCTGAAATCATGGTGTCAAGGGTTCATTCCTTCTGGAGGCTCTAAGGGAGATTCCATTCCATGCCTCTCTCCTAGCTTCTGGTGGTTGTCAGCGATTTTTAGCCTCCCTTGGCTTGTAGCAGATCATTCCAATCTCTGCCTCCATCTTCACATGGCACGTGATATTTAGTCATTTAGATAAAGTTTAATCTATAAGCATGAGTTAAAAATTATAAATGTGTAATTTTAGATTGTTAAAGTTTTAGAAAAGCAAAGGCACAAAAATAGTAATATGAGATAAGAAAAAGCAAACTATTTCTTAAAGTATTTGACTCAGAAAATTTTCTCCTTTCTGTAGCTGTTGGAAAAATTAGAGGAAAGCCTCTTCCATTACTCTTATTTTTTGAGGCCCTCTTTATCACAAGTCATGCTTTTCCATGTCCTGTTGATGCAGCTCTAACCCTGGAAGGAATCAAATGTGGATTATCAGAAAAACGGTTAGATTTAGTTACCAATTGGGTTACACAGGAAAGGTAAGCAAAGTTAAGCTTTTAACTTAATTTTGACATTTCGTTAATAAAGTTGTTTGTTCTAAAAATATTAATAGCTTTATCAATATGTTACTTGAACATTTACTTCAGGTCCCTATTGCAATTAATCAGAAAGTGTTTAGTGGTCGGGTGTGGTGGCTCATGCCTCTAATCCCAACACTTTGGGAGGTAGAGGTGGGAGGATCGCTTGAGGTCAGGAATTCAAGACCATCTTGGCCAACATGGTGAAACCCTGTCTCTACTGAAAATACAAAAATTAGCCAGACGTGGTGGCCAGGTGCAGCAGCTCACACCTGTAATCCCAGCATTTTGGGAGTCCGAGGTGGGCAGATGACTTGAGGTCAGGAGTTCAAGACCAGCCTAGCCAACATGGTGAAACCCCATCTCTACTAAAAATACAAAAATTAGCCAGGCATGGTGGCGCACGGCTGTAGTCCCTGCTACTCAGGAAGCTGAGGCAGGAGAATCGTGTGAACCAGGGAGGCAGAGGTTTCAGTGAGACGAGATCGCGCCACTGCACTCCAGCCTGGGTGACAGAGCGAGACTCAATCTAAAAATATATATATATATGCATTTAGTTTCCTGTAGAAATCTAATTTTCTTAGCAAATACACCACTACATTCCAAATAACTTTATTTTCATATTGACTATTATCGGGGTGATAGAAATTGACAAGTAATCATTTCAATTACATAATCAATTGCCTATTAAATTGTAACTTGGAATTCTTACAGGTAGTAGAAAATCCAGTCCTACTGTGCTGAATTTTCAAATATTTCAGTCTCAGCCACTCATCAGGAATTTTCTAACATATGTCTTATTGATCTGCTTGTTCTAGACTGACATTTTCTGAGGAGGCTGGGGATGTGATTTGTGATTATGGGGAGCAGGATACTTATAACAAGGCCAAGTGCCTGGCTTTAGCTCAGATTGTCTACAGTGAATGTGGCCTGCACAAGAAAGCTATTCTTTGCTTGTGTAAACAGGGTCAGACTCATAGGGTCATGGAGTACATACAGCAGTTGAAGGACTTTACTACCGGTAAGTTAAAAAGTCTGCCATTTGTATACATTTGAATTCTGGGCTTTAATTGTAAGATTACCCATAATAGCAAGCACTACTTTAAACTTACGTTATAAAATCAATTTTATATATACCAATAAGTAGGAGATTTCTTGTGTAATTTTTCATGAACATAGTAAGCTGGAGCTGATTGGCTTTCATGCTGGATATTCAAAAATATTATGTATTTCCTCAAAATACAAACATTTAATAAGCCAGATAGTCCTGGAAATATACAGTTTTAAAGATAGATTTAGCAGATATACTAGAACATACTACATATATGATTTTTAAAAATAACTTATTTGTGAGATATATATATATATATTTTTTTTTGAGATGGAGTCTCACTCTGTTGCCAGGCTGGAGTGCAGTGCTGCGATCTTGGCTCACTGCAAGCTCTGCCTCCTGGGTTCACACCATTCTCCTGCCTCAGCCTCCCAAGTAGCTGGGACTACAGGTGCCCGCCACTACGCCCGGCTAACTTTTTGTATTTTTGGTAGAGACAGGGTTTCACCGTGTTAGCCAGGATGGTCTTGATCTCCTGATCTTGTGATCTGCCCGCCTCAGCCTCTCAAAGTGCTGGGATTGCAGATGTGAGCCACCGCACCCAGCCTGTGATATATAATGTTTTGAACTGTAATATAAGCATCAGAAATGAAGAATTTCTAATTTATTTCAAAATTTTAAAACACAATTGAACAGTAATCTGAGATTACAATTGAACGGTAATCTGAGAGAACTGTGGACCTTAGGGTGACCCTAGTTGGAAGAGCAGAGCTCTTATTCTGGATCTAGTTTGGCAATAACTGTAAGTACAGGCATTGCTGACATCTCCCCATCCCCCAGGCCAGTGCCTGTCCTGATTTGCAGGCTATGTATCCCAGTTCTAAGAAGATGCAAAATGGAACCAAACATGGCCATTTTTAGGTCACATTATTCCAGGAAAAAGGAGTTTTAGTAGTTGTTGAATCTGGTCATTTTCAAGCAATTAATTGACTTTTTCTTAGAATCTATGTTGTTGTTTTTTTAAGTTACAAATTTCTTCATTAATAACAGCATGCCCTATACTATTATTGTAATAATAGCTAGGCTTTTTTTCATGGATTATCTCACTTAATCCTTATGTTGACTCTATGAGGTAGGTTTTGTTATTGTCCCATTTTATAGATGCAAAAATAGTATGTTTCCACAGAGAGGCTGAGGCACAGCTAGAGCTAAGTGATTTGGTTATGTAGTGACAGGACAGAATCTGGCATAGTAGGTATTAATTAATATTCCATTACCTAAGTATACAGTTTCAGTTTCTGTGTTGTTAACTATTATTTTTCCATATGTAAGAATTATATTAGTTAATGTTTAGACATGGGATATAGATTTTAATTACTCTTAGAATTTAAAAATTTTAGGGATGGGTCTGTAGTCCCAGCCACTCAGGAGGCTGAGATGGGAAGATCGCTTGAGCCCAGGAGTTCTAGGCTGCAGTGAGCTGTGATTGTGGCACTGCATTCCTGCCTGGGCATCAGAGTGAGACCTTATCCAATAATAATAATAATAATAATAATAATAATTTTTTAAAAAATAAAATGGATTTTGAAATGTAGTAAGAAAAAGGGAGACGAGGAGTTCAAGAGTAGCCTGGAGCAACATAGTGGGACCCCATCTCTATATATTAAATACATTTTAAAAACCCAAGGCTTTCAGAGTTCAAATTATGTTTCGGGTAGTCCTTGAAAGGCTCTCAGAAGTTATTCTGAAAATTACCTCTATTGTGGCCGCAAAATAATATTTTTACTTTAAAATATTTAGGAAGTTAATACCAAGTTTATAAATTTGAGAGTATAGAGTGGGGCATGCCTGTAATCTCAGCTACTGGGAAGGCTGAGGCGGGAGACTGCGTGAGCCCAGGAGTTTGAGGATACAGTACACAATCATTATGCCTATGGTGAGCCATGCACTCCAGCCTGGGCCACACAGTGAGACTTTGTTTTGAAAAAATTTAAGAATACAAATCATAATTGTAGCTTTAGATTACCTCAATGGTTAACTATTGGGTTAACCCAATAGAGATTAACCCATATGGAATTGTTCTTTTTGTGGCCAAATATAGGAAACTTCATATGGTTCCACCTCTGGCTACTTGAAATAGCTACTGGCTTCTTAAAGTTTTCATTTTTGAATTTCTAAATGCTTGATAGTTTTAGGAAAAAAATTACTGAGTTGCTTTTTCTGTGCAAGGCACAGAAAGAAAGACATTATACTCACCAGAATTTGGTCCAAATATGAGCAACAAGATATAGACAAACAAACTGTAGTATTAGATGGAGACCTCTAATACTACACTTTTCAGATGTGAAAACTGAGTTCCAAAAGAGTAAGTGACTGATGGAGCTATGATTAGAATTCAGGTTTCCTAGTAGCCAATCTGTATTTTTATTATACCACATTTTTTTCATTATAATTATTTGATTATGTTTTGGATACTCTTATGGGTAGTTTTCCTTTGTTTTTTGCTATGCTGAGCATGATTTTTTTTGACGGGGGCTAGGGGATAGTACCGTTGAGTTTAGGTTGGAGTGGGTCATTGAGGGCTTTGAAAGGATTAGAAAAACTGTTGATTGGCAGGTATAGACATTAGCTAGTCCTAGTTTCTAGTTGATTTATGATATTAGGACATTGAGATAAACTTTTTCATTTTTGCCTTCAGATGACCTGTTGCAGCTATTAATGTCATGTCCCCAAGTTGAATTAATTCAGTGTCTCACTAAAGAGTTGAATGAGAAACAACCATCTTTATCTTTTGGTCTTGCTATACTTCATCTGTTCTCTGCAGACATGAAAAAAGTTGGCATTAAGCTACTTCAAGAAATCAATAAAGGTGGGATAGGTAAGTAGAATAAAATGTTGTGGGAGAAATAGTAGTGGGTTATCTAGGGAGAGGTTCAAGATGGTTATGCATGAGTTAACTCAAATTTCCCTAAGAGTTCCTTCTTAGCAAGAGTTAACTTTAGGAGTTTATAAATGTAAAGATTGCCATGTAAATAATAATCTATTGGTAATAGGATATATTTCTTGAGAGAATTAGAATGAAGGGAGTATCTTTATGAAGCTTGAGGGGAATATTACAATAATTATGATCACTAACACTAAAAACTTTGTATATATTGACATATGTGTATATTTAGCTTTTATATGTATTTTAAATGTTATGTAGATATAAACTATATGTTTTAATTCCTAAACCAAATGTATGTGTATTTACATATGTTATTCACTCTGAACCTAACTCTGCTGTGAATTAGAGAATAACTAATTAGGCTGGGTGCAGTGGCTCACCCCTGTAATCCCAGCACTTTGGGGGGCTGAGGCGGGTGGATCGCTTGAGCTCAGGAGTTCAAGACCAGCCAGGGCAACATGGCAAAACCGTGTCTCTATGAAAAAGATACCAAAATTAGCCACATGTGGCATGCACCTGTAGTCCCAGCTACTTGAGAGGATGAGGTGGAAGGATCGCCTGAGCCCAGGGAGCTCAAGGCTACAGTGAGCCGTGACTGTGCCACTGCACTCCAGCCTGGGTGAGACACTGCCTCAAAAAAAATGAGAGAGAGAATAATTAAAACTCACTTTTATTTTCTTTTCATTAATTTAATATAGGAAGTTGAACAGACAACTTCATTTTAAATTACTTGAAAACATATTTTGGAAGATAACTTTATATTTTGAAATTATCATTACAGATATCAACTAAAATATTTTCATATAAAAATAATAATTATGGTAGAAATAAAATTATAGTGATGACAGTATTCTAAAAAGTGATCCTCTTTTATGAAGTACCATAAGTAATGCAGGTAATAGATAAGAAATGAGTTCCATAAATTGATAGATCACTAAGATATTTTTAAAAGTAAATAATATTAAATTTCTTTAACAAACAAAATGATTTTATTTCCTTAAGAAAAATATTTGTTATAGAAGCCCCATCATTAAGAGTTCTCCAGCTAGAGACAGGATAAAGAGTTTGTCAAAGAGTTTCTTCAGTCCTTGGGTTAGCTCCACTAAGGCATTTATATAAGTGTTTGAAATCATGAAAACTTGACCTATAGGTTTACAGTTATTTCATAGTTTCTAGTGGTGCCTTATAGACTCTGTGAATAAGGATGAGCCCACATTCATCACTTTCTGAGCTCCTGCCTTATAGCCTTCAACATCTGCTGCCTTAACAAGAAGGAGATGAGTGGAGATGTGAAATGTGAGAAGTGGTAGAGGGTTGAATTGAGACATGAAGAGGTTAATGATAAGGGAGG
Organism: Homo sapiens; assembly: GCF_000001405.40. Classification (NCBI taxonomy): domain Eukaryota; kingdom Metazoa; phylum Chordata; class Mammalia; order Primates; family Hominidae; genus Homo; species Homo sapiens. The sequence goes on along the minus strand of NC_000002.12, from coordinate 55,176,181 downwards.
AGGAGAAGGAACTAACACGAGTACTTACCATGAGCTTGACTGAGCACTGCATGTTATATCATTAATCTTAGGGGAATCAGGTAGAGTTTAACAGTAACTGAGTTGAAATTATGTCCTTTTCTATTTTTGAAGAATCACTAAAGTATAGATTATCAAATAAGTGCCATACTATAATATTGTATTTTTTCCCCACAGATGCAGTAGAAAGTCTTATGATAAATGATTCCTTTTGCTCCATAGAAAAGTGGCAAGAAGTGGCAAATATATGTTCACAGAATGGCTTTGACAAATTATCTAATGACATCACGTCTATTCTTCGATCTCAGGCTGCAGTTACAGAAATTTCTGAAGAGGATGACGCAGTCAACCTAATGGAACATGTGTTTTGGTAGTTCTATATCTTAACCAGCTGAGGGAGCTTGTACAACACCTTATGTATGCTGGTTGGGAAAAACTGATTTTAACGTAACTAACTTATAAATAAATCTAGAGTAAGAAGATCTCAGAAATAAATCACACTTTTGTTATGATGACATTTAGATTTGTCTTTGAAATATTTATACTATTGCTTCCTTTTCCCCATATGGTCATTTCTTATATTGAATCTTGATAAAATCCAAGATTATAACTTTGTGTGAAACAGTGTAGGGCATTTTTATCTAAGGACATAAGCTAATGTCCAGATATATTACTTTCTGGTGATGTAATATGATAGCAAGAACTGAGGAAGGTGTGGGTAGTATCCTGTGTGTTAGACTGTCTTCCCAAACATGAAATGCTACAAGCCTGACTTGACCAGAAAAGCAGGAAATCATTTCAAGGTTGGACTTGCTGGCAAAAACCTAGAGTATAGTAATTTTGTACTGCTGATTTAAAGATGCGCCCCATGCTTTGATATATATAAATATGGCAAAGCTTAGGCTTCTAGTATAAAAGCTGGGACTCTTGGCATGTTATTACTTAGAGAGAAGACCAGTCGAATTTTGCATAGAAGTAGACCTGTGATACCTATAGGTATGGAAAATATGTCATAAGAAGTGGTTTTGGATTATTTCAAGTGTCTGAATAAGTATTTGATTGAAAACTCTGAAAGTTCTGTGCCATGGACAGGTGTAATATTAAAAATATTTAATGATTAGTATGGCATGGGCACAAATCAAGCAGAACAGATACCTAATTAATCAGAACAGCCTTTAGCCCTTATGCCACACCAGAGCTTACTAGCTAAATGTCATCCTTGACCATGGAACATGGTTAAAATGAGCTGCTGGCTGGGCAAGGTAGCTCATGTCTGTAATCCCAGCACTTTGGGAGGTCGAGGCAGGAGGATCGCTTGAGCCCAGGAGTTTGAGACCAGCTAGGTAACACAGTGAGATCCCGTCTCTGTTATTAAAAAAAGAAAAAAAAATTTCAAGTAAAAAATGAAAATGATCTGCTATTAGAATAAGAGCAAAGAGCATAACTTTTCCCATCCTAAATTTAAATTGAATATGTATTTTTATGTTATAGTGGAAAGAAGATGAACGGGGAGTCAGACAGCTTCATATTAAAATTCTGGTCCTACCTCTTACTCACTTATAAAATATGGGCAGTCTTCCTTAGGCTTGTTGTGAGGATTAGTGATAATGTATGTGTAGTGTAAGTGTATAACATGATAGAGGAACTTAGGAAAAGATAGCTGTAATTCCTTTGTAATCGGCCCCAGAAACACACATTTCTCTACTTAGTTTGTACTTACTAAATCCCATATGTCTACTCATTTGTATTTATATGTTTATCCTTCTTTAAAGTATTTGATATATTGGTACAACTTATTGCTGAGATTAAGTTATCTGTCCACACTTGTATTAGGGTTGCCTGGCTTATCTTATAAATTCAGAAGCATTCAAGCTGAGTTTTTAATTTTTCCATTTGGTGCTAAATAGAATACTGGATAATTATAATTCAGCTTTCTAAAACGTAGCATTTTTAAAGTAATACATGTGCATAGTTTAAAAAGCAATTTATTACTAAAAGCCTTATCAAAATAATATTTTGATTTTTGGCCTTCATACAGGCTGTTGAAAAGAGCAGATAAAGGATGGAAAAAAGGAATGGAAAGGGAGAGGTATTTCGGCAGCACTGGTTCTTTGTGTGCCAACGGCTTAAAACCTTTTTTTTTTTTTTTTTCCTTTGAGACCTATATGATTGATAGAAAGCTATTATGTGTCCATTGACAGAGCTTAGAAAAAAAAATGTCTTCATGAAAGCCAGGAGGATAAAGTAGGTATATAAATCTAGAGAAAGCTTAAACAGCGGTTGTTGTTGTTATTCTAATTTTGCCTTGTTTTTCCTTTTCTCATTATTACTCCTTCTCAGTTAGCATTGCCTTTGGCAGCTTTCCCAAGGAAAGTAAAAGTTGTCAAGTGAATATAAATTAAAATGCCTGGTGATGGAAAATGGAGTTGGGAGGAAGAGCAAGATTACAAAGTTAAATGAGGAAGGAGAAAGAATTGAGTTGTGAGCTACAGAGGGCTTTGAAGCTATAAGAGCCTCCATGTAAGCTACACTGAAGGAGGTATAATCTGGGCCTCAGCACAGAAACCTGCATTCTAGACCAGCCCCACCACTGTCTAGCTATGTGTCCTTTTCCTCATGCTTAAGATAAATTTATTTTGACTAGATACCTCCTCTTGTCATTTCCAACTCTAAAATTCAGTAATTCTGAAAAGGTACAAATTATTTCCCAATGCTTCTTGACCTTCAGCCTAAATTTCAAATACTACAATTCAACATCAGCATCAACAACATCTACCGAATACCTGTTTTGCACACAATTTCTGCTAGCAAGATTACAACCTTAATGGAAACACACAACGTATTTTAAAAGTTACTAATAATAATTCCTTAGCATTATCTAATAGCCAGTCCATATTCAAATTTCACCAGTTGCTAAAAATGCCTTTTAACATTTGAATTGTTCCAATGAAGATTTAACCAACGTTCATGTGTTCTATTAGGTCTTGCTGTCTTGAGCGTGTCTTCTCTCCTTTTTTCCTCTTGCCATTGATTGCTTTACATAGCAGTTGCAAAGCAAGGGTCATGATGAACTAAGTTTCTCTGATTTCATATTAGGTTTTCTTTCTACCATACCAGTGAGGAAAGGAAGATATTTCTTCCAAGGTCTGAAAGATTTAATTGTAACTAGTTACATTTTTGTTTATTATAGTCAAGCATGTATCAAAATGAATTTCTATTAAATTCATTCATTTGGAAAGGTTTAGAGATGTTGAACAGAAGTCTAGTCTAATGAAAAAAATTTTTTTAATATTTAGAACTTTTCCTAAATCCTGAATTAACTAAGAAATGACCATTAAATTAATCACTTTTTTAACTTTAAAAGGTGAAAACCTGTTACTTTTTAGGTGCCTGGAATTCTGTTGGATTGCTAAAGCATATGTTAAGTCAAAAATCATAGCAGAGGCCTTTTTTTTTTTTTTTAACTTTGTACATTTCATAGAAAGCTCATACATTTCTTCCATTCTTTCTCAGAAAAAAATGGCATTTAACAAATGTTCGGTGTATAAAGCTGTCAGTTTGCTAGTAGTTATAATTTGTTGTGTTCTTGAATAAAAATATATTGGGTACATAAAAAAGACACTATTATTTATATAGTTTTTTTAGTTTTTTTTTTTAATTGATAATTTTCTACAAGTACCCTCCCTACCTTGAGGATCTGCGTCTACCTATAGAGGTTTTGGCACTACTGTAAATGAGTGAAATGTATCACAGTCAGGGAAAGGAGGATCTGGGGACTTTTTGAAAGGGACAATTGTGATAAATTCCAGGCAACTTTTATTATGCAGGGCTGTGGACTCGGTGTTACCTTCTTGGAAGCTGGACATGCAGATTTGATGTGAGCAGTACTGTGTGGGCCAAACAAAACACATCTGCAGACCAGACTTGACCTGCAGGTCACTAATTTGAAACCTCTGTCCTAAACTGAGGCTAAATTTGATTTCTTGTTTCCATCAACTTTATTTTTTTTTATTTATTTATTGAGACAGTCTTGCTCTGTCACCCAGGCTGGAGTACAGTGACACAATCTCAGCTCACTACAACTTCCACCTCCTGAGTTCAAGCGATTCTCCTGCCTCAGCCTCCTGAGTAGCTGGGATTACAGGTGCCCGCCACCACACCCAGATAATTTTTGTATTTTTAGTACAAATGGGTTTTCACCATGTTGGCCAGGCTGGTCTCAAACTCCTGACCTCAAGTGATCCATCAGCTTTGGCCTCTCAAAGTGCTGGGATTACAGGCATGAGTCATCATTCCTGGCCTCCATCAACTTTAAATGAAGCTTTTTGAGTGGATAAAGATAGTAAAGAATTACCATATTTTCTTATTTGGTGCCAGGCGCAGTGGCTCACGCCTGAATCCCAGCACTTTGGGAGGCCGAGGCAGGTGGATCGTGAGGTCAGGAGATCGAGACCATCCTGGCTAACACGGTGAAACCCCATCTCTACTAAAAATACAAAAAATTAGCCGGGCATGGTGGCGGGCGCCTGTAGTCCCAGCTGTTCGGGAGGCTGAGGCAGGAGAATGGTGTGAACCCGGGAGGTGGAGCTTGCAGTGAGCTGAGATTGTGCCACTGCACTGCAGCCTGCGTGACAGAGTGAGACTCCGACTAAAAAAAAAAAAAAAAAAAAAAAAAAGAATTACCATATTTTCTCATTTGGAAAAGCCTACTGCGGACTACCCAATTTACTGATGTAACACAAGGGAGGATAAAGGGTAGAGCTACTATGTGGAAGCCAATCCAGTATGGAGGCCATTTTGATTTCTAATGCAGAGGAACATGGAAGATAACACTGATGTAATTTGTGTGTAGAAAGAGGAAAAGGTACGGAGTCCTTAAGTAATTTTGACTTCCCCCGACCCCACTCTAAAGAATTAATCTATAGTATTCTTCCCCAACTGTATGCCATAAGCTTGGTTAAGAAGCAGTATTGCAGTTTTAAAATAGAGGCTATAAAATTACATTTTGAAGATTTGCCTACATGGATCCTTGCCTCTATCCAGTTAGCTCTTTAGTGGAAATTCCACTGTGGCTGTGGGGGGTCTCCATTATCATGTCATATATCAAACTGCAGCAATAATCACCACCAAGCATTTTTAGCTCTCCACTGGGTGCAAACTCTACCTTTAAGCTTTCATGTGTATTAATGTGTTAGGGCCACACTGAGAAGGATCCATCTTTTCCACTCAAGGAACAGTTGTATGGGTTAAATTCTGTTATCTTGTTTTATTAGGTCAGATAATAAAAATACTATCATAAATAGAGTGAGCTTTAGGTGGGTTTGTGCTTAACAGGAAGGGCATGTCACCCTTCTACCACTTTGGTTGTACACAGATCAGAATGTGTGACAACACATTCCCATCCATTTTCTCCTGGAACTCTTCCTTCGCCTCATACTGCTCACACATTTTGACTATATTGTTGTTATTGTTGTTGTTTGAGACGGAGTCTTCCTCTGTCACTCAGGCTGGAGGGCAGTGGTGCGATCTTGGCTCACTGCAACCTCCACCTTCTGGGTTCAAGTGATTATCCTGCCTCAGCCTCCCAAGTAGCTGAGATTACAGGCGCCCCCCACCACGCCTGGCTAATTTTTGTATTTTTAGTAGAGATGGGGTTTCACCATGTTGGCCAGACTGGTCTCAAACTCCTGACCTCAGGTGATCTGCCCGCCTTGGCCTCCCAAAGTGCTGGGATTACAGGCGTGAGCCACCATGTCCAGCCTGCTCACACACTTTGGTAATGTACATTTTGGAAGCAGCCCCCAGCAGTGGGACTGAATTGTCAAAAGATTTTTGCCAAATTGCTTAAAGAGTTAGGCGTTTATGAATTAATGATGATGAGTTTTGATTGCAGGCCCTGACCAACCCAAAGAGCAAACAGTTTGAAAAGTCAGCTTGAAAAGTCTGCAGGCTGTTTTTGGCCAGCCTCCTTGAGGTGAGTACTTAATGTTGATCAGCTTCTGAACACAACATCCAGAAACAGGTTTGTGCTGCTACTAGGATCAATAATGAGAATGCGAAAAACATTGGCAGAGAGATTCCAGTGGCCTTCCAGATTGCAGTGCAGAGAGCCTGCTTGCCAAGAAACCAAACATAGGTATTAATCTTGGCATCCGAGAATGTGACTCTCCCTGTTTTCTTGAGGGTGCAGGGACAGGGAGAATAATTGCCAAGGCTATTCCTTCTATTCCTTTGCCCAGGTTGGTCCCCTAGAGATGGAAAAAAGTCCTTTATGCTATTTGTGTGTATAAACAGTCTCCAAGTTTCTTCTACCCTCTGGGTATGCTTTTTCAGGTGTCAAATGAACATGATAATATTTTCTAAGAGATGATTTTCATGCTGACTCTTTCCCTAAGGAACAAGAGGTCTTGAAGAGCTCATAACACCAGTAGCAGATACCAGAAAAAGGTGCATATCTTAAACCCAAGTGACACATAAATTAGACATCAATAAGATTACAGCTACTCTCATTCTGTGATTTGTAATCCATGAAAAATTGCTTATAAAATGAATGTTTTCTAAATGAAACAGGACTGAAATGGTTATTTTGAAGAAATTTTCCTGGGAATGCTCTGTGAGATGAATCACCAACTCCTAATTTATCTGCCTGGTAAATGTTAGGTTTGCCTAATGCAAAGTGTCCCATTGATAGGGATAATAGCAGGCACCACAAACACTTGTTGAAATCATCTTTGCTTAAATGCTAAATAGAGCATCGAAACTAGTTTGAGGCTTCACATTAAGAAAACTGTTACTAATTTTGAGCATGTATAGATCGTGAAGATGTAGAAAGAAAAGTTGAAGGAATGGGGTTATTCAATTTGGGAAGAAAAAAACAAACATATAATCACAGTTCTGCCTTTGAGTGTCCAAAAGCCCTCACCTTAAGGATACAACAAACTCTAAGCCACATGAGCCATAGAACTAAATAATAAACCATTTTTATTTGAGACAGAATAATTTGCTGATGGTGGAGATTGTGAAGGCTGGTATTGGGTCAATAAAGAAAGTTGTAGAAGGAGCTACTCTGAAAGCCTTAAAAAATAAACTAGTTGCTCTCTTCTGTTTGATATAATTATGGTAGTTTCTGGGTTTTAGAGGAGTCCTAAAGAAAATTCTTGAGATGATCTTTTTTGGAGAAGCCCTGTGCAACACTCAAAATTACTTAATCCAACAACCATTTCCTGATTAGCTACTAAGAGAGGAATAAGACATCCTATGTATCTCATGGGTACTTGCAATCTAGAAGTAAAGTTATATACAAACAATTGTAATACAACATGGTAAGAGTTAAAATGGAAACATAACAGAACAATGACCTTTCTTGGTTAGGATTTACTAGAATATGTGCCAGTTTGACTCAGTAGATGGCGGCAGAGATGCCAGCAAGACCTTCAGTGATTGGAATTGTTTTTATGGGGAAGAAGTGAGGCTGGTCCTATTGTTTCTAGTCGTATTTTTCAATATAGTCATATTTTCTGGTTGGAAAGCTTGAGCAGCTCAAGGACCATTCTTGGAGGATTTGTATTCTTAAGAAGATGGCCCTTTAAGGAAAATTTACTCTATATGAAAATATGTAAACATCCAAGCACTTTTTCATATTTAGCTTTTCAGTGAAATAGGGATGAGGGTGGGGTGAGTGGGGTGAGTCCAGGCCTGGAGAGAGGACTTTGTTTTCTAAACATAGCATTTATTTTCGAGGCACTTCAAAGGATGTATTGTAGTAGGATCCTGCTCTTTATGCAGCAATCCTACACTGTTAGACGCTTGACCAGGCCCCTCGTGGCTTGGCTGACTTTTCTGTTTGTGCTGCTTTGGGCTGAAGCACAGGCTAGTTGAAGAGTTGTTGCTGATGCCGTAACTGTAGCTTTGAAACCTTTTGGCATGCTCAGTGTATTCTTCAGGAAACTAAGAAATGTAGACTTAGAAATAACCCAAGCCAGACAACTTGTTGCCAGATTGTGGGGAGTGTATTCTCCCAAAATCATTGAGATGGTTTCAGAACTAACTGAAGAGAGTGCCTGGTTATTCTGCTTGCACAGTCTTCAAGCCTTGATTCAAAGTGGGGCAATGAGATTAGTGCAGAGGTGAAGGCAAGAGGCGTCTGTGTGTGCCTCCGGAGAGACCCTAGCCTAGGAAGCAATTCTGAGACTTTGTTATTTTCTGACCAGAACTGCCAGCTCACGGATCTCCACATACCACTTAGCTTTTGAAGGGAGCCTATGAGCCAAGGTTAAGTCTTCTTTCACCCCACAGTTGGGGTTTTATTTGTTGTCTTTGTTCCTCAGCTCTGTCTCCATCAAAAACAAGATAATGAGCTTGTTGGTCAAGCAGCTTGTAATTTTCCCAGGTCAGCTGAGTGTCTAGAGGAGGAGAAACAAGGCCTGATGATTCCTGAGTAGGTGAATACATTTAGGAGGACAGAGAATTATTTGTAAGTCAGGGTTTCTCAACCTCAGCACTACTGACAGTTTGGACGGGATAATTCTTTGTTATGTGAGGTTGTCCTGTGGCCTTGTGGATGCAGGACACTAGATGCCAGTAATCACCCTCCCCAACCCCAGCTCCCCTGGCTATCAGAAATTGTGTTAGGCCACGCCCAGTGGTTTGGCGCCACTAGTGTGAGTTTTCCTCATGAGTATAAAAACTCTACCACTCCACAGTTAAATGTCATAGTTACTGGGTGGATCTTCTGTAAACAGGGTCAGAGATAGTAAAGTAAGGGCCTGGACCTCCCTTATTTCTTTCTCCAACATAAATCACTACTTATCATTGCAGATCCAGAAAGCATCTTTTTTTTTTTTTTTTTTTTTTTTGAGATGGAGTCTCACTCTGTCACCAGGCTGGAGTGCAGTGGCGCCATCTGGGCTCACACAACCTCCGACTCCCTGGTTCAAGCGATTCTCCTGCCTCAGCCTCTTGAGTAGCTGGAATTACAGGCACGTGCCACCGCACCCTGCTAATTTTTGTATTTTTAGTAAAGGTGGGGTTTCACCATGTTGGCCAGGATGGTCTCAATCTCCTGACCTCATGATCCACCCGCCTCGGCCTCCCAAAGTGCTGGGATTACAGGAGTGAGCCACTGCACCCGGCCAAGAAAACATCTTGAGCTATGTACATGGAAACAAACAAACAAAACAAAACAGGCCTTATCTCACTTTCAACTCAGAAATCTCAGTATCTCAGGGATTCTTGGTAAGACAGAAGTAACTGATGTGCTCAGATTTCTCTTGTAGGCAGAAGGCTATCACCTTCAAGCATGAGCTGCCTGCCTTCTGAACTCGCAGACCGCCTCTTCCGTTCTCTGGGGGCACATTGGCTTCCGTGTTCCTAGGTTTAACCTTTCTTCTTCCCTTGATCCCTTTGTATCTTCAGTTAGGAGCCCAGGCTGTGGAAATGCTTGCCTGGAAGGGTGGGAACCAAAGTGCCCTCAGTGGCTTTAGAATGTGACTTGTTATTGCATCCACTTGTGCCATTTGTCAAAGAGGATGATAAAGACTTGGCTCTATTAGGTGAGAAATTGGCATAGCTATTAAACTGACTGACATTCAAACCAAGCTTTATTACAGAAAGCTACAGAGATGATAGGATTGAAAACATGACCTTTTGCCAGAAAGCTAGTGGGAAATGGGATCATTAACCTTGAAGAAATATTACAGATGAACCATAAAGGATTACTGAACAGAGAACCTCATACATGTTTTCTACTTCTGCTTAAGACAACAAAAAGAAATTCACACAGGAATTTAATTTAAGTTAAAACTTTAAATTATTGCAGGGAGATGTTTTTGATAGTTAAGGTTTATGAACTTTATAAGGGGTGACAGTTCCGAGGGTGGGTTTGGAGTGCTCTTTAAAGGTCTTTAAGAACTGGCTGTACCTATATCTGACTGATTGGTTGAGGAAGGGCAGGTTCTGTGAGGGAAGGGATCACCTTTTCAGTACCCCTGCTCTGATGCTTGGATGGCCCAATACACATGTTGTGGTTGACTGTAAGGTGGCACCAAACTTAATTCTCTAAATAAGGACTTGGGCAATGTTCTTCACGGTGTGAGTTACCTGACCAGACTCAACAGATGACAATCTTCTCTCTGCCTTCAGCAGGGCTCTGCACATTTACTTCATAAGCAGTGTTGTGGGTAGGGCTCCCTGAAAAGCTGACTCTGAGACAGAGGTTTGTGTGTAGGCTGTTCATTAGGAAGTGCTCTCCGTATCCACACTGTGGAAGGGAAGAGAAGAAAGCAGGGTTGGGCAGAGGGAGAAGCTAAGCTCTGAAGTAGTCCCAGAAAAGAGCTCAGCTGACCACTTGGAATGCACTGAAGCTGGGAGGGCCCTTCTGAGGTATCCCCAGTTGGTGTGTGGAGCCAGGCCTTTAGACTTCTGTGGATGAGTCACTGGATGGGGGCTGCCACTGGAAGTAGGCATGACTTGGGCAGGGTAGTTTCCTTCAGCCCAGGAAGTCCCCAAGAGTGCTGATGGCCATGGATCTTGCTCTAGCAGCTTTTCGACCATGTGGGGGACTAAACTCTTCATTCATGAAACGGGACCTGGGGAGCGTCACAGCGTCCACCACAGCAGCTTCCCCTGGCTTCTACTTGGGTCTGAGTCTTTCCTTCACCCTTTACATAAGAAGCCTTTTCCTCCAGGAACATATTTCCCTTCCCCTCATTCCCACCCAACCCTTTGCCACCCCAGTACAGGGAGTGAGTGCAGAGCCACAGATTCTGTTTGTTTTGAAATTTATTCCTCCCTCCCTCTTTCCTCGTCTTCTTCATTTCTCTCTTTTACCTCTCATCAGGCAGATTCATGGCCTCGTGACAGCCAGACTAGATGGCAAGCTAAATGTCAAGCTGATTTCTTCCTCTTTGGAGAGTTTCCATTCTCCCTTTCGTGGCTGCGAATTCCTTCTCTGTCCTTTGCAAACACCTTGTGGATGAATCCCCATGGCAGTAGTGCAGTCAACAGCATACTGGACTGCAGCCTTCATTAGCTGAGGCACTCGTTTGTAGGAGCTCAGTCAAGGCCTGTTTCCTCCATTAGTTCTCCAAAACAGGGAAAGGCCATGGAACCGAGTAATCTCCATCACTCCTTCTAACTCCAGTGTTCAATAATATTTTGATTTGAAGGATTTTCACAACAGGAAATGGCAACAAAAGAGATGCCGGATTCCCTAGTTAGTCTTTGCTTCTTATCTCACCCACATAGAATACCAAAGTCTCTTTTCCCAACTAAACGCAAGATGTGGGATTAGTTATGGCATAGCCTGAAGTGTTTGGGGGAGTGAAGTTTTAAAACCCCAGAACATTTTGGAAACCAGTCTGTATTGAAATCAGCAAGTTCTTAGCAGCTCATCTTGCAGCTGCGCCTAGCCTGTCTGCGAGGCTTCTGTGTAAGGGTAAGTGAAGGTGAATCAGGACTTGTGTTGGGCTGCATTTGAAATGCATGGAGCAGCACACTGCAGCAAGAGAGGTTTCCTGCTGGCTTCATTCTGCTGGCCTCCCTCCCTTTTTATTAATCTTAATTTAATTGGATTTAGCTATCAGTCTTGGTATTTTCTGTAGCGATTTTTTTTTTTTAAGGCATGAGTCGGAGCCATCGTAAACACGCGCTTAGAAGGAGCTCGGCTCAGATGCCAGGTAGAGACCCCCTTCAAACTGTCCTTTCTGTTCCAGGCTGGGTGTCTCATTCAGTAATGACAGACTGAGAAATTAGCAGCACAGGGTAAAGATAGAGGAGGTAGAAGCAGGAGAGAAAAGGCTAGTGGAAAAGTGAACTTGGCTGTTCAGAGGACAGAGCTGAGTTTATTTGCATAGTAACTCAGGTGTGGTTACTTATTTACGAAACACATTTCTTATGAGGTGTGGAAAATAGGCTACCTGTGAACCTGATCCCTGGCCTAGAATGCTCATGGTCAGGAGGCAGAGCCCGGCAGGGACCCCACTCCCAAGCCCTTCCATTTCACCTCTGTAATTCCCCGTGGAAGCAGCAGAATCCAAAACGTCTTGTTTACTTGTCTTCCCCTCCCCGCGAGACTCTGAGGTCCTGAAGAGCCAGGATAAGTATTTGGTCACTGTTGTTTTCCTTGGCACATGGCAGACCTTCAGTAAATAAATGGGTAATGAATGAGCATCGGAGTAACCTGCTGAGTGACTTGGCAGTGAAGGTTGCAGCAACCTGGAAGTTGGAGGCAGGTAAATACAAAAGAGAAGGAGAAGTTTTGGATCTCCCAGACTTAGACAGGTACCCTGAAGTAAGAGGAGGGAGTTATGTCAGAGCCTAGGGACAGAGAGGCACCATTTGAAGTAGAGGTCAGCTGTAGACACACTGCAGGAGACGATCCCAAACAAACTTGACCTTCTACCAAGTACATGGACCTGACTTATTCAGAACAAGGCAAAAACCAAAACAAAACCTTAAAAAAGGCCTACCCCCAAACAGGAATTCCCCCAGACTCACGGTAATGCTGTAGCTACACAGCAGAAAGAACAAAGAAGTGATCTAAGCATCCTGAAATTGAAACGGCTATTGCTAAACGCAGGAGAATCAGCAGAATCATTAGATTCCAGAAAATGCCGAACCTCTGAGGCCTCTGTTTTCTTCCATCCTGATGTTAGATTGCTGGCAGCCCACGCTGAGCTGCTTTATGAGAATGTGCAGCTAGGCCACTGCCTCTAGAAAGATGAGGGAGGAAGGAAGGGCAAGCTTGACTTGCTTGGAATGTGGAAGCTCTGTGTCGAAGATGAGTGAATGAGCACCGGGCACTGCTGTCTCTCTGCTCCTGCTGACGAATGAGGATATGGCTGGCCCTTTCAGCTAATTAGATGCAGACATGGGTATCTCCGAGTATATATATCAGTCAGGGCCCGCCTTACAGGAAAATAGAATTTATCCATAAAGGTTCAAATAAAAAGACGTTAATAAAGAGATTATTGCCAGAGATTTGGGCAAGGTTAAGAGAACCACTAAGGAATGTTGAGTACCCAGAGGCTGCCTCAGTCAGGAACCATTACCTCCCATGGAGACAGGGCACGAGGAGGAAGGAAATCACAGTACCAGAACCAGGAAGAGCTAGAACTCTGAGAAGGAACCTCTGTGGGAGCTGTCATCATGCAGGGCAGGGATGCAGGGACATGGCTTTCAGCCACTGTCAGAGACAAGGCACCAAAGAAAGGAAGGGGTGAGGAGGAAAGATACCCCATCATCACTGGTGTTATCACTGAGGAAGGAAAGGGAAGCAGAAAGGCCTGAAGCCTGGTGGTCCTGAACAGCACATGTGGGCCGGGTACATGGGGTGCGTGGCTTATCGAAGATATGGATCTCTGTTGATTGGTCTGTTTCCCCAACTGAGAGGCTGGGATGGCTTCTGTGCAAGCTGGTGTGAGTGACCCTCCAGCGATTTGGGGGCAGCAGGCAGCCGACACTGTCATTAAGTTGACTTTACTGTAAGGTAATCCAGGCAAGAGTGGACATTTGATCTGGAACACAAGGTCTTATCACCAAATAAATATTTTATCATTCAAGTCCCCTCTGAGCTGATGCAGGGACAGGGCTTTTGTGCATGTCTGAGCCCTCTGCCTCCTCTCGGAAGTCCAACGACCCCTGTTCAGGGAAGGGGGCGGGGCTGGGGCTGAGCCATTAGAGGAGGTGGGAAAGGGGTGAGTCAGGAGACAGGGGCTGGGTTTTCCTTTCAGGACTTCTTTTCTTTTCAGAAAGATCAAATGCGATAACACGTGAAAGCATTTTGGAAGGCAGAAAATATCATAACAAACCGACCATGTCTTTTCAGAAAATGTCCCTCAGGAGGTCTAAACCATAGCTGAGCTGCTTTTATTCATTCATTTAACAGGTATTTATTGAGCACCGGCCATATGCCAAGGGCTTATTTTCTGCCTTATGGATTGGCAGGGTTCTTTGCATATTCTTTTCCACTCAGCCAGCCTGAACTTTAGAGGTTTTATGTTAACCTGTGCTGTCTAGGGTTGATGGGGAGTATAGAAGAAAGTAAAATGCTTGTCAAGGAGTGACGGGAAATATGTTGGCGGAAATGAGATTTCAACACCCGCTTCTCATTACCTCCAGCCTCATTGGCATTCTGCCTTTTTGCTAAGGAGCTGCAGGCTGGGTCTGCATAGGGAGCGAGGCCTTGAATGGCACTGCAGGGCACCATGGCAACCACACAGGTTTGCCACTAGGGAGTTCGTGTCAGGTTGTACCTTGAAGCTCATCAACTGTGGGCTCAGAAAAAAAAAAGAAGAAGAAGAAGAAGGAAAAGAAAGAAACGCTTTCCCATTCTGTGAGGTGGAGAAAAGGGGAAGGGAGGTCAGTGTGATGGATACAGCTCAGACAGGGTGCTGTCAGTAGGGATGCATGCGTCAGCGAGGACGTTTCACTTTCAATAGCAGCTCTGCTTGCTGGGAACTTGGGATGCCGGGCCCTAGCATGGATAAAGGCACACATGCCTAGCTTGGGTTATGAAATGCCAGGATGTCCTGTCAGGATGTTTGTCTTTGAGCAAGAATCAAAGGAGTAGATGGCTTTCCCCTGGTGGGGCAGTTCAGGAATCCCTGCTTGTCTTGAAGGGGAACCCCTTTGAGCAGGTCCTGGATAAACCACCCACTTCCCCCATGTCCTAGACCCATTGCTTCTGGGTGAGTAATGTTTTGCTGTTTCTTTCTCTAGTCAATAAATCAATCCTCCCACCTCATTCATATCCTGGTAAAACATGGTGGGTGCCCAGTATATGCCTGGGTTATCTGATGAAACTAGCCCTAATCCAGAAGAAAGTTGTTTGCAAAGTATCACTAAATAAGCATAAAATAGTGTCCTTACTGTAACAGAAAAGGGAAAGAAATGTAGGGCAGGGTCTTGGGAACTTGATGTACCTTGGTACTTTAAAAAATGCCCCAACTCAAGGATCCTGCGACCTGGTGAGGGAGACAGAAGCAAAGTCCTTGTTGTGGGCCCCACCACCACCTAATTTTTCCCAGAGGAAGGCCAAGGACTCCGTGGAGTCTCAAATACCTCAGAGTGAGCCTTGTCTGCTAGGAATTCGTGCTTCTGTACCTCTCTCCTTTTATCCTGCCTTCTTGTCATCCTCACAGCAACATCTTTAAACACATCTGGTCTGTTTATTTGCCTCATCTGCAGGCAGGCCAGGTAGTTGAGTAGGAGCCATGTCTAATGGTTAAGCAGGGCTGATGCTGGATGAGGAGGAAGGTACAGTAGCCTTCTCCTCCTCACTATCATTACTTAAGAGGGGCCGAATGATGATGATGACTGACAGCCCTTCAGGGGATTTATCTTATTTCAGCCTCTGTTTGCAGAGGTGCTTTAGGACTTTATAAAGACCCTCCCAGAGCTCTGGCAATTTGTCTTTTCAGTTTCTTAGATCCAGGATACTACTTGGGTTTAGAAAGTTTGCTTGTTTGTGCTGCAGGAGGTGGTGGCTGCCGGGTTCTTGGAGGAGAGGACCCATTGGTTGGCTATTTCCATAGGTGCTGTGTTGGCTGCCCAGTCGGTATTGATTTTTAGATTGCTCCCATAATCACACTGCATTATGCTGCACTGGCCCAGGGCCTGGGCAGGCCTTTTAACTTGAAACATTTGTTCTCTGGAAGGTGCTGGTTCTCTCTTCCTTGGCTGTCCCTTCCAGGTCTCCTGGGGTTCCCAACTTGTCACTGACATTCTTCCTACTGGCTCATTTGAAAAGGTCTGAGAGTGGCATCAATGCTGATGATTTGCTAGGCACAGCAGCTTGGCTTCAGCTCTTAAAGTTGCTTTAGTTTTGGAATGTATGGTGGGAAGGGGCTGAGCCGAGGCAAGTTCTTAAAGAAAGATCATGCATTTACATCAGAAACCTGCAGTGTTTAAGAGTTTGAAAATACCCTGGTTAGAAGAAATATACTGTATTTGGAAATAAAAATAAGGATTAGTGGCCAAGTTTTTCTTTGCAAAATTAGCACTTCAGCCATACTGTTGGGAGCATTTGATGATTAAGTGAAAGGGGTTCCAGCCTGGGCTACATCGTGAGACCTTGCCTCTACTAAAAATTAAAAAAAATTAGCCAGGCTTAGCCAGGTGTGGTGATGCACACCTGCAGTCCCAGCTACTCAGGAGGCTGAGGCAGGAGGAGTACTTGAACTCATGAGTTTGAGGCTCACTCTCACATGGCAGTGAGCTATGATTGCGCCACTGCACTCCAGCCTGAGTGACAGTGAGACTTTATTTCATAAAAAAAAAAAGATAAGAAAGAAAGGGGTTGTGCTTTTTAAGAAACAGACATAAAGGTCTTAGAAGAGTCCTGGGTATGTGGGAAATACTATATAAGTATATAATATATATTTTGTATAATAAAATATACAGCAGAACCAATGGCCAGAATGGAACTGGAGGAGCTGCAGATAGGCATATGCAGCTGGCATAGAGAGAGCTATATTTGGGGTTTAGGGAAGGTTGTCATTGATGGTGCAGAACAAGATGTACGAGAGGCTGATGCTCCCTGAGAATTCATGAATTGCTGCTGGGAGGAAGGGATGCCCCCTCCCTTAGCTGAGTACCCAGTGCATGTTAGGTGTTTCACAGACATCATCTCAATGAGTCAGCACCATATTCTATGAAGCAGGTGTTGCTGTCACTTTTTTACAGATGAGAAACTGCCAAGGGTCACACAGCTGCTGTGCGGAGCCACCTCTTCCTCTCTGAGGAGGAAATTGGAGCAGAGGACAGATCTGGGCCTGTTCTCCCTCCGACCTTGTTGTGGGGAGGGGCAGTACACCCTCAATCCCTTCCCCAGTAGGCTCAGGGCCACACATGGGAAGCAGGTCCCTGCCCAGTGGAAGTGGAGGGGGCAAGGTCATAGTGGTGTCACTTTAGCATGTGCTCACGGGGCTGAGGCTGCCCTCTCCCTGGAGTACTCTAAAGCTGCCCCTGACTTGTTGCTCTCCCTCTCTCCAAGGACTTGTTGGCCAGAGGCCCAGGCTCTGCTCATAGAGAACTGACTGATTTCCCAAAATAGGAAGCCTCAGCACCCACCCATTCTCTTCCTTCAGCTGAGCTGGGTGGGGGCCTCCTTAGTATAAATCTCTCTTTATAGGTATGTTTTACCAGAAGAAACTTTGGCAAAAAAGAGTGGGGCTTGGCTGGGTGCGGTGGCTCACGCCTGTAATCCCAGCACTTTGGGAGGCCGAGGCGGGTGGATCACCTGAGGTCGGGAGTTCGAGACTGGCCTGACCAACACAGAGAAATCCTGTCTCTACTAAAAATACAAAAATTAGCTGGGCGTGGTGGCAAGCACCTGTAATCCCAGCTACTCAGGAGGCTGAAGCAGGAGAATCGCTTGAACCTGGGAGGCAGAGGTTGCGGTGAGCCGAGATTGCGCCATTGCACTCCAGCCTGGGCAACAAGAGTGAAACTCCGTCTCAAAAAAAAATAAAAAAATAAAAAAGAGTGTGACTGACTGGATACCTGTGGTCGTAGGGCCAGTTTGTAGCCAAGGAATTTATAGCCATTGAGCCTGGGGATTAACTGGAGTGACAGAGGGGTGGTGGTTGCACAGAAGTCTGTGCAGTCCCTGATTGAAAGAGGAAAGAAGCCTGAGGAGCTTCACTGGCTACCCTGCTGATTTCTTCCCTTCTTGCAGCAGCCCAAGGCTGGGAGCGCCAAGCTTGGCAATAGAAGAGTCAAATGTTATTGCCAGTCTGCAGGGCCTGGAGCAAATCTTCCTGAGACTTGGTTTTCTCATCTGTGTAATGGCTGCAACAGCCCTTGTCCTGACTACTCACAGGTTTATAGTGTAGGTCGAGAGAGGTAGCCTTTGTATGCATTCAGTGCTGGGTGAGGTGCCCTCCTTACACTTCTCAAACTAATAAGAGATAAGCTTGTGGTGGCTCAGAGATAACACATGCACACAGGGCCTGGAACAGGAAAGGTGAGCCCCGGCAAGCCTCACATAGAGCTTCCTTTCTGCGGCTCCAACTGGATCAGCCTCTCTTCCCCAAGCCCTGCCTCTCTTTCACATTGATTTTAAGAATAACCATGCAATTTCCTGCTTTGCTGTTTGGGTTTTGCTTGGCTGCTTTAATTCATCATTCTGTCAAATGGGTTTTTCTCTCTTTCCACAATCAGTTGATCTGAAATAGGATTTTACCTAATGAAGCAGAATTTCCCACTCTTTTGTTTATGAGAGGTGTGGGTTTTGTTTTGTTTCTTAATCTTATTTTGTTTTTACTGTTCAGAATTTACCTGATGTTCTGCATTTCCCACTTTGCTTGTGATTAGAGGGAGAGGCCATAGTAAGAACAACAGTATGAAGGTCACTTTCCCTTCTCCTATGTGTGTTTCTGCCTTGAAAAATAGTAAAGAGTGGGAAGGGACAGACCTAGTCATAGTCAAAGTCACGCTTACATCATCCCTGTTCTTTGGTGCACTCTATTAGTGGTGAATTTGGCAGGACAGACAGGGTCATAAACATCGGCCCTGATCCCTCTGCTGATGGCTATGGGAATAGCCTTGAGGGCACAGTTGCCACCTCCTCTCACTAGTATAAGCAGGGGGTGGGGGAGGCTTATCAGAGGAGACCCTGCTCCCCTCTTGGCATGAGTTGGCTTTGGGTGTTTGGGGTGGAGGTGGAGAAAGAGATAACTGTGGTAAACAAAAGACAAAGGCAGAATGGCTAAACCCAGAGAGGGCTCCCCACCAGTGAGCAATGCAGTGAGACCTCCATGCCTGGCTTGGAAGCTGGAATCAGTACCCACTCCTCAGTGGCAGATACAAAAAAAGCAGATCGAGTCTCTGTGCATAAAGAGCTGAAGATCTACCAGAGATTAAAATAATCCCCAAAAGCATGAAAGATGTGGCAGTTCTTACAAAACAACTAGGTGGGTACGTGGCTCTGAGGATGGCATTTTCCTTGGGCTCACTTTGGCCTTCTGAACTAGCAGAAGGAAGTAGATAACAATCTGTCTCTCTTCTTCCCTCCTTCCTTCCCTTCCTAATTGAAAGCCTACTATTTGTATAACACTGTGCTAGGTTCTGGGTGGGGATTAATGTGTTCCAATAAGGGATTCAACAGTTTCTATGCAGGGGTGTCAGTGCCAGAGTTGAGGAGCACTATCAAGCTATGCTACCTGAAGGAGCAGGGACTGGACTTTCAATACCAATATCAGGACAAACAAGCCTTGTCCAAGGGCATCATTCTGGAATGACCACAACCTAACCTCAGCTTCTGTACCTACTCTGTTTTTTTGTTCCTGCCTTTGAATCCAACTCATTTGCATAGATCCCTTCTCCACATGGGCCATTCCTTTGTTATCTCAGTGTCTGACTTAGACCCCTGATACTACTCTCTGAGGCAAGGCTTTGGGCCCCTTTCTTACCTTGGCCAGACTCCTGGTTTGGCTCCTGGCAAATTGCTTGGGCTGACATTGAGAATACAGGGCTTCGGTCTAATTGAAGAGACAAGACCTAGACACAGACCAATGTTTTGTTTCTTTTTTAAATAGCATGTTAATTGCCAAAAGAGCAGTGTTCTGTAAGATCTCAGAGGGCTTGATTTTGGTCCTGAGAGACAGTCAGGATTTGCATAAATGGAAAGGAGCAGGGAGTGAGTGCATTCTTGGCAGGAGAAAAAGCTTCAGCAAGGGCTCCAAGATGGGAATGTGCTTAATGAATTCAAGAAGCAACGAGTAGACTGGTTTGCTAAAAATACTTACCAAGCACCTTCCATGCACAAGGCACATAGCAGACACAAAGAAAGGGTAACAAGTGATCTTTGTCTTCAAGAATTCTGTAGGTCTTTGACTATGAAATGCCCCCATCAGAGCAGAAAAGCCTGGAAGAAGTCTAAGGAATAAAGCTGGAGGCAAAAATTGAGGGTGCAGGAAAGTGTCAGCTCTCCCATCCCAGAGATTCAGATGACTAAAAAATGTGTGCTCAGGACATAATCTTAGTAAAGCTGCAGATTATGTTTAAAGCAAACATTTACAAAGAGGATTGGCATGAGGAATGTGCAGAGAGAGTGAGCAGTTCTGTGTTACAGAGCTTCTGAATTGCTGCGGTAGAATTAGCCAGCAAAAGTGGAAAGAAAAGAAATCAGGGTTCAAGCATGAATGTATTTTAATAGCAATCTTTGCAGCCTGGGCTGATGCTCCCAATATCTATTATGTTGCTATTGTCTTAGTGACTGTGGCAGCAAAGTCTTATAGGCCTGGGGAGACCTTTCTAGCTTGGTAAATTCTTTGGCTTTTTGAACTTGTCCCAAAAAATTGCTTTGGTTTCCTCTCCCTGAATACAGAGGAATGCCTGTGGTCTCTGAAATGGAATAACAGTTGACATTGCTCTGTGCTATTTTACCAGGAAAAATTACTAATGAGATGGATAATTTTGGTCCTTGCATTTGCTCTCCTGAGCGTGGCTAAATTCTAATGGCTTTTCTAAAGCAACTTAATTTGAACTAGTATTTATAAAAGTTGCTATATCCTCACTCAAGGTACAATTTTAAAAACAGCCAGACATGAAATGAGAGGATAGGAGTGCCAATAAAATGAACATTCATTCAACAGATACTTTTGTCCCTACTATGTTCAAGTCACGCTGCTGGCACAAAAGCAAATGTCTACTTATAAAAGCCACACTTGTACTATCCTACTAACGCTAAACATCAGGCACTATCCAGCTAAATGAACAAGGAATTCCAGACCCTAGGTCTTCCAATGGAAACATTAACTGTCCACATACGGGAAGGACACAGAGACAAGGGAATTCTTCAGTGATTTCTGGCAGCGTCATCCCCCTCAGTACTTTGTGAGGCTACCAAGTCTCAGAAGAAAAGGCCCTTATCCAGAGCTGGGTATCCAGAGGCATTCAACCAGGAGAGGTGGGAGAATAATCTGCAAAGTGGAGAACAAGACCTGATGTGGAGTCCTGCAAGGTGGTGGAAACTGGCTCACCTCTGATGAAGCCGGTCCCTTTTACACAACAAGCAGGAGCACTCTGCCTGTTCTTGACCCAGGCTCAGTGACTCTCATCTGAATTAGCCTGCTGAGAAGAAAGGTAACACACCTTTCCCCAGAACTGGCGATGGTGATGCAAAAGCCAGGATTTGAGGGATAGACAGATGTTTGGAGTGGACACAGTTCCCCGTGGGGCGGGGTGGGGGAGGGTCACTGTTGGTTGAGTTCAGAAGGCCATATGGAGGAAGGTGTGCTGTGGGATTTAGTCTCTTTGTGCTCCTGCTCAGTCCCATGTGAACCAGACATAACTAAGAGGAGGGATTGACATAGGATGGTGTCAGAGCATGTGCTGTGGGAGATGAGCTGGGACCGTTGGCAAACTCTGGCTAATAAGTGGTAGGGCCAGATTGTAAGCCAGGCTCACCTGGCTCCAAAGCCATTCCCTTCCACAAAACTCCATTGGCTCCTGGCCACCTGTCTCAGATATCTGAGGGCAAAGGAGTGGAATCTGCCCAGAGAAGGTGGCTCCTAGCAGAAAAGGTGGCTGCAGAGCCCTTGGTGTAGAGCACTGGTACCAACACTAACCTCAAGGTGTACTTAGGCTGGTTGTGGTGGGTACAGCACAGTGCCCTTTTTTTCCTAACCTCTGCCTTTGGCTGAAATACCATCTGAAATTGAACTCACCCTTTTTCATGTAGAAGCCTGCAATGTTTCTGGTTCCCAGCACCGCAGAGGACAACAAAGCTCAGAAAAGGAAAGACTTTGTCTGGGGGAGACTCACTGCATACCCAGGTCCCTCTCCCCTCTTGCACTTTGAGGATACAGCAAGTCTCCTGTTATGCATGTGACCCACTTGTTCAGAAGAATAGAGGCAGGGGTCGCTGAGGATTGGGTTTCTGTCCTGGGGCTTCCAGAAGGCCCAGATTTCTGGCAATAACACTTATCTGGAAGCTGTTAACTTTGCCCTAGTTCATTTTATTACATGCATACTTCCCTTTTAAAGATACTTTCAGACGATGGGTGTGGTGGCTGATGAGTTAAAACCTGTCTTAATTATGCACTGAAGCCCGGTTTCGGAGTGTTATTACTTGCTTAATGATAGCAGCTTGCAAAACAGTTTCCATGGCTCTCAGCACAGCTAGGCCTGCATTGCCATACATCTGCTCCTGAAAAGGGTTTGCCATTTGAAAATGCAAGCATTTGGATCTAACAAATGGCGCCCTGACAGAGTTATCCTAGTATTCAATGCCCTTTAAATGTCATTGTCTAGTGATCAGTACCGGTTTGGGTAGCTCTTTCAGCTGCTGGGCTGTCAGCAACCCCTCAAGGGGATCGCAGCCTTTGATACCTGGGGAGTAGCTGCTGGTTTTTAATTGATGTGTTGCCAGGACCAGAATTCCCCAGGCCCTAACATTAGCTCTTCAGAGGAGTTTTTGTATACAACATTCAGAATACTTGTGAAATTTCTGTATTACGTAATCACCATCAATATTTCATGCGTAAGACATTTTCCCTATTTGTGGCAATCGCTACCTTAATAGTAACTCAGGAAAGATGCACAATAAGGCAGGCATTAAGAGCCAGTTCTTATATATGGTAACATTCTCCTTTTCTAACTTTCTAGGCTTCTCAGGGAATGATATATTGCAAATAGTATATTTTTCTAGAATCTAAAGCCTGTACCTCTTGAAGTACAAAATTTGAAGATTTTAAACTTTTGTGATACAGCCTTGGCTTCTTTAAATGTGATATATTTCATGTAATATTTTTATTTTCATGACTTGGGACTGTCAGTACAGGAGACTGTACAATAACGCTGCAGCTTGGTGATACTCGCAAGGCAGTAGAGATACACGGAGTTGGCCTTTTGTCCCCTTCACTAACTGTCCCCAAATAGCTATATTTTTATTCCCCTGGGGCCTTTCACACTCTCTACTTTCATTTCTCCCTGTTGCCTCATGTTCTGTTGCTTCTCATCCATAGCCTTATTTCTCACACAGTAGGAGTAAGAACTTTGACATGGCCCTCCTTTTTTGAGAAGTTAAGCACAGGAGTCCCGCTGCTCAGAGGTCCTCTTTGTTTACTCCAGATTTCTTTGCTGTTTATGGTGGTGGGTGGAGGAAGATGGCGCTCACAGTTTTCCAGGTGTTACTGGAGTTGACATGAAGCAGAGTTGCCACTTGGGAAAACACCTTTTGGCCTGTATGAGGACCTCCCGGGTTATAGACGCCTCATACATATCAGAAGGCGAGGGCCCTTTACTTCTTGGTTTGCTACTGCTCTTATTTCTGCTTTACCAAGCAGCTGGTGGTTGGTAGAGCAACCTAAGCTTTTTCCCTGCAGTCTCAAGGGGGAAATATGACCTGTTTTGCCTTATGTATTACCCCTGAGGTAAGCAGGAGATGCCAACATGATACCACAGCAAAGAATCGACCACTCTGAAGTGAAATCTCTGAATTTCTGAGCACTTCCAAGGATGCTTTGGCAACCCTCATCATGCATGTAATTTCCTGTTTAATGCGATCTTTCACAACAGACTGTGAGCTTCAAGAAATCGGGACTGTGTCTTCTCACTGTAGCCCCAGTGCCGTCAAAGCGCCTAACATATCCTGAGCACTCAGAATAGTTGTTAGATTAAGTTTGAAAGGGCACTTCATTGACTGTCTCATCTGAGCAGCCCTGCGAGCATATTTAACAGACAGATATATCCTTTGGACTAGGTGTTTGAGCTTGAAGAAAGGTTTTTAGGGTGGCAAAATTAGTGCTGTCTCCTGCAAGGCTGATTGAAAAGTCTGCACCACTTTTCTGGTTTTCACCTCTGATTGCAGTCCCATCAGCAAGTGTCTACACTGTGCTCATACCCTTCTAGGTGTTGTGATGGCTGGAAACTCATTGTGAGATGTTGCTCTTGCCAAGAACAAGTGTATACTCCAGAGCAGGAGGCAGCTGCACTCTCATAGGCAAAGTATGATAAATACTCTTAAGTCTTGTGGGATCCAGAGAGGATAGACAATGTAGACCAGAACTAAGACTAGGACCTCCACAGTGGATTCTTAGATATTTGGGTGACACAGACTCTTACCCCTGCCTGTCTTTGGAGGACAGAGTCATTTGTACAGAAATCCCAGGTCATTTTCTTACTTGTTTATACTGAAACTTCTCTACTCTGGTCCTCTCTGTTGAGCTAGCTGCAGGCTTGGCAAAATAGATATTTGGCATCTTCCCATGTTGACTTCTTTTTCTTTTCCTGTCTCATTTTTCCACATTATTGTTTCCCTCTTTCAGCCCCAATATGTCCATTTTCTTCACATGCCCTTCTCCACCTGCCCAGGCCTCAGGCCTCCAGCCTCCCTTCCCCCTACATGCCTGTTGCACATCTGAATATGCACTGCCCAGGCAGGGACCTGCCCAACTTTCCTTCTACTCACTTTTTCCTAAAAACTAACTACCCGTATGGGCCTTCTCTTCTGGGCTTTGCTTTGCATTTTCTAAGATGAGACGAAATTTTGATAATGCATTTATTTGCTTGTCGAACATTTCCCTTTTTTCACATGGTGAAAGTGCCATGATAGGCACCACAGAGAAGGAATGTAATGAGGATCCACCTCTCCAGGAGCTCTAGGCCATCAGGAAAGGCCATCAGCGCTTATCTTTTTCTGAGAGTCTCCTAAGATTTACTTTGAAACTTAAGTTGAGTCCTAGGATTGTAAAAATTTCATGTATATTCATAATTATACACCAAGAGGGGAGAGAGTGGATGATCCTGATACCCTACATGGAGAAGGAACTTACTGTGGGGTGGAAGAAATTTACATCTCTGTTTATCCTGACCTTGAACAACCAGCTCACGGTTGGTGGGAGTAAGACATTGGAAGGTATTGTTCAATACTGTCTTGTCTAGTTCTGAGAATGCCTCAGTCATCTGCAGACAGAGCTATAAATACCAGATTTCTTTTTTTCCCATCTTTTCACAGGTGTTGAAAATATCAGACTTCTTTGGCAGATGGGAGGAGTCTTATAGGACTCAGGAATTGTCATCACTGGTGAAAAGAGATGCTTCCCCTTCTGCAATGAAAGACAGAAGTGAAAGCTGAGCTGTGAGACGTGGTGAGCGACAGGCCAGTGGGAGACAAGGCCTTGGTCTCTGCTGCCAGCAGCAGTGGGCTCTGTTGGTCTCCTCTTTTCACTAGGGGAAGTAGTGAGGGACCATAATTCTCTCTCTCTCTCTCTCTCTCTTTCTTTTTTTTTTTTTTTTTTTGAGATGGAGTCTTGCTCTGTTGCCCAGGCTGGAGTGCAGTGGCACAGTCTCGGCTCACTGCAACCCCCACCTCAAGTGATTCTCCTGCCTCAGCCTCCTAAGTAGCTGGGATTACAGGTGCCTGCCACCACATCTGGCTAATTTTTGGTATTTTTAGTAGAGATGGGGTTTCTCCATGTTGGCCAGGCTGGTCTCAAACTCCTGACCTCAGGTGATCCACCCGCCTCAGCCTCCCAAAGTGCTGGGGTTACAGGCATGGGCCACTGTGCCCCGCCTTTTTTTTTTCTTTTCTTTTATTAGTCACAGCTCACTGCAGCCTCAACCTCCTGGGCTCAAGCGGTCCTCCCACATCAACCTCCTGAGCAGCTGGGACTACAGGCATGTGCCATAATGCCTGGCTAATTTTTTGTAGAGATGGGGTTTCACCATGTTACCAGGCTGGTCTCAAACTCCTGGACTCAAGTGATCTTCCCACCTTGATCTCCCAAAGTGCTGGGATTACAGGCATGAGCCACTGCACCTGGCTTCATAATTCTCTTGAGCAGTGTAGTCATGGGGCATGTTTGGGAATAGTGGGGACCCAGTGTGGAGCTTGAACTTCTAATAACCCAGTGGTGACTGGGTGGAGAATCAGGAATCAAAGACCCGGTCGTATTGCCATTAATTGTTTCCCTGGGTTTGATGGGCACAGAAAACAAAGATTACATAAAGAAGAAAAAAACTATGGTTCTTGCTTTCGGAATCACAGTGTGATGGGGCAGTTAGGATAATTGACACACACATAACGGGAGTGAACAGAGGTGGGGCGATGGGAAAGGAGAGAAATGTTGTATGAGCAGAGTATGGCATTGGCCAACCTCAGTGATCTGAATGGGAAGAGTAATGTTGTGGCCTCCTTGGAAATCCTTTAAAGGGATGGATGGTGTTTGTTCCTCTTTGTGACATCCATGCTCTCAATATTGCTGATGACGCGATAAGGACTGAACACAAGATCTCTCAGATGGCAAGCTCCAGAGGGTACTTAATGCTATAGTCCAGTGTTTGTCAAACTTAAATGTGCACTGGAATCACCTGTACATGAGGGCTTGTTAACACACAGCTTGCTGGGCCTACCCACAGAGCTTCTGATTCAGTGGCTCCAGGGTGGGGCCCAAGAATTTGTATTTCTTTCTTTTTTGAGACAGGGTCTTGCTCTGTCGCCCAGGCTGGAGTGCAGTGGCATGATCTCAGCTCACTGTAACCTCTGCTTCCCAGGCTCAAGTGATCCCTCTCACCTCAGCCTCCCAAGTACCTGGGACTACAGATGTGTGCCACCACACCTGGCTAATTTTTGTGGGTTTTTTGTTTGTTTTTGTTTTGTGTGTGTGTGTGTGTGTGTGTGTGTTTTTGTAGAGACAGGGTTTTGCCATGTTGGCCAGGCTGGTTTCCCAAATCCTGGGCTCAAGAAATGTGCCCACCTCGACCTCTCAAAGTTCTGGGATTACAGGCGGGAGCCACCATGCCCCACCAAGAATTTGCATTTCTAACAAGTCCCCAGGTGATGACGGCCCAAGGACCACTCTTTGGGAACCACTGGTACAGTCATTCAGCAGCCAATAACAGTTTGGAGTAGGGAAGTAAGAGCTGTGCATTTATCATCTTTAATTGACCCATTTGGAGAGTCCATACTGTGTGAGAAGATAAGTAGGGGAAAAAATTTGTAAAAGACGGATTTAGCCCAAGCAGTGGCTCCATGTTCAGTGGTGAGATGGGATGAGAGCATCCCACTTTTCCCCTAGCTGCAGTGGGGACTAAGGGAGATGAACCACATAAACCCGTATTCCTCAAAGGAGAACACTGAGCACCAGAAGCTTTAAAATTATTTATAAAGCTCTAGAGCAGAATTTTTAACACAAAACATGCATTTCTTAGTGTCGCTTTTTCTAAAGACATTTATTATTTTAGTCATCAATGACCACAAGAACTGGTTTTCCATTCAGCCTTGTGATGCTCTCCTGTACATGTTCTGTGCTCTGGTTAAGTAGAAAAGGCCTTCCGTTTTCATGCCTTCCTGCCTTTACTCAAATGGCTCCCCTGCCTGGAATTATCTCCCCTTACCTACCCTATAGCCATTTGAACAATTCTTTACCCCAAAGCTTTGACTGCCTTAAATGCTGGCAGACGTGTTTCTGATGAGGGATGTTTTTCAGTTTTAGAAGCAAAGATGGCTATCTCCAATTATTCACAGGCCCATTAATCACCCTAATAGAACCCCAGGAACACTGAAGGCTTTCTGCAGGTGACAGTATGCAAACAGCCTCTAATCAGCACATAGGCTACCTATCATTTGCTCATTGTTTCTTGTTTCCCTTCTGGGAGCCTCCAAAGGCAAGTGTTGTGACAGAAGAGGAGATGATTCAGTCCAGACCTTATGGGAAAACAGGATATGAAATTCAATACCACCGATGTGAGCAATAAACAGTAAAGACAACCTCTATTTAAATGGCATGAATCTTGATAATTATCTCTTGGAGTATCTAGCCTCTCAATCTGAATGCATCCTCAAGATGTGAAACACATTCTAATATTTTAAGCACTAGTCTCATAAAACGTGCATACTCTAACTGCATGATGTTCTCAGCAATACATTCACTTTTGCCAAGG
Organism: Homo sapiens; assembly: GCF_000001405.40. Classification (NCBI taxonomy): domain Eukaryota; kingdom Metazoa; phylum Chordata; class Mammalia; order Primates; family Hominidae; genus Homo; species Homo sapiens. Next base: position 55,148,275 of record NC_000002.12, on the reverse strand, counting down.
TTCATGTGTTCAAATGACCGCCTGCATTACAAAGACTGCAAACAAATTTGAAGTAAAAATTCTGAACTCTTAGCTGGTCTCTGCAGTGCAGTGATCAAAATGGTGTCCACCAACGTGACCCCTACTGTCTTCAAGGTGTCACTCATTAGGTCTTCAGCCATTTGAAGGTAGAAGTTTGGGTTTGAGTCACAATGTCACAATGTATTAGCTTTGCAATTGTGGGGAACCAGGCCACCTTTTACTCTACAAATGGATGATAATGGCTAACATCTAACATGTCTTGTTTCCTTTCCAGGGCCGTTGTGGAGATCAACTGAATCATGGATCTCTTTGTAAATGGCAAAGCATAATGGAAATGTTAGTTAATGTTATTATTTTGATCACTCACTTCTTGCTGCCTATTCCAAAGCCAGAGACCTTACTGTTTCACCTGACAAACTGAAAGGTTTTTTTTGTTTGTTTTTGTTTTGTTTTGTTTTGTTTTGGAGACAGGGTCTTGCTCCGTCACCTGGGCTGGAGTGCAGTGGCATGATCTTGGATTCTAATCTCTGCCTCCTGGGCTCAAGCGATCCTCTTGCCTTAGCCTCCAGAGTAGCTGGAACTACAGGTTTGTGCCACCACACCTGAACTAATTTTTGTATTTTATGAGACAGGTTTTCGCCATGTTGCCCAGGCTGGTCTCAAACTCCTGAGCTCAAGTGATCTGCCTGTGTTGGCCTCCCAAAGTATTGGGATTACAGGCATGAGCCACTGCACTCAGCCTGAAAGATATTTCTTATGTTTATTTCAAAAATTACTCAGTTAGTCCTGGATTATAACCCAAGGTGGCTGGGGTTTGGTTGGAAATGGGCACTGGCTTTCGGTTGTGATATTTATTTGAGAGGTGATTAGGACATGGAAAGACTTAGGAAGGACAAATTTGATTCAGGGCACTGACTTTCCCGGTGTGATCCTTAGGCAAGTCTCTTTGTTTATAGAACTGTGGGCTCTTTGGATTGGAGGGACTAGGGCTTTTGGATTAGCAGTGAACTAGTCTAGGATTTCAAGCATTTCAGAAATCCATACCACGGCATCGTGACAAATGTCTTGCTTGGATACCTCTAGAGTTCCATGGGCTCTTCCCCTCAGAAGCTCATTTTATTTTTTGATATTTCCAATTGTTGGAATATCCTTTCAACTTTTGAGCCAAAATTGGCCTGTTTTACTTCCAATTGCCGATGCTCCTTGACTTACAATGGGGATATGTGTTCAACCCATTGCAAGTTGAAAATATCGTAAGTAAAAAATGCACTTAATACAACCAACCTACCTAACATCACAGCCTAGCCTAGCCTACTTTAAACATGCTCAGAACACTTACATGAGCCAACATTTGGGCAAAATCATCTAACACAAAGCCTATTTATAATAATAAAGTGTTGAATATCTCATGTAGTTTATTGACCACTGTACTGAAAGTGAAAAACAGAATGGGTGTATGGGTACTTGACATACAGTTTGAACCAAATGCATATCGCTTTTGCATCATAGTCAAAAATGGTAAGTCGAACCATTGTAAATTGGAACATCTGTGTGGGTCTTCATTCTTACCTCTGAGAGAACACACTGAAGGCTGCTCCCTTCTTGATATGACAGGGCTTTCTGCTGGCATAATACCCAGCTAGCATGCTTCTAACAGGTCTTCTCTTGTTTGAATTAAACATACCCTGGTTTTGTAACTGTGTTTTGTTGATATGGTTTCCAAAACTGCCTCACAATCCTGGTTCCCTCTTCTGAATGAGAAGCATGAATGTTTGTAATGTGGTTGTTGGGGTAATAATAGACAGGCAGGGAGTAACTAGGTCTTTGATGGTCTTGTAATTCAGCAAACTTTCCCCCACCCCCACACCACACCCTTACTGCAGCACACAACTACAAGAATTCAAAAATTCAAACCCAACAGTGACTGTGAACGTCCAGCATTTCAAGCCTTCAGGAAATCAATACAGTGACATCGGGCTACAAGGGCAGCCTGATACTGTCTGATATGCAGGATATATTCACTTGATTTAGTTTCTACTGATCATTGCTTTATTTAAAGTGATAGAATTCTTCCCATTAATTCCATACAAATGTGTACAAATGTTTAAGCAGAGATGGTGCAGGAAGTTGGATGCAGTGATGAAGCACACAGGCAGACAGATCCAAGTTCAAATATGAATTTAAACTTTGGCACTTTACATCTTGGAGTCTCCATTTTCTGACTTGTAAAATGAGGATGATGATTCCTGCCTCATGAAGTTGATGTGAGGACTAAATGCACTATTTTCAAAACAGAGCCTGGATTACAGTAGGTGCTTATGAGTGAACTCTGATGTTCTTTTTTTGTTTTTTGTTTTTTCTTTTGAGGCAGAGTCTTGTTCTGTCACCCAGGCTGGAGTGCAGTGATGCAATTTCAGCTCACTGCAAACTCCACCTCCCGGGTTCAAGTGATTCTCCTGCCTCAGCCTCCCGAGTAGCTGGATTACGGGCGTGCGCCACCACGCCCGGCTAGTTTTTGTATTTTTAGTAGAGATGGGGCTTCACCATGTTGGCCAGACTGGTCTCGGACTCCTGATCGCCCTGGCCTGCCTTGGCCTCCCACAGTGCTGGGATTACAGGCATGAGCCACCGCACCTGGCCAACTCTGATGTTGTTAGCAAATTAACTTACTGTGTTTACCTTCTTCCTTCCAAAGCAATCCAGGTAAAGGTGTTAAGTCATTCTGGTGTGGTGGTAAGAGCCCAGAAGAATCTAAAGTGGGAGTTGGCAAAGTTCTCTTTTTAAAAGGCCAGATGTGATTACTTTAAATTTAAATAGCCACGTATCTAGTGACTACTGTAGTCAACATAGCAACTTTAGAGCACATGAATTAGAATTGTGACATGTAAGGCTAAGCCCAGTCTGTGGACTGAGTGACAGACCAGTGGGCAATTGGGAAACATTTCAGGTTTTCCAACGGAGAATATTAAGAGCAGAAATGTGGAGAATGCCACAATGACCAGTCACTGACACCCTCATGCAGGGTAGACAGGAATTTCAGAAAGCTTTGTGGATTATACAGACCCTGCTGCTACTACTCAGCAGTAATATTTGAGTGCAAAAGCAGTCATAGACAATAATGAAATGAATCAGTGTGGTTGTGTTCCAATAAAACTTTATTTACAAAAACAGGCAGCAGGCTGGATTTGACACACAGGCCATAGTTGTCAACCCCCAATCTAGAGTCTTATTTTCTTTCTTATTTTCTTAAAATTGTGGTAAGAGCATTGATATAGTTTGAATATTTGTCCCCACTCAAATCTCATGTTGAGATGTAATCCCCAATGTTGGAGGTGGGGCCTGGTGGGAGCTGTGTGGGTCACGGGGGTGTATTCCTCAGGGCTTGATGTTGTCCTTGAGATAATCAGTGAGTTCTCACAAGATCTGGTCATTTGGCCACGTGCGGTAGCTCATGTCTGTAATCCCAGGACTTTGGGAGGCCGAGGTGGGCGGATCACCTGAGGTCAGGAGTTTGTGACCAGCCTGGCCAATATGGTGAAACCCTATCTCTACTAAAAATACAAAAATTAGCTGGGCATAGTGACACGTGCCTGTAATCCTAGCTACTCGGGAGGCTGAGGCAGGAGAATCGCTTGAACCTGGGAGGCGGAGTTTGCAGGGAGCCCAGATTGTGCCATTGCAGTCCAGCCTGGATGACAAGAGCGAAATTCCGTCTCAAGGAAAAAAAAAAAAAAAGAAAGAAAAAAAGATCTGGTCACTTAAGTGTGTGATGCCTCCTCCTGACTCGCTCTCTCTTGCTCCTCTTCTTGCCAGGTGACATGGCTTCTCCTGCTTCACCTTCCACCATGAGTAAATGCTCCCTAAGGCCTCCCTGGAAGCTGAGCAGATGTCAGCACCATGCTTCCTGTAAAGCCTGCAGAACTGTGAGCCATTTAAACCTCTTTTCTTTATAAATTACCCAGTCTCAGGTATTTATTTACAACAATGCAAGAACAGCCTGATACAAACACTTAACATAAAATCTACCGTAACAAATTATTAAGTGCACAATACAGTATTGTTAACTATAGTCACGATGTGGTACAACAGATCTCTGGAACTTGTTCATCTTGTGTAACTGAAGCTTTATCCCCCTGAATAACAGCTACCATTCCCTGAGCCCCTTACAGCCCCTGGCAGCCACCATTCTATTCTCTATATGAGTTTGACTATTTTAAATACATCATGTAAGTGGAATCATGAGGTATTTGTCTTTCTGTGACTAGTTTGTTTCACTTAGCATAATATCCTCAAAGTTCATCCATGTTGTCATGTGTGGCAGGATTTTCTTCTTTTTCAAGGCTGAATAATATTCCATTTATATTCATACCACATTTTTTTTTTTTTTTTAGACAGAGTCTTGTTCTGTCGCCCAGGCTGGAGTGTAGTGGTACTATCTTGGCTCACTGTAACCTCTGCCTCCCATGTTCAAGCGATTCTTTTGCCTCAGCCTCCTGAGTAGCTGGGATTACAGGTGCATGCCACCACACCCAGCTAATTTTTATATTTTTAGTAGACACGGGGTTTCACCATGTTAGTCACAGGCTGGTCTTGAACTCCTGGCCTCAGGTGATCCACCCACCTCAACCTCCCAAAGTGCTGGGATTACAGGTATGAGCCGCCGTACCTGGTCTCTTACCACATTTATTGACTCATCTGTTGATGGGCATTTAGGTTGTTTCCATATCTTGACTATAATAATATAATGATAATGCTGCAATGAACATGGGAGTGCAAATATCTCCACCACATCTTGATTTCAGTTCTTCTGGATAAATACCTAGAAATAGGACTGCTGAATCATCTGGTAGTTCTATTTTTAATTTTTTAAGGAACCCTCCATACTGTTTTCCATCAGGGCTCTACCATTTTACAGTCTTAAGACCAGAGTACAAGGGTTCCAATTTCTCCACATCCCACCAACACTTGTTATCTTTTATTTTTTTCATGGTAGCCATCCTAATAGGTGTGAGGTGGTTAGAACCTTATTTTCTAATCTCAGCCCTGGGGACTTGCTTCTGCTGCATTCCTTTTTCCAAGAGCATCTTTCTCTCACCCCAGGGGGTTCTAGGATCCCTTCAGGGGTCACCTGGGCACATAGCCCCAAATCCTGTCTGAAGATTTGCTTCAAGTAGTTTTGGCTTCTGGAGAGGCAGGGAGCTCTATCCACCATTTTTGAGAGAGATGGGAGAGAGAATGTGTGCAAATCCTTTGGGGGAGGCCCCCTGAAGACTTTATTATTGGGAGCAAAGTACCTACGTCCTGTGTTTCCATTTGATCATCTGTTAGGTGTGCAGTTATATGCCTCCATGATACCCCATATCATTGGTTTGTAGCATTTAGATCAACTATAATTATTTGTGTGATCATCAGTTTAATGTCTCCCTTCCTTCTTTCCCTCTACCCCTCAAGAAAGCGCCCTGAAGGTAGGGCCATGTTTGAATTGCTGTGCATGGCTGTATACATAGCATCTAGCAGAGGGATCGACTCAAGATACACACTCAGCAATAAATACCTGCTAAATGATGAATGTAAAAGTTCAGTCCCTCAAGTCATCCAGAGAACTTTCTCAGATTACATTCACCAGACTTCTTCTTTCTAGCACTGTGAGGGAAAAGTTTGATTTTCAACTGTTAATGGACTCTAAACCTGAAAAACAAAACATATGTTATAGTGTTGGCTTTGACCAAAGGCCTGCCACCTCTGGCCTCAGAAGTTTTCTTGGTAACTATAACTATAAGCTGGAAATAAAAAGCTGTTCTGTTTATTTACACAATTGGCAACGATTTATTGGAGGGAGATAACATTAAGAACTTCAGGAACACTTCCTTTGAAACTTGGAAATAGTTATTCATTCAATACTTTTTTAAATCTCTTTCTCAGAGAGTATAACTTTTTGTGCCTGGTGTGCCTTCTTCTTTTAAGAATCTTTTTTGTTTTTGTTTTCAAGACAGGATCTCACTCTGTCACTCAAGCTACAGTGCAGTGGCATGATCTTGGCTTACCTCAGCCTCGACTTCCTGGGCTCAAGTGATCCTCCCACCTCAACTCCAGAGTAGTTTGAACTTCAGGTGTGCACCACCATGACACGCTAAATTTTTTTTCTTTGGTAGAGACGGATTCTCACTATGTTGGCCAGGCTGGTCTTGAACTCCTGGTCTCAAACAATCCTCTGCGACCTCCCAGAGTGCTGGGTTTACAGTTGTGAGTCACCCTGCCCAGCCTGGTGTACCTTTTTCTGATCTTTTGTTAACTGAGGGTTTTTCCTCTTCCTTCTACAATGTAAACATTAACAGCAGCAGAAGAAAGTGAAGTGCCAAATCCTGTATTAATACACCAGTTGTGGAAGTGCACTCACTTGAGCAGTCTCAGAGTGGACAGAGTTAGCTGACCTTCACAAAGCGGGACAGCAAAGTCCTGGACAGAAAAGGCCACTGGGAGAGTTTCCTGGGGCTCAGCCAGGCTGCTGTCTTGTTCACACCCCCAGGAGGGTAAAGTGCTCTGGGTTATCCATAGCTCACTCAGTAGGGGTAAGTGAGAGGAAGGGGAGGTGAGCAGGAACAGACATATTGATGACGGGGCTCATACAACGTGATTTTGTCATTCCAGCCACCTGGTGTCCTCCGTGGGTTTCGGATCCCAAGCTAATGCCCCCTTTTCCCTACTATAGCAATGTTGAAGGCCCCTTCAGCACCCCTATTGCCCTTCATACCATAATTTGGCTGAATAACTCCAGTCCCCACCTTGTCCCATGAATTCTCAACAGGTTTCAGTAGGGGTTCAGTGTGGTTTCCTGGTCTTCTCCCTTCCCCTTTGCTTGAGTGATGTAGTGGGTTGAACACATCCCCCCACAAAAGTATGTCTAAGTCCTAACCCCTGGAACCTATGGAGGTAACTTCCTTTGGATAAAAAGTTCTTTGCAAATGTAATGTAAGGATCTTGAGGTCAAATCATCCAGGATTTAGCCGGGCACCGTAGATCCAAGGACACCTGAAGAAGAGGAGAGGACACACAGACCCAGAGGAAAAGGTTATGTGAAGATGGAGTCAGGAATTGATGAGCACCACAAGCCAAGGTACAGCAAAGATGGCCAGCAGCCACCAGAAGCTAAGAGAGAGGCATGGAACATGTTCTCCCTCAGAGCCTACAGAAGGAGCCAGCCCTGACAACACCTTCACTTTGGACTTCTGGCCTCCACCAAATGAGAGAATAAGTTTCTGTTGTTTTCCGCCACCCAGTTTGTTAATTTGTTATGGCAACGCCACGAAACTAGGAGAGTATAATTTGGAAAAGATCTTTAAGATCCGCCACCCAGTTTGTTAATTTGTTATGGCAACGCCAGGAAACTAAGTGAGTATAATTTGGAAAAGACCTTTAAGACCTGAGTTGTTATCTACCCACGTTGTCTTTTCAACAGCATTGTGTAAGCTGATGCAACCAGGACTTGCAGGTGTTGAGGAAGAGTGCTAGGTCATGTGTTGTTAACCATCAGCCCCTAAAGCCAGTGGCTGTTCATGGCAGATAACACCTCTCTTATTCTTATCACCTGAGAAAATGAGAGAACAGCCATGCAGCTTAGGGACCACTCAGCTGGGTGGGGAGTGGGTGGAAAGGGCAATCATTTGAGCAGGGTCACAGGACTTTCCTCTCCCCACTTCTTTTTGCTTAGCACATAAGCAGGAAAAGAACAGTGTCCCTGTCCACAGCAGCCGCCACCAGTTAGACTGCAAACACAATCCTTTTCTTTTCTTTCTTTCTTTCTTTTTTTTTTTTTTTGAGACAGTCTCACTCTACTGCCCAGGCTGGACTGCAGTGGTGTGATCTTGGCTCACTGCAACCCCTGCCTCCTGGGTTCAAGCGATTCTCCTGTCTCAGCCTCCCAAGTAGCTGGGACTACAGACATGCGCCACCACGCCCAGCTAATTTTTGTATTTTTAGTAGAGACGGGGTTTCACCATCTTAGCCAGGATGGTCTCGATCTCCTGACCTCATGATCTGCCCGCCTTGGCCTTCCAAAGTGCTGGGATGACAGGCATGAGTCACCGTGCCCAGCTGTCCTTTTCTTAAATGATAGAATTTTCTCTATGGGGCAAAGCAATGCAACATTCACAATCAGAGAAAAGAAATCCTCGCACCCTCACTATTCTCTTTGGTCTTTTCCTCTCCCAGGCACCAGCCCTTTCACCTGATGTCAGAGCAGCACAGCTGAAAGCTGTAACCTGGGTGAGGTGGAGGGCGACTAGCAGGCATGCGCAGGTGAGATCCCCTGGGGCAGGCCTTGAAGGGCCAAGGTGGGGCATGGCTCGCTTTGGCTGTTTTGGTTTTCAAAATGTTTAAATGCTGAAAGTTCATGTTGGTAGTTGGCATGTAAGGATCTTAATTTGTTCTGTTCATTGCAAAAAAAATTCTCTCATTTTACAATAGAGATTTTTGGCAGTCACTAAATGGTGCAGTGCTATTGCCTCAGTTAAGACATTTCTGTCAACATATTTATGCCATGTATGGTTGCTTTTGTGTCTCTCATTTCATTTGAGTCTCCCAATAGCCCATGAGAGGAGTAGAGCAGGGATTATTACCCCATTTTAAAGGGAGAGAACTGAGGCTTATGAGGCTTAGGGGATGGATAGTGGGAAAATAGGGGAGAATTTCAAGCTGGGGGAGGAGCCTGAAACAGCCAAGAAATCTTCGTGGCTAGAGAGCAGGTCATGTGGATGAAAGACATGGGGGAACGCTCTGTGATTTGAAGAGGTGCCTGGAGAGGCAGCTGGGGGTGACTGGGAATGCTGACCAAATGGCAAGAAAATGAGAGAAACCTGTAGTTTGTGAGCAGAGTGTCCTTCCTGGAGTCTGAACATTCAACAAGAGGTGAACTTGGGGAAACCGTGTCTCCTTAACCAAATGACTGCCCAACGTAATGATGCTTCATGATAATACAATGGATGAACTTTGTCCTCTGCCATGAAGAGTAGAGGCGGGTACTCTTTATTGTACTTTATGGCAGTGTGTCATTGCATCGTGGGCCTGGCTATCAAACGGGGTCCCCCTATACAAGGCAGCATTTTGGGAAGTTGGCTCTATTGGGCACCAGGAGGCCTGAATTAGTGGATGTGACCGTTGGGTTATTAGCCCGAGCGGCCCTGAGCTTTGAGAGGAGGAACTTGGTACCTCAGCAGGAGGCCTGTCCTCAGCTGGTCTGACACATCACATTTGCTTTTTGATTTGCACACATAAAATGAATCTCCCCAACAACCCTCTCCCCAAAGCCTCATCAATTATAACTGCTTTTGTCCTTAGCATCCTTTTGTTGACCAGCTTGGAAATTAGTTAGAAGGAAGAAGAAAGGGAAGTTGTCTTTGCGGGTAGTGGCACTGGAGAGCTGGCTGCTAATGAAGGAGTCCTGAATGGTGCGATTGTGCTGCTGTTTATATAGTTTTTATTTTAATTTGCATCCGTACCAGGCTCGAATCCCAAGAGTCATTCAGCCGTGTTTGGAGCTTTTATCTCCTTCCATGGAGCCAATTCTGCCAGCTTATCATTTGCCTCAAGGAAATTAATGTGGCTCTCCCCTCCCTTCACTTTTATCATGTGCTGTTGAATTGTTTATACATCCATGGAGAGAAAGAAAGACTCTGCAGAACCGTAGAAGGAGGTTTCTCTCCTCACGTTGCTGGCTCATCTGAGACTCCTCTCTCTGGTTAAAAGGCTTGTAGAGCCAAGGTCTCAGAGAGCAAGGATGGAAGGGAAGGGAGGGGGTCACAGCATCAAAGGCCCAGAACTCCTGCTGTTTTTTTCTTGTCTCCATATAGCTGTTTTCCTCTTCGACAAAGTAAGCCTTCCCTACGACTTTCAGAATAGAGAGCAATGATTATATCTGGAAAGATCTGGAAAGACCTCTTCTCACCACTGTATTGGGTCAGAAATCCTGGTGCATGCAGGGGGCTTTGTCCTTGGGGCCCCTCCCTCATCCTTATCTCAGCTTTCGTAAGGCAATTCCTGCCAACTTCAGATTACTTTCAAATCTCTATCTCCGGCAGTCCGGTTCCAGAAATGAAAAGACTTAGATGCTGCCCTCAAGGAGTCATGGTTTGGTGGGCATGAAGGAGGTTATAAAAGGCAGTGTACAGTGTGCCCCAAGGTGCAGAGGAGCTCATGGGTCTAGAGGCCTCAGGGAGAGCTTCTGGAGAAGGAGCCTCCAAACCATGCCTGGAAGGGGAGGAGGCTTTTCAGTCTAGGTCAAGCTGTGTAACCAAGCACATAGGCTGAGAGGACATGAGGATGGAGGGACATGCACTATTGCGGTGTGGGGAGGGGGAGGGGCGGTTGCGGAGCGGCAGGGGGGTCAGTAGGGGGAATGGGGAGAGCCGCTGGAGTGCTCTGGGCTGGCAGGACCACGCTGCACAGGCCTGCGGCAGGTTCCGCTTGCCCAGAGCTTTGTGCCCATGTGAAGGGAAATGAGATTTCAGGCTACAGCTGAGAGGTCGGAGGTGGAGAGAGCGCCATGGGGGAGACTGAGCTGGTAGAAGACACTCAGGGAGTTTAACTCTCTCTGTGCCAGCAGTGGGGTGGTTGGTCTGGACAGGTTGAGGGGGCACCTGTGGGGAGGCTGTAGTCAGAGTCCAGGCAAGAGAGGCACGCATCTACCCAGGAGCAGCAGCCGCCGTGATTTCAGAATCCAGCCCTTCCACATGACTCCCATCTAGTCAGTCACCATTTCCTGCACAGTCTGCTTCCGAACGCTCCGGAATTTAGTCCCTGCTGTCTATTCCCACTGACGTGGTCCAGGTATTCGTTACTCCTATGTTCTCCTAAAGTGTGGTTCTGGTCTGGCTCTTTCCTGACTCCGTAGCGTCACTGCATAGAGGTCACCCTCAGCACGGCATGGCTGGCCCCCTCTCTGGCCTCCTTTCCAGCCACCCCCATTTCATGCCCTCCTCTTCTCATGCCCTCCTCTTTGCTCTTAGTCTCCAGTTCCTGGAAGCTGCCTTGCCCTGGGGCATTTCAGTTCCTTTTTCTGCATTTAGAAACACTCCCTCTACTCTGCTTGGTGAATTCTCATCCTCTAAGATGTAGTTCAAAGATCATCTCCTGGGAAACCTTCCTCAGCTCCCCAGACGGAAGTGCGTGCTTCCTCCTCTGCCTGGCCAGAGCCCTGTCTTTATGCATCTCTCCCTGGCTTCTCCTGTTAAATTCTAGGTGATGGTTTATGCGTCTCTCTCCTCCGCAGGACTGCCAGTTCCTTGAGACTGTACCTGGTAAAAGGCCAGTCTGGGGGACAGAAATGGGTCTCCCCAGGCCGTTCACCTTTGTAACAACAGCTCCCCACTCTGTACCTGGCCCAGGGTATTGATTTGCTGAATTCAATTAAGTAGGCAGTCTGCCTGACTCAGGGAAGTGGACAGCCTGGAAGAGAATCTAGATGTGCACTGTCCAATAGAAATAATGCGAGTCAGATTTAAAATTTTCTAGTAACCTCATTTTTAAACAACGTTAAAAGAAACAGGTAATCAAATGTTCATAGCTACTTTATTTGCAGTAGACCCAAACTGGAAACAAACCAATGCCCAGCAAGAGGTGAATGTATCAGCAGCAGTGAATCCATATGGGTCTGTGGCAGCTTGATTCTTGCCGCCTCAGGCGAAAGAATTCATCTGAGGGACATAAGGTGTGGTGAGAGACTCTTCAGAGCAAGAGTGAAAGTTTATTAAAAAGTTTTAGCGCAGGAACAAAAGGAAGTAAAGTACACTTGGAAGAGGGCCAAGCGGGCGACTTGAGTCCAAGTATGCTGTTTAGCCTTTGACTTGGGGTTTTATAATTGGCATGGTTCTGGGATTTGTGTCTCTGCTCCCCTGATTCTTCCCTTGGGGTGGGCTGTCTGTATGCACAGTTGCCTGCCAGCACCTGGAAGGGGCCGTGTGCACAGGTGTTTATTGAAGTTTTGCACATGCTCACTTGAGGTATTCTTCCCTTATCAGTTGAGTGTTCCTGGAGGAAGGTTATAGACCAGTGAAACTTTGCCCTGTTGCTTCTTAGTGTACATGCTTGAGCCCACTCACCCAACTTCTGAGATCTTATCAGGAAGCGGCTGATCACCAGCTTTAGGTGTTTTCTATCTATTGGGAGACTGCCTTTAAGCTCTGGCACTGGCTGTGACCAATTATTATTTTAGAGAGACAGTTTAACAACCACCTGCTGGTCACCTAACATGCCTGGAGGTGGGGGCCCTCTCCTGCCTTGCTCATATCTGCCTAGCTAACTGCTCTAACAAGTGGATAAACAAACTATGATATATAATAGAATACTACTCAGCAATAAGAAGGAATGAACTACTGATACATGCAACAACATGAATGAACCTCACAATAATTAAACTAAGTTAAAGCAGTAAAAAATATATATTACTGTATAATTTTATTCACATAAAATTCTAGCAAATGCAAACTCCATATGCAGATCAGTAATTAGGGATGGGGGATTGGCAGGAAGGACTACAGCAGGGCATGAGAAAACTTTTTGGGGTTGACGGAGATGTTCATTATCTTAATTGTGATGATGGCTTCATGGTATTGTATATACACATGTCAAAACTTACCAAGTTGTGCAGTTTATTGTGTGCCAATTATACTTCAGTAAAGTGTAAAAAAAGAAGCAGAATGATTTAAATGTTTTAACACCATATATTGAAAATGTTATCTTTTAAACGTATAATTGAGGCTGGGCATGGTGGCTCACGCCTGTAATCCCAGCACTTTGGGAGGCTGAGGTGGGCAGATCACTTGAGACCAGGAGTTTGAGACCAGCCTGGCCAACATGGTGAAATCCCATCTCTACTAAAAATACAGAAATTGGCCAGGAATGGTGGTGTGCACGTGTAATCGAGCTACTCAGGAGGCTGAGGCCTGAGAATTGCTTGAGCCTGGGAGGCGGAGGTTGCCGTGAGTCAAGATTGAGCCACTGCACTCCAGCCTGGGTGACAGAGCAAGACTCCATCTCAAAAAAAAAAAAAAAAACCAAAAAAACAAACATATAATCAATATAAAAATTACTAGTGAGATTTTAAAACTATTATTTTTGTGCCATCTTTGAAATCTTATGTGCATTAAAAACATTTTTTTAATAGAAATGGAGTCTCACTATGTTGCCCAGGTTGATCTTGAACTCTAGGCCTCAAGTGATCCTTCCCCCTTGGCCTCCCCAAATGGAATTGTAGGTGTGAGCCACCATGCCTGGTGCTATGTGCATTTTACACTTACAGCCCAGCTCACTTCCGACTCACATTTCAAGTGCTCAACAGACACATGTGACAAGTGGCTACTATGTTGGACAGCAGAGATCTAGACCCTCTAGTGAAGCCCCGATCAGAATTGTTTCCTCCTCAGGACTGGGCAAACCCTGAGTAAGTAACTCCTCGCATTTACTTCTGAAGCGGTTTTGAGTTGCCTCAAGAGCCCTTTTCGGTGGGCCCAAAAAGCTTGGGCACTCAGGGGGCTGCAGGTCAGAGGCTGGCTCTGGAGAATTAGATTATAAACCTAGAACTCTGTGTAAGCTCCCACCTCCCGCTTCACCCACCCTTTCTTCTTCCTCATTTAAACTTGAAGAATAATATTCTCTTTGCATATTTGCTTTCTGAGAACAGCTGTTTATGTCAGGAAGCAAACTGCACTTTATTGACTGCATGCAGGAAATTGGTGCTGCTCTGAGCTAAGGTGAATGCCTGCTGGGTGGGCATCAGCCTCTGAGAGATGGAGTGAGTCTGGGGGCTGTCTCTGGACTTTGGACCTGGGGGAGTCTTATTACTGAGTGGCCTTGGACCCCACACAGACCTTCTCCAAGTCTAGGATCTGCTTTCCCATTTCCTCAGCTTCTGTCAAGAGGTCAGGAGGAGTGGGGGGAAGAGGGGAATGCTGATGGTAGTGAGATAGGAGTTCACAAGATACAAATCATAAAGACCCCACAGATAAAACAGGATGCGGTAAAGAGGCAAGTGAAAATCAATCAAAACCCACGTGACCACAAAAGCAATCTCTGGTTGTCCTCTCTGCTCGTTATACACTAATTATAATAAATTAGCATACTAAAGGAAATGCCCACTAGCGACATGACAGTTTACAAAAGCCATGGCAACCGTCTGGAAGTTACCATATATGGTCTGAAAGGGAGAGGAACCCTCAGTTGTGGAAATTCCCCACCCCTTTCCCAGAAAGCTCATGAAAATCCACTCTTTGTTTAGCATGTGATTAAGAAATCACCATCAAAATAGCCAACCAGCAGCCTTTGGGGTTGCTTTGCCTGTGGACTCTCCACCCTTTCATTCCTTTACTTAATAAACTTGCTTTCACTTTGCTCTCTTGGCTCGCTCTTCCTGTTTGGAGCCAAGAACCCACATGACTTCCTGGGCTGAACCCCAATTTTGGGGTTCACCCTGTGACATCTTGACAAGCAGTGGCTTTATCAGCCGTGTGGCTGCTGGGTCTCCTTAGGGGTTATCTGGCAGGGGCTATGTTAAGGACGGTGAGAGCTATTTATGGTTCTGTCACTTAACCAGCTCAGGGTCCCTAACTAAGTTTCCCTTCTTCTCAGGGCCTCAGTTTCTCCCTCCATAGAATGGAGGAATTGGACTAGACACCTCAAGGGTACCTTACAGCCTTGTGAGGAACAGTAGTTCTAACGGAATTGAACTGAACACATACCGGTGTGGGCAGTATCCTGCATAAGGAGGAGGTTACAAGAAATACACATGACACAGTCCTCCCGTATTATTGGGAAGTAGATTTATACCTTTCTGACAATTTTTACAAGTATTTATTGCTTTTGCAAGTAAAAAAAAGGCAGGGAGAGGGAACAAATAAACTGAAAAATAAAAAGTAAACAAGCAAAAGACAACACCGCATTCTCCATGATGTGCTTATTTCACATTGCATGCCTGTATCAACACATCTTATGAACCCCATATATAAATATACTTACTATGTACCCACAAATTTTTTTATTTTTAGTTTTAGTTTTTTGAGACAGAGTCTCAGTCTGCTGCCCAGGTTGTAGTGCTGTGGCGTGATCTCAGCTCACTGGAACCTCTGCTTCCTGGGTTCAAGTGATTCTCCTGCTTCAGCCTCCCAGGTAGCTGGGATTACAGGCACCCACCAGCACACCTGGCTAATTTTTGTATTTTAGTAGAGACACGGTTTCATCATGTTGGTCAGGATGATCTTGAACTCCTGGCTTCAAGTGATCCACCTGCCTCGGCCTCCCAAAGTACAGGATTTACAGGTGTGAGCCACCACACCCGGCCATGTTTTTTAAAAATAATAATAATTAAAAAAAACAACAACAAAACTGGAGAGTGAGAACTAATTCCTAAAATGATCGGTATATTTATTTTTAATTTTCAATTTTTTTTTTTTTTTTGAGAGACGGTCTCACTCTGTGGCCCAGGCTGGAGTGCAGTGGCAAGACCTCGGTTCACTGTAGCCTCCACCTCCCATGCTCAGGTGATTCTCCCTCGTCAGCCTCTCAAGTAGCTAGAATTGCAGGCACATGCACCATCATGCCCGGCTAATTTTTGTATTTTTTGTAGAGACAGGGGTATACCATGTTGCCCAGGCTGGTCTCAAACTCCTGGGCTCAAGCAGCCTGCCTCCCTTGGCCTCCCAAAGTGCTAGGATTATAGGCATGAACCATCACTCTTGCCTTTTAATTTAAAAGGTTTTTTTTTTTTTGAGACAGAGTCTCACTCTGTTGCCCAGGCTGGAGTGCAGTGGCACCATCTTGGCTCACTGCAACCTCTGCCTCTTAAGTTCAAGCAATTCTCCTGCCTCAGACTCCAGAGTACCTGGGATTACAGATGTGTGCCATCACACCCGGCTAATTTTTGTATTTTTAGTAGAGACGGGGTTTCGCCCTGTTGGCCAGGCTGGTCTCAAACTCCTGACCTCAGGTGATTCGCCCGCCTCAGCCTCCCAAAGTGCTGGGATTGCAAGCATGAGCCACTGCGCCTGGCCGAAAAGTTTCAAACACACATAAAAGTGGAGAGCATAGTGTAATGAATCCCCATATTCCCATCACCCAGCTTCAGCAATTAACGTACTGCCATTCTTGTTTCACCGATTTCCTCCAGCTTCTACTTTGTTTTGTTGCCAGTTCTAATGTTTTTAAAGCAAATTTCTGGTGTCACATCATTCCCCCCATAAATACTTGAGCAGATATTTAACACATAAGGACTTCTGATAAAACATGGTATACCATTAGCACAACCAACACAGTTAACAGTAATTGTTAAAATATCATGTAATAAAAAAAGAAATATGTAATAATGTTTTCAGATTTTATTATTTTTTTGAAATGGAGTCTCGCTCTGTTGCCCAGGCTGGAGTGCAATGGTGCCATCTTGGCTCACTGCAACCTCCGCCTCCTGGGTTCAAGCAATTCTCCTGCCTCAGCTTCCCAAGTAGCTGGGATTACAGGTGCACACCACCACGCCCGGCTAATTTTTGTATTTTTAGTAGAGACAGGGTTTCACCTTGTTGGTCAGACTGGTCTCGAACTCCTGACTTCAGGTGATACACCCACCTCGGCTTCCCAAAGTGCTGGGATTACATGTGTGAGCCACCGTGCCCTGCCAATGTTTTCAGTTTTTCTGATATCTTTTACCACTGGTTTGTTCAAACCGGTAAAAGAATGTTTGGGGCTTTAAAAAGTATTAAAAAATACTTTAGGCTGGGTGCAGTAGCTCACGTCTGTAATCCTAGAACTTTGGGAGGCCCAGGAGGAAGGATCACTTGATTCCAGGAGTTAGGACCAGCCTGGGCAACATGGCAAAACCCCATCTCTACTAAAAATACAAAAATTAGCTGGGTATGGTGGTGCATGCCTGTAGTCCCAGCTACTCAGGAGGCTGAGACAGGAGGATCACTTGAGCCCAAGAAGTGGAGGTTGTAGTGAGCTGAGATTGCACCACTGCACTCCAGCCTGGGTGAAAGGGTGAGACCTTATGTCAAAAAAAAAACCCAAAAAACAAACAAAACTTGTTAAAAGGAGGATCACTTGAGCCCAAGAGGTGGAGGTTGTAGTGAGCTGAGATTGTACCACTGCACTCTAGCCTGGGTGAAAGAGTGAGAACTTATGTCAAAAAAAACCCCCCAAAACAAACAAAACTTGTTAAAAGTATCATCATACAATACGTAGTGAATTAAGTGCTTGTTTTTCCTTTGTACACTGAAGACAGATGGGGGCCCAGGACTTTTGCATGACTCTTGGACATCTCTGTTCCAACCTACTATTAGGAGAGTGGTATTCATTACCTTCCTAATACCTTCTTTTTGTTGCTCTAATCTTTCTTTGTCTGGATCATCTTCTTGAGTTTTTGCAAGCCACCTCCCTTCATGGCAGCTCTTGAATCAGTCAGACATGAACTGAAACCCTTCTGTGTTACTTGATAGCTCTGTGACCTCAGGCAAATTACCTCTCAGAGCCTCAATTATTGTAAAATTTGGCAAGATCTATTGTAAATGTGGTGAGATCTTGACTTACTGCAACCTCCACCTCTTGGGTTCAAGAGATCCTCCCGCCTCAGCCTCCCAAGTAGCTGAAAATATAGGCATGCACCACCATGCCTGGCTAATTTTTGTATTTTTCGTAGAGATTTTTGTATTTTTTGTTGTTCCGGCTGGTCTCGAACTCCTGGGCTCGAGCAGTCTGCCCACATCACCCTCCCCAAAGTGCTGGGATTACAGGCGTGAGCCACCACACCCAGCCCAATGTGATGTTTTAATATATGTATACATTGTGAAATGATTAACACAATCAACCTAATTAACATATCCATCACCTCACATACTTTTTTTTGGCCATCTTAGTATGTATTTTTCCAGATGTATTTCTATTTACAAATACTTGTATGTCCTATAGAAATGTATGGTTTAGTGGGGAGTGTACATGTTTAAATATAAACATAAACATTGTGCATATTGTTAAACAATTCACTTTTTTCACTTAATACATCTTGGAAATTTTTCCATGTCAGCACTCAGTGAACAACGTAGTCTTTCTAATTGCTGCATAATATTCCTTAATATGACTGTTCCATAACTTATTAAGCCATGCCTTTACTAGAGGACATTCAGGTTGTTTTCAATTTTATGCCTTCACAAACAATTTTATAATTAGCATTTTTGTACATGCTTTTTCAGGCACATGTGCAAAGTATTTCTCAAGGTTAGACATTAGAAGTAGAATGTAGGATCAAAGAGCATGCACATTTTAAAATTTAATGCAACCTAATTGTCCTCCTAACTTCCAGTGCTGGGCATTTTTAGTCTTTCTAATTATTCCTACTCTTTTTTCTTTTTTTAAAAGACGAGTTGACCGGGCACGGTGGCTCACGCCTGTAATTGCAACACTTTGGGAGTCCGAGGCAGGTGGATCACGAGGTCAGGAGCTCAAGACCATCCTAGCTAACACGGTGAAACCCTGTCTCTACTACAAACACAAAAAATTAGCTGGGTGTGGTGGCAAGCGCCTGTAGTCCCAGCTACTCGGGAGGCTGAGGCAGGAGAATTGCTTGAGCCCGGGAGGTGGAGGTTGCAGTGAGCTGAGATAGCACCACTGCACTCCAGCCTGAGCGAGACTCCATCTCAAAAAAAAAACAGTCTTGCTTTGTCACTCACCCAGTCTGTGTGCTGTGGTGCAATCATAGCTCTCTGTAACGTTGAAACTCTTAGGCTCAGGCAATCCTCCTATCTCAACCTCCTGAGTAGCTGGGACTACAGCTATGTGTTATTACTACCAGCTAATTTTTAAAGTTTTTTTTTGTAGAGAGACACAGTCTCTCTATGTTTCCCAAGCTGGTCACGAACTCCTGGGCTCAAGTGATCTGCCTGCCTCGGCCTTCCAAAATGCTGGGATTACAGGTGTGAGTCACTGGCCCAGACTAATGGTTGCTAATCTGATGAGAAAACAATGATAATTTAGTATTTAAGTGTATTTATATGTTTACAGTGAGATTTGGCATATTTTCCTTTGCTGTTGGCCATTTGTATTTCTGCTATTGTGAATTGCCTCTTTATATCCTTTGCCTCCCACCCCCTTTTCTTTTTTTTTTCTTTTTTTTTTTTGAGACGGAGTCTTGCTCTGTCACACCTAGGCTGGAGTGTAGTGGCGCGATCTCGGCTCACTGCAACCTCTACCTCCTGGCTTCAAGCGATTCTCCTGCCTCAGCCTCCCGAGTAGCTGGGATTACAGGCGCCTGCCATCACGCCTGGCTAATTTTTTGTATTTTTATTAGAGACAGGGTTTCACCGTGTTGGTCAGGCTGGTCTCGAACTCCTGACCTCAGGTGATCCACCCATCTCGGCCTTCCAAAGTGCTGGGATTACAGGCGTGAGCCACCGTGCCCAGCCCTCTCTCCCACCCCTTTTTTTTTTTCTTTTTTCTTATTGAATTGTAGGGATTGCTGGTATACTGAATATTAGTTCTTTGCTTGTAATACCTGCTTCAGATATTTTAATATGTCACTTGTCTTTTTAACTTTGCCTATATCTTTCATTGTTCTGAATTGTGAGTTGCTATGTTGCCTGGGTTTTTAATCCTTTTATCTTCCTGGCTTGTTTTTGTGCCTTTCTTAAGAAGGCCTTCCTTATCCCATGGTTATAAACATGTGGAAACCATTTTTAGGTTGCAGTGAGTTGGGACTGTCCCCAGGGGACAGAATCTGGTAGGCCTTCGGGACTTAGGAGAGAAGCGCAAGTGGAGTGAGTTTGCTCTGGGGGTCTAGAACTCCACGTTTTCCTCATCGGAGAGAGCAATGCACAGAAGCCATGGCTGCATGGATGGTCACCATGACCAGAAGCAAGTCTAGAGAGAGAGCTTTAAGCTATTGCTGTTGTCTTCCACCCTAGGAGGGTGCAAAAAAAATGTGAGGCCACCCTGAAGGCCCAGTTTTTGGAGAGTTCCATCCTTTCCTTGCAATTTCCTTGACACAGCAGTCCCAGAACAATGCAGATAAGTGTAACAGGAGTAGTTTTGAGGACATGCTCTGTCCTCAAAGGCAGCTGCCATGTAGTGGAAAAAACAGTCACAGTCCCAGTGCGGTGGCTCATGCCTATAATCCCAGCACTTTGGGAGGCCCAGTAGTTTAAGACCAGCCTGGGCAACAAGGGAAGATCTCGCCTCTACAAAAAATAAAAAAATTAGCCAGGCATGGAAGAAAACTTAAGCCCAGGAGGTCGAGACTGCAATGAGCCATGATGGCTCCACTGCACTCCAAGTCTGGGGAACAGAGGGAGACCCTGTGTCCAAAAAAAAAAAAGCCATCACAGAGAGGTGTGGTTCTGATGCCAAACACAAAAGCATTTATCATTACAAGGTTTCACTGAAGTATCTGCATTTGTAATGCACCATGCTAGGTAGGGTGTAGAAAGAGTGATTCTGGGGGAATGTCTGTTCTTTTAGAAATGGCCCCCTCCACAGAGGTACAATAGAACAGTGGAACAGAATCAGACATCTGTGATTGTGTTCTAGCTCCGTCCTTTGGCAGCTATGAAACTGTGAGCCAATCAGTGAGCCAAGGCCTCAATCTCCTCTCTGAAAATGGGAATTACCCCAGCTTGTGTGGGGTATTATGAGGATGGATGACGTGATGAATGGGAAAGTCGGTTGTATGTGCTCTAAGAAGTATAATATGGACTTAGCGTTTGGGGACACATGAAGAAGAGGATATGGTCTCTGTCCTCAAAGAGCTTGTGATGTACACATGTAGAAACATAAAACAGGACAAGACAGGAAATGATCAAGTTGTCAAATTGTAAGGTAGTGGAAGTTGGAGAAGAACCAGTGTTCAGGACCAGAGTAAAATCCTATCTGTGGCTGTGCTCTTATGAAAGCTGCCCAAGCGTGAAATGAAACGAAATCATCCAAAGGTGATCATCTTGTCAGCCTGAGTCTTTTTGTCCTGTCTTGTTCTGAAGAACAGCGGAACACCTCTTGGGGCAGCTTTTGTCCTGGGCTCCTGGCTCTAAGGCCACCTCTTTCTTTTTTTTAATTAAAGGTTACTTTTAAACTTTTATTTTAGATTTAGGGGTACACATGAAGATTTGTTACATAGATAAACACGAGTTATGGGTGTTTGTTATACATAATATTTCATCACCCAGGTATTAAGCCCAGTACCCAATAGTTATCTTTCCTACTCTTCTTCCTCCCCGTACTCTCCCCCTCAAGTAGACCCCAGTGTCTGTTGTTTCCTTCATGTTCATAAGTTATTATTATTTAGCTGCCACTTATAAGTGAGAACATGCAGTATTTGGGTTTCCGTTCCTGCATTAATTTGCCTCCAGCTGCATCCATGTTGCTGCAAAGAACATGATTTCATTCTTTTTTATGGTTGCATAGTATTCCATGGTGTGTGTGTACCATATTTTCTTTATCCAATCTGTCACTGATGGGCATTTAGGTTGACTCCATGTCTTTGCTATTGTGAACAGTGCTGCAGTGAACATTCACATGCATGTTTCTTTATGATAGAATCGTTTATATTCCTCTGGGATATACCCAATAATGGGATTGCTGGGTCGAATGGTAGTTCTGTTTTTAGCTCTTTGAGGAATTGCCCCACTGCTTTCCACAATGGTTGAATCAATTTATAATCCCACCAACAGCGTATAAGTGTTCCCTTTTCTCCACAACCTCACCAGCATCTGTTAGTTTTTAACTTTTTAGTGATAGCCATTCTGACTGGTGTGAGATGGTATCTCCTTGTGGTTTTGATTTGCATTTCTCTAATGATCAGTGATATTGAGCTTTCTTTTCCATATGCTTGTTGGCTGCATATATGTCTTCTTTTTTTTTTTTCTTTTTGAGACGGAGTTTTGCTCTTGTTTCCCAGGCTGGAATGCAATGGTGCCATCTCGGCTCATCATAACCTCTGCCTCCCAGGTTCAAGCGATTCTCATGCCTCAGCCTCTCCAGTAGCTGAGATTACAGGCATGCGCCACCACACCCAACTAATTTTGTATTTTCAGTAGAGATGGGGTTTCTCCATGTTGGTCAGGCTCCATGAGGTCTCAAACTCTTGACCTCAGGTGATCTGCCCTCCTTGGCCTCCCAAAGTGCTGGGATTACAGGCATGAGCCACCATGCCCGGACCTTTTTTTTTTTTTTTTTTTTGAGACGGAGTCTCGCTCTGTCACCCAGGCTGGAGTGCAGTGGCGTGATCTCGGCTCACTGCAAGCTCTGCCTGTCAGGTTCACACCATTCTCCCGCCTCGGCCTCCCAAGTAGCTGGGACTATAGGCATGTGCTGCCATGCCTGGCTAATTTTTTGTATTTTTATTAGAGATGGGGTTTCACTGTGTTAGCCAGGATGGTCTTGATCTCCTGACCTGGTGACCCGCCCACCTCGGCCTCCCAAAGTGCTGTGATTACAGGCATGAACCACCGTGCCTGGCTTTTTTAAAATTTTTGAGACAGAGTCTTGCTCTGTCATGCAAGCTGGGGTGTACTGGTGAGATCTTGGCTCACTGCAACCTCCGCCTCCTGAGTTCAAACGATTCTGCCACCTCAGCCTTGTGAGTAGCTGGAATTACAGGCATGTGCCACCGTGCCCACCTAATTTTTGTATTTTTAGTAGAGACAAGGTTTCACCACGTTGGCCAGGCTGGTCTCGAACTCATAACCTCAAGTCATCTGCCTGCCTTGGCCTCCCAGAGTGTTGGGATTATGGGCGTGAGCCACCGCACCCGGCCATATGTCTTCTTTTGAGAAGTATCTGTTCATTTCCTTCGCCCACTTTTTAATGGGGTTGTTTTCCTCTTATAAATCTGTTCAAGTTCCTTATAGGTGCTGGATATTAGACCTTCGTCAGATGCATAGTTTGCAAATATTTTCTCCCATTCTGTAGGTTTCTCCCATTCTGTTTACCATTGATAGTTTCTTTTGCTGTGCAGAGCTCTTAAGTTTAATTAGATCCCACTTGTCAATTTTTGCTTTCGTTGCGATAGCTCTTTGTGTCTTTCTCATGAAATTTTTGCCCATTCCTATGTCCAGGATGGTATTGTTTAGGTTGTCTTCCAGGGTTTTTATAGTTTTGCATTTTACTTTTAAGACTTTAATTCATCTTTAGTTGAATTTTTTTCTTTTGTTTTGTGCAGCAGTCTGCATTATTGAATTGATTTTTGTGTATGGTATAAGAAAGGGGTCCATTTTCAATCTTCCGCATATGGCTAGCCAGTTATCCCAGCATCATTTATTGAACAGGGAGTCTTTTCCCCATTGCTTGGTTTTGTCAGTTTTGTTGAAGATCAGATGATCATAGATATGTGGCCTTATTTCTGGGCTCTCCATTCTGTTCCGTTGGTCTATGTGCCTGTTTTTGTACCAGTACCATGCTGTTTTGGTTACTGTAGCCTTGTAGTATAATTTAAACTTGCATAATGTGATACTTCCAACTTTGTTCTTTTTGCTTAGGATTGCCTTCACTATTCAGGCTCTTTTTTTGTTCCATATAAATTTTAAAATAGTTTTTTTCTAGTTCTGTGAAGATTGTTGGTAGTTTGATAGGAATAGCATTGAATCTGTAAATTGCTATGGCCAGTATAGCCATTTTAATGATACTGATTCTTCCTATCCATGAGCATGGGATGTGTTTTCCATTTGTTTGTGTCTTCTCTGATTTCCTTGAACAGTGTTTTGTAATTCTCATTGTAGAGATCTTTCACCTCCCTGGTTAGCTGTATTCCTAGGTATTTTATTCTTTTTGTGGCAATTGTGAATGGGATTGCCTTTCTGATTTGGCTCTTGGTTTGAAGGCCACCTCTTTGTTTTCCTTTGATTTAGCCTTACATGCCTGCAAGGCTTTTATCTATCAGAGACTTTGCCTCCTTGGTTAAGTGTCCCTGTGAGAGCTTCTAGGTAACAAACCAGGAGCCATCAAACTGGATCTAGACGGAAAGACTGAGAAACTGGTTGTTGGGGCCTCAATACACCCTATGCTATGCCCCCTCCTCAGGAATTCAGTCTTGTTCCGTGGTGTGTCCCCAAAAGAATGAAGAAGTTCATCAGAGAAGGATACTGACAAAAGAGAGGGGATTAGGGTGATTCTCTCAGCTCAAACTTGCTGCAGCATCTATGTGTGGGGCTGGCAGTTCCACTGTGGTCTACGGAGAAGAGTCCTGTGACTGGTTTCTGCATTATTTTGCCTTTGCTCAGCTGTGGGCCAGTACAATAAGGATACAAAGTCCTTAGTCCATCCCTGAATGGGCCATTTTACTTCCCAAGACCAGCTGCCTTACAGAGAGATGCTGGACTTCATTACAAAGGGAGGTGGTGACTGAATAGTCCTGGTTAGGGCTGGCTACACAATTTGCAAGGCCCAGTGCAAAATGAAAATGCAGAGTCCTTATTCAAAAATTAGGAAAGAAAAGTGCTATTAAAGGTACTTTACATAAACTTTTTCTTTCAAAAAGATCTTGTTACTTATAAACGTAATAGGCATAATAGTGTTACACGAGTAACAATATAAACTTACAAATGCAAAAATCCACTTTTGGTGTCATATGGTATAATATAATATAATATAATAAGTGATAATTATCAATGTGATATCTTGATCATAAGATTTTTCTGGCTTACTTTTTTGCAAATTCATTTATGAGGTCATCAAAAGTTTTACTTTTAGCAACTTCATTTTCAATTGATATAATTGAAAGTGACAGTCATTTTTGGCAAATACAAGATCTCAAATAATTTTTGATAGTTTTTAATTTTGAGAATAATCTTTCTGCTGATGCAATTGTTACTGGAGCTCTTAAGTATATTTTATAGGCTGGGACAGCATTGGGGTAAATTTCTGATAAATTATTTTAAAATATAAATTTTAGTACATTTAGAGTTGATGATAGCCTTCAAGTAAGTATGAATTTAATTTCAAATATAAATTTATGAGTGACACTTTAATGTTTCCTTTGGCATTTTTTGCAACTTGCTGAGGTCATACAAGAATCAAAAGTGGTTTCATGATTTATATGTAGTTAAAAATGCCTATTTATGCATTCTATTGCTTTATCTTCCATTATATAAATTAATTTTTTATTTTCTTTGTGGTTAATAATTGGCTTATTCCTTAGAAAATGATGCTTTTTCTGCTGATGCAATGGTCTCTAAATTTAATTTCTATTTCTAAGTCTGTGGATATTGGATTTGCAGTGCTGTAATAATTTTAAAACTAGAGATTCCAAACTCTTTGGAGAATTCTAATAACTCTGATTGATATGCTTTATTGCAATGTCCATGTGTACATTTGTATTTTGTGGTATTAACTAATTTAACAACCAGGTTTACTGCTTGAGCACTGGCAGTTCCTGTCCCAGGGCTCTGGCTGGAGAGTTATTATTTGTGCAGATGGTGCAGGGACAGGCTCTGGGGATGGGTGTGTGTGCAGGTCTCCCATCTCTGTCCTTGTGCTTCCATGTGGAGTTTCTACCTCTTCTGGGGCTGTGGCCACTATTGCCACCTCAGCTTCTGCTGTCCCCACCACCACTGTCACTAATCTGGGCTCAGCTCTGTTTCTGGGTGCTGCCCAGCACACTGCCTGCTTGTGCCCATAGGACTGACCCATGTGTGCATGGACTGCTGCCAGCTTATCTTCCTGCTCACATGCCTGCTCCATCGTCTCATCAGACGTCACTTACAAAACACAAGTTCAAAGATAAAATTATTAAGAATTTCAGACAATAGCCACAGGACATTAAACCAACTATGGGGTTCTTTTGGAGCCTTGGGCTTGTGCAAATGACTACACAGGTTGCAGGCCCATGGAGCCAGCTCTGGTCAGGGCCATGTGTGCAAACCTTGGTGGGGAAGTAATGACTTCTTGGTGTTGTAAGCCGGAAAGCACTCTAAGTCGGGGAACCTGTAAAAATCAGGAACATGTTCTGAAAAATGGAAACCCAAGGCCGGGTGCAGTGGCTCATGCCTATAATCCCAGCACTTTGGGAGGCCGAGGCAGGTGGATTGCTTGAGTCCAGGAGTTTGAGACCAGCCTGGGCAACATGGCAAAATCCTCTCTCTATAAAAAATACAAAAATTATCTAGAGGGGGCCCCTACCTGTGGGGCTGAGGTGGGAGGATCGCTTGAGTCCAGGAGGTTGAGGCTGCAGTGAGCCAAGATTACACCACTGCACTCCAGCCTGGGCAACAGAGTGAGACCCTGTCTCAAAGAAAAAAAAAGAAAAAAGAAAATACAGATAAGTAAAAATAGGAAATCCCACCTAGCAGAAATACGGCTAAAATTTTGTTATGTACTCTAGCAATCTTTTTGTTTTTCTGTATGTTTTCAGAAAAAAAGTTAAATATAGAAAAGTACAGTGAGTAACATGACATGACAAGCACTCATGTTCTCGGTACCCTGAATGAATAAATATTTACATTTTGGCATATTTATTTCAGGTTATTTTATAAAAAAGAAAACATTACTGTTCAAGTTTAAGTCCCCTTGGTACCTCACTCAAATCCCATTTTCCTTCCTCCTTCCCTGGTAATTGTCATCATCAGAGGAAGAGTAAGAATAATGGTCGATGACAATAGCATGATAATAATAATGACCTCAGTGGATAAAAGGATCTGTCATGCTTCCCAGAAAATTCTGGATACTTTGATAGATGCTCTATGATTATAATTATCTTTTCCCAGAGCCTTCTGTTCAACAGACTGGTAATAAACAGAACATGAATCAAATGGGTAGATATTAGCTAAAAGTTTAATTAGCTGAAGAAGGAGAAATAGTGGTAATGGTCTTGGGCTGACGTCTCTTGAGACCCTAATCCCAAACTTCACAGTATCTCTTAGTGATGGTTTTCTTACCAGGGCAATTCCTTGTGGTCAGTTAGATTTTTCCTGATGTTGTACTCATAGCTCCCTGAGCTTCCTCTATCATAATACTCAACACAAGATTTTTTACCAGTTTAACTGCAGGTAATTTTTACCAGACTGTGAGCTCCCTGAGAGCAGGGATCGGGACTGACTGTCTCATTCATTGGTCTATTTCCAGTCCCATGTATGGTGTCTGTCAGACACTGCACAATAAGTATTTGGTGAATGACTGGAAAACAGTCTCAGGACATAGAGCTGTTGCTGTTGTGTGGGATTCAAGGCTGATTCTGGGTTCTTGGGTTTAGTCTGGCGAAGGCATTGGATGCTGAACATTTTTATTGGGGGTATTTGGTTCTGTGGCCCCATGGGAATTTTTCCAGCTGTCCTGGTGGCCACCAGGGTTTCCTTATTGGTCAAGTTAACCCTGAAAGGAGACCCTGGGGACCCCTGTGGTTGAATGCCATGTCTGGAGCAGCTGCTGCCTGCAGCTATGTGTGTGTAAGCCGGAGACCCGAGCTTTTCTTAATCTCTGAGCCAGGCTGCTGACAATAAATAAGCTTTCCACCCAACAGCTGCTGACAGTCGCCTCCCACACAGCCCGCCCGAGCCCTGCCTGGAGATGGCATGTCTCCTTCCCCGTTGCTCTAATAATAACAACATTATATTCTCAGTCAGAGCTTGAGGGCTTCACTCAGAGACATTTTTTCACTTGCTTGAGAATGGGAGTTAGAGAAAGCATAGAAATGTAGAAAACTCATTTGGACATTTATTTAAACCATCTCAAACTTAATTTGGTCAGGTTCAAGTTGTTAAAGATCTCCTGCTCGTCTTCTGACTGCTGAGCAGTTGAAAGGGGACAAGCAGAATGGAGGGACAGTGAGAGGTTTGGGGGCCAGCCCCAGCTTGGAGGAAGGGCCCGTTGTAAAGCCTGGGCCGGAGGAAGGTTGGCAAGGCAGGGCCCAAGCCTGGGCTCTAGTTTCCCTGAGCCTGCCAGGGTGCCCAGCCAGGAGTTTCCTTCTGTCTGTGCCCACCCTGGTGAGCTGGAGATAGGGGGAAACCTGCTGGGAAAAGTGGCTTCGGAGAGCTAAAGTGAGGGGGGCAGGAAGCATTGCTTTCCTTCTAAGAACCTTTGCTTCCTTCGGCCTCAGCATCTGCCTGGGGTGACACAGGGTTGCTTTCTTCAGAGATGCGGCTGTGCTGTTCAGCCCCTCCTTAGGTTCTGCCAAGGCAAGGCCTGGGTGTCCAGAGTGGGCATGGGAATCATTCACCCACCCCACCTCTCAGTGCCGTGGGCCAGTCTGGGCCTCACGCAGCCCACAGCGAGGCATGGGTTTGCATTTTACAGTCACTTGCAATGACTGCGCTTTTTTCCAGTTCATGGGAGCAAATGGAGAGGTGTTCTGGGAATCCCATCTTCACCCTCCTGCATCTGAGGCTGGTGAGCAGCTGAGAGAAGGAGAAATGAGAAGCCAGCTGGTCAATGGTCTGACTCCTCCACCCCTGCATAATTATGGGTTGGCCATGTAGCTAATCCCGTTTTCTCAACAGCCCTATGACATGAGGGAGGAGGAGGTGGTTGTGGAAACCACATGCCCTAGATCCTAGTGGTGCTCCAGCAGTCTGGGAGCAAGGTTGCCCTGGGAGATCCCTGGGGAACTATTGACTTCTCTCCCTGATCTTTTGCTTTTTTGCCCCCTGTAATACTTTCATCATTTTCACTATGGCTAAGCGAGATTCCAAGTTGGGCTGGTCACTCTGCCCAGAGAATACAAGTTCTATGAAGAAAAGTGCTCTATAAATCCAAGGCATTATGAAATTTACTTCTACTATAAGGCTTTTATACTTGCATCCAATAAGTCTGTGTCCCCTATCTAAGGGATGAAGCCAGCCAGCTATCACACGAGCTCTCTGTTCTTAAATAGACTCAAGGCTTTGTTCAAAGCTTTTCAGGTGGATTCATTTAAAACTGCAGCTTCCCTGCCACTTTAAGAAATTCACCCTATCCATCGTCAGCCTGGTACTGTTGAGTATATTACCATTATACGTAGAGGCATAGACTATAGCTCCCAGTGTAGAAAACAAAACTTTAGATTGAGTAATTGCAGGAAACTTGACTGCAATTCACTGAGAATGTATTTTGACGAATAAGGAAAAAAACGTTTCAAAAAATAGGTCAGGGCGCTTTTAGGGAGCCCAAAAAACCCGCAAGGATTCTCTGCAGGTGTAATAATTGGGCAGTCCATCCAGCCTCCCACCTCTGTCTCCTTCCCTTGTATTTCTTTTCCAGGCTGCTGTCTGTGACAGCTCAGGAAGGGGCCCCAGGCAGCTCTCCTCTGAATTCTTCCCCCGATATCTCTCTGCCTTCTTCACACACAAATCAGCCTCACTAGCACCTCAGCTTCTATTTTTAGCTGCTGTTTTGCATTTTGTGTAGAATACAAGGAAATAGAATGCAGAATTTAGACAGGAGAAAAGGCAGGCTGCTTGCTTCCTGATAAATTGTCAGGGACCCATATCTGATGGTTGAAGCCTGATAGCAATCAGAACAGCAGGGAACAGAACGGTTGCGTCCTCATCTGCATTAGAGAGCAGTCTCTTTTCAGGGTTCCATGAGCTAGGGCCTTTCTGTCCTTTTCCCTCTGCACTGATGGCTGGTTGCATGGCTTCAGAATCCACTAGACTTAACTCCTGGTTTGGTGAAGATTCAACTTGACACAGATAATTGATAAAGTTGAGAGGGAGTTTGTGCATGTGTGTGAGTGTGTTTTGGGGGGCAGGGAGGATTGTTTTACAAAAGAATCGTGAACTAGATTCAATAGTCTGTCCACTAGAAGCAGAGGACCATATTCTATACCCTTTATCATGTGAAACTTCTTCCTGGGTGTCTTTTTTTTTTGAGACAGGGTCTTGCTCCATTGCCCAGGGTGTAGTGAAATGGTGTGAACACAGCTCGCTGCAGCCTTGACCTCTTGAGCTCCAGCGATCCTCCCAACTCAGCCTCCCAAGTAGCTGGAATTACAGGGGCACACCACTTCTCCTGGCTAATTTTTAAAATATTTGTAGAGGCAAGGTCCCAGTATGTTGCTCAGGCTGTTCTTGAGCTCCTGGGCTCAAGCAATCCTTCACCTTGACCTCCCAAAGTGCTGGGATTACAGGCATAAGCTACCATGCCCAGCCCTGGGTGTCTTTTAAAAGATGGGGCAAAATTTTGAGAGTAGACTAGATCGGTGCTATCCAAAGTGTGGCAGCATCAGCAACATTTAGAAGCTTGTTAGAAATTCAGTCTTCTCAGGGGTGGGGTTGCTACAAATTTCCTTAGTGAGACAAAACAGAAAATCCCAAACAAACCAACCTTTGTTATTATGAAATATAACACACAGAAAACTGCATAGATGCATTATATAAAGGGAATCTTATAAAACCAAATGAATTGTAATAAAAGGAACCCTATGTCATTTCCACCCATGTTAAGAAATGGAACATTGCCAGCACCCCAGGAGACCCTTGCCTAGTGGAATTCCAACTCCCTTCCCTACCCCAAAGGTAATCACTCTCCTGGCTTCTGTGCCTTTTTCTTTTTTTATATTTTTACCATCAAAGATTGCATCCCTGCATAGCACAGAGTAGTTTGCCTATTCTTGACCTTTATCTAAATGAAATAATGAAGTGCATACTTCTTTGTGTCTGGTTTCTTTTGCATATTTTGTCTGTGAGATTTCATGAAGCTTTTAACACAGCAATTGTTGCCCTTTCCAGAGCTGCCACGCCCTCTCATTGTTTAGATCCATAGCAACCCCTCAGAAAAGCATAGATTCTCCTTTAAAATTACAGCAAGTTAAAATTAATTTGATTAATGAGGATTTCACTGTGCTCCTTGAGCCAGGTGTTATTCCCTGGGATGCTGCCGAGTCAGGATTGGGACTTGCTGCTCCAGGGCTCTAGCTGTGTCTTCTCTGTTCCAGGATGAGCTTGAGGTGATGGTTAGGAGGCCCTTCAGGAAGAGGCTGCTCATTGAAGGGAATGCTCGAAGGCATGAGCTTTCAGGAGCCTCGAAACCCAATATTCAACCAGTGTGTGACATTGGATCAGGTCCAAGATGACCCAGGGCTATTTCAAGGTCTCACATGTCTGTCTTTATGCTTTTTTCATTGAAGTTTTCTGATCCATCACGTAAGAAACAGCTATCTGGCCGGGTGCGGTGGCTCACACCTGTAATCCCGGCACTTTGGGAGGCCAAGGCAGGTGGATCACTTGGGGTCAGGAGTTCAAGACTGGCCTGATCAACATGATGAAACCCCATCTCTGCTAAAAATACAAAAATCAGCCAGGCATGGTGGCGAACACATGTAGCCCCAGCTACTTGGGAGGCTGCAGCAGGAGAATTGCTTGAACCCAGGAGGTGGAGGTTGCAGACAGCCAAGATTGCACCACTGCACTCCAGCCTGGGTGACAGAGCAAGACTCCATCTCAAAAAAAAAAAAAAAAGGAAAAAAAGAAAGAAAAAGAAACAGCTATGCATAAAGGAGAGTTCTGGGAAGTGTCGAAGAGATGAGACATCTAAGTTGCAGTTATTGACCAGTCTTTTCCCCTAGAATCTTGCTCCCCACAGAGGTTAAGGGCATGGTCTTTTAAGTCAGACCAACCTGAATTCTGGTCCTGCCTCTGCCACTCATTAGCTGTGTGACTATAAGTTCATCCTCATCTTAGAATGGAGATTATAATAATAGTACATACCTCATGGGGCTATTTTGATGATTAATTAAGAAATGCTCGTAAAGTGCTTAGCATCTGCCTAATAATTCTAGCTAACAGTGAATGCTTCCAATGTATCAGCTACTGGAATCCTATATAATTGATTCTATTGTTATCCTGAATTTCAGACGAGGAAACTGAGGCTCAGAGAGGTTAAGAAACTTACCCAGGATCCCATGGCTAATATGTGGTGTGGAGGCATTTTAACACTCTTAACCACTGTGTTGTATATCTATTTTTATCATCATTTGAAGTCAAGGCTCTGATATTCTTGATATGTTTCTCCCATTATCTGTTTCAAACCTCTTACATGGCTTCTAGCACAGCCAGAGTCTTATCAGCTGCTGGTCCAGGATCAGCCTGATGAAACAATTAGAAATGAGGCCCCGGCAGTGACTCATGCCTATAATCCTAGCACTTTGGGAGGCCAGGCGGGAGGATAGCTTGAGGCCAGGAGTTTGAGACCAGCCTGGGCAACAAAGTGAGACCCAATCTCAAAAAAAAAAAAAAAAAAAAAGACTAGTCCCCATCTCCTTGTTATATGATCCTCTTTTGGGGTTGTCTCTCACAATGGAAGCTAATGGCCACAACAGTAGCCATGTTGAATGCACCCAGAGGGTCTTTGCTGTCACTTTACAAAGCACTAGCTTACTAGCTTACCCTGAAGCCTTGAATCACACTGAGCTGGGATTCTGCAGCACTGAGTCATCAAAATGTTTCAAGGGTTAAAAAATGGTCATAAGAGGATGGCATAAAGGAACTGTGGGGAGGAGGTAGTAGTTTCATAGCAGCACACTGGTGACTTTAACTTTGAGCCAGATATACAAGTTGCTAGATTTCCCTGCCCATATGTGGTAAGAGGAGAAGCAATGTACAGAAAGGATGAGCTAGACAGAATGCTTTTCTTCTATTGATGACAAAAACATAGTGCCCCGGAATAGACTACTGAGGGGCTATTGGGAGCAGACTGCTTTCTTGGGCAGTAGCATTAGTAGCTTAAGACGGGGGTGGACCCCAGCCTTCGTTTCTCATGATTTTGTGATAAGGATGTTATCTCTTTATTCTCAGATTTCTAGAAATCTTCTACAGTGTGGTGGGCAAAATCGTGCCTCCTCTCCATAGATGTCCACATCCTAATCCCTGTTACCTATATATATAGATGGGCCCAGTGTAATCACGGAAGTTCTTATAAGAGAATGAGAGAAGCAGGAGAGTCAGTTTCATAGTGATGTAATGTGAGAAAGACTCAACCAGCTATTGCTGGCTTTGAAGATGAAGGAAGGGGACCAGGAGTCAAGGAATGTGGGAGCTTTTAGAAGCCAGAAAAGGCATAGAAACAGATTGTCCTCTAGTGCTTGTAGAAAGGAATACAGACCTTCTGACATCTTGATTTTAGCCTAGTAAGATTCATGTCAGACTTCTGACCTACAGAGCTGATAAGATAATAAATGTGTGTTGTTTTAAGCCACTAATTTGTAGTAACTAGTTATATAAACCACAAAAAGCTAATATGCATAATTTAACCCATATACCAAGAATATGATTTGGAAAATCAAATTGTCTGAAGGGAGAAGTTTTTATATTCTCTCCTAGCTGTGGCTTCTGTATCCCAAGTACATGAAACCTGTCAGCCCACATGCATGTGCTGGTGTGGCATCAATGGTGGTAACAGTTAATAAATACCTCTATCTCGTAAGGCATCTTTAAGCTGATGCACCCTCTAGTGAACCTGGGACTGACAAGGGGAGATGAATGGGGGTGGCTATTCTTCACGCTATTGCCACCCGTGAGCATTTGCACCCAGGGAAGCTTCAGAGGAGGAACGTGCCTTTTTAAAGGCAGTCTGGAGAACAGGTGTACTAACTTTCTGTGGTTCTCTGGAGTTACTTATTTACTTGTTTATTTATTTAGAGACAGAGTCTCACTGTATCACCCAGCCTGGAGTGCAGTGCCGCAATCTTGGCTCACTGCAACCTCCACCTCCTGGGTTCAAGCAATTCTCCTGCCTCAGCCTCCCAAGTAGCTGGGATTACAGGCGTGCGTCACCACGCTCATCTAATTTTTGTATTTTTAGTAGCGACGGGGTTTCACCATGTCAGCCAGGCTGGTCTCGAACTCCTGACCTCAAGTAATCCACCTGCCTCGGCCTCCTAAAGTGATGGGATTACAAGTGTGAGCCACCACGCCCGGCCTGGAGTTAATCAGGAGACATCAAACATGACCTGGACTTTGGAGCCTCCTTGTTCCTTTCCAGCTCCATCCCCTTCATAGAGAAGTGAGTTTCTCCTTTGCTGACTCACATTTCAAACTGCAAAGTGGAGCTGCAGACTAATTCACAAAAGAGAGAGGTGGAACAAACCAACACTTGGTGCAAATGGTGCACCAAGTCCCAGAATGAAAAAGTGACATCATAAAATATTCTAAGTGTGCCTGTCTTATTATAGACTAATGTAAAGACAGACGATTCCAAACTGCTGACTGGAAAAATATAAATCTAGCTATATTTTCCGATAAATTGTATATTTAGCATTTTAAGATGAAAACAAAACTTTCAACAAGTACAAAGAAAATCAAGTTTTGAAAAATTCATGGTTTCCAAAGCAAATTTGTGAGGCCATTTCAGGGAGCAATAGGCTCAGCATAGATGTTTCTTTCACAGCCCAGTTTAGTTGCCTAGGACCCAGGTTCAGAAGCAGTTGATATTCTGTTTTTGGCCAGGAAGGGATGGCCGAGAACATTCCCAAGAGCAGTGAAGGGCCTGTGTTTGGCACCAGACTATTAGACAGGTGGTTCCTTAGCCTTCTGATTCTGGGCTGGTCAGTCAGTCATGGTCTCCAGTCACTTTGGACTGGGGGTCACCTCTCCCTCACCTTCTACAGGAGTAATAGGTGCTTCTAGCAACTCTTGGGTAGGGTAGAGTTGGGATGATGTGGGTTGTGAAACCAGGCTGATAGAGCCAATTTACTTACACTGGACTGCATGGACCCTACAGGTCCGGAGTGAGAGGTCACTTGCTGGACGGAAATCCATAATATTGTTCAATTGAAACAAGGGCTACTGCAGCAACTTCTCCCCCAGAGCAACTACCACCACCACCCTTGTCTCTTTTACCCACTTCAGAGAGACAGACAGAAGCTTTCCAAAAGAGGACAGAGTAGCCAGGGATGCTAAATGAGTGGGAGGTAGTCATAGTCTCACCTGAGATCCTCCTCTGTTGTTTGTGAGTATTGATAAGGCTTGAATTCAGTTCCACATTGACCTGAACATGCCCCAGTCTGTAGAAACCACAGTTCTGAAGTCCTGAGGGATCCTCTTCTACAGGTAAGCAAGGCTTCCACACATAAAGAAGAGAATACACCTTTTCCCACCCCAGGAAGCCTTGGACTGCACTGCTTACCCTCCTCGCAGAAGAAAGGAGAGGGCTTCTTTTGGTGGTGGCCTTTTTATTTTTCTAGCAACAGCACAGGACATAGCCTTTCTCTTAATGTCAGGTCACGGTCTTCCTCCTTCTCACACCAGTGCTGGTGGTTTTTGGGGCCCTGGAATCACAGTGTGGCCAGGGCCTTCTATCTATGGACCATCCACTGAGCTCCCAGTTGCTCACGTTGATCTTGCCACAATTTTTCTTTCTACAGTTTGTTGTCATGTGTCTAGAGAGCAATTTTTCCATCTTTGTAAATGTCAGACTGTTGCTGCTTCCTCTTTTTGTTTTTAGCTATTTGGTTGCTCCAGAAACTCCAGCTGGGGGTTGGCAGAAGAAATAAAACAAGGAAGCCAGAGCCATGAGCAGCTCTGAATAAATAGCGGCTGAAGTGGCAAGGACAATGAAAATAACAGATAATCCCCAACTCTCTTTTGATGATACAATTGGAGTTCTCCTCTGGTAGATAATTCATCAGAGCTGTTCATGGCTATGCTCGAGCCGCAAGGCGGGGCTGGGAGCCAGCGGCAGCGTGGATGCTGGGAGCTTCAGGGTCAGGTTCCAGCAGGGCCTCTGAGGACTGCTGCAGACACAGCTGAGGCAGCCCGGCTCCAGGCTCGCTGGAGGGGCTGTGTCTGGGGAGATGCTTCTCTATAAAAAGCTTAGAGGTCAGTGTGGAGCTTCCTATTCTT
Organism: Homo sapiens; assembly: GCF_000001405.40. Taxonomy (NCBI): domain Eukaryota; kingdom Metazoa; phylum Chordata; class Mammalia; order Primates; family Hominidae; genus Homo; species Homo sapiens. The sequence continues at coordinate 55,112,495 of NC_000002.12, read as the reverse complement.
TCCTCTGGCCGTGCTTAGATTTAGAACAATACTAGTGTGGAAAGTGCAGCTGCTCTAAAGCCAGTAGTGTTGACGTGGTTGGGAGCCTAGACCCCTAACCCCACAGTCTGGGCTCAAGCCTTGCTTAATCACCACTTGACTTTGGCTCTGTGACCTCTGGTTTCCTCACCTGTAAAATGAGGATTTTACGGGGTTGCTGTCCGGGGGTAGATGAGGCAACATATGCCAAGTGCTTAGCAAATGATAAGTGTTCAGTCAGTGGTACCTTTCTTCTTAGTATTATTTGTCATTGTCACCACCATCATCTCAGCCCAGTGCAGGTGAGCTGGGAAGGTAGGCCTCATATAGTCCTGAACACGCTCCCCCACAGGGGGCCTCTCAGAGCCTCTGAGCTCCTCACAAAGCCAAGGCACGCTCTTTCTGGAGTTTGGTAGCATTTAATAGGAAGGTATTGCCTAGGTGGTTGCTTCCTCTTGAGTGTCGCCATTGGAGCAGGATCCCCAGAGACTCATTGCAATTAACTGCTTCTGGTGGTTGAAGCAGTTTTGAGAGCAGTGCGTGCCCACAGAGGCGGATTTCAACACGCTGAGTCATACTGCAGGGTCTGCCGGCAGAGCTGGTCACAAGGCAGGAGGCAGGCAGCATTCGGGAAGATGGATAGACATGGGGTGAGGTAGATTTTTTAAGGACATTTCAGTGAATATCTGTTCAATGTGTCTGGATAAAGGAAGGGTGGACATTAACGTTTTTTCAACACTTACTCTGTACATGGCCCCTACAGTTGGGCTTCGATTTCGTTGAATTTCCTCCAAACTAGCCAGTGGAGACCCCTCCTCCTAAACAGCCCCAAACACCCTCCTGAGTGGGTCCTTAGGAGAGGTCTGTGACTCCCAGCAGAGGGTGGGAGGTGCTGTGGAAGGCAAAGCCACTTTCGTGGGCCTGGATTGGGGAACAATCCTCCCTCTGCTCCCACAAACACTAGCTAGGTGGATTTATGCGAACAGGAGTGAGGAACATTTATTTCTGTCTGAGGTTGAGTAAGGTGTCACAAAAGGCAGTGACTTTATTTATTATCTCACTATGGGATGAGAATCTGCTTTCCACAGTTGCTATGGATATTTCGTTGTTTCTGTTGATACCACCATCTATTTGGGCCTAAGATTTGAGGGTGCCTCTGAAAAAGGTTTCTTTGTTATCTCTGTGCTTGCTCTGTTTTTAAAATCTCGGAAGAGTGAGGTTAAAGTGAATTTTTTTTTTTCATGCAAGTATTCCAGTGATCCCTCAAGAATTATTGGAAAATAAAAAGCAACTTTGCAGCTAGCAAATTTCCCAAGGTTAGCAAGCAAGCAAGTAAAAATAAAGACAATTTGTTTTTATTTTGTTTTTATTCTTTTCTTTTTTTCAGACCTTATCCCCCATGCGGAGATACATTATTATTATTATTATTGTTATTTTGAGACACAGTCTTACTCAGTTGCCCCGGCTGGAGTACCGTGGTACGATCTCGGCTCACTGCAACCTCCACCTCCTGGGTTCAAGCAATTCTCCTGCCTCAGCTTCCCAAGTAGCTGGGATTACAGGCATGTGCCACCACGCCCAGCTAATTTTTGTATTTTTAGTAGAGACAGGGTTTTGCCATGTTGACCAGGCTGGTCTTGAACTCCCGATCTCAGGCGACCTGCCTGCCTTGGCCTCCCAAAGTGCTGGGATTATAGGCATGAGCTACCGTGCCTGGCCTGGCGTAGATATATTTTTAATCTGTATTTTTCCTGATTTGAGGTTGGCTTTCTATTTTATTTCTGGAGTAAACACCCTTGACATTTATTTAAAGAATGAGACAGTTTTTTTTAAAGGATCCAAATGGACGTATATGCGCCCTCAGATAGATTGACATTGGTCTGCATTATTGATAAGTAACCAGGAAATGCTGTTTGGGAACATTTGTTTTCTTCATCAGCAAGAATTTTTTGAGCCTTTATTGGCTGTGATATGTCATAGGGTATTCCTGATTGTTCTGTTTGTTTTGATATTATTGTAACCTTGGGCAAATATCTACCATTCTAAGGAAATGGAAGGTGAGAAGGGGTACTCAGGGGCCATTTGGGCTATGCCTCTGCTTCTTTTACAGCTGCTTTCTATTGATGAGAGGCACGAGATTCCAGAATTTTTTTTTTTTTTTTTTTTTGAGACAGGGTCTCCCTCTGTCACCTAGGCTGGAATGCAGTGGCAGAAACTCGGCTCACTGCAACCTCTGCCTCCCAGGCTCAAGCAATCCTCCCACCTCAGCCTCACACGTAGCTGGGACTACAGACATAGGCCACCATACCTGGCTAATTTTTGTATTTTTTGGGTAGAGATGGGGTTTCACCATGTTGCCCAGGCTGGTCTCGAACTCCTGGGCTCAAGCTATCCACCAGTCTCGACTTCCCACAATGCTGGGATTATAGGTGTGAACCACCACGCCCAGCCCTGAGATTCCAGAATTTCTTTTGTTCCTTTCACTATTTATCATCCTTCCCTTATTTTTCTTACCACTTCTGAATATAAATTCAATGTCCACTCTTTTTTGGAAGAGAGAAACAGTTTTCTCCCCAGGGAATAAATAATATCCCTCTACAAGGCTAAGATTGTTTTAGGGTGCTCCCTCAGACTCCTCTTTTCTTGGCTGAGTGATTCCCTTTTTCAAATATTTAGGGCATATTTACTCTCTGCCTGGAGCTCCTGTTTGCCAAAGGGCACTCGGGTCAACATATGCTCTGAGTCACTAGCCATCTGCTCCTTTTTCTTGGACAAACCCCTAACATGGAACATATACAGTAACACCCCCTTGCTCCAGAGCATCAACAAAGTAAACACCCTGCTCCAGTGCTTCCTTTTCTAAAAGGTGTTTTAGCAGAATCAGGGAATTGGGGCATAGCAAGTGAGTATCAGTAACAAATATTTTCAGAGGACAGAAATTCCAGAGATAAATGTCCTTGTCAAAGCTGAGTTACCCTTTTTTCTATTCAAGGCCTACCTAGCTACGTGATACTGTACCTGTTGGTTTTTCTATAGAGTGGAAGGAGTATGAGGTATTTGCTTTTGTAAGCACAGTTAATACCAGAAGTGATCAGCAGAGAAGCAGCTGCATTTGAGTCACCCTGAGCAATTTATTATCAGCATTGACATTTCTTTAACTTTGCATCTATTAATTATTGAAGGGCTCAGGCTGTTCAGTGACTTTGTCCCATGCAGGCATCCACTTGCTGGGTTCTAAAAATTATGGCTGTGCTCTTAAACCTTTAGTGCATTTTTATTTTTAAAGGAATTTAGCACTCTTCTAATATATAACTGTTTTTTTCATTTCAGTATTTCAGGAACTTAAAATTTATCAATCTTTTAACAGCTGTGGCTGAAACGTTTCAAAAGTGTGTGTGTTTAAAGGTTCGATGTATCGATTTAAAACAATCCCACTTCTCATAATTTAGAAATTGTACTTGGAGACGTGTCCAGCTGAGCCTGCTGTCACTTGGAAACGCTGCAGACCTGAAAAAGCTGCTGGCCTTGATCTTCTCTTTGCACAGAGTTTCCTTAGGGATGTGTTTAGCACAGAGCTCCTGGAATTATTCTGTGAGGAATATGGCTGTGAAGAGCTCCTGTAGATTCTTAGTCTTACTATTTTTTGGGATTTTAGTCATAGAAATTGGCCTATGATTAGGCTGGTGCAAAAGTAATTGCGGTTTTTGCCATTAATGTTTTTAATTAAAAGTAAAGGCAAAAACCGCAATTACTTTTGTGCCAACCTAAATATTTATTTCTTTATGGGAATCAAAGTAATAAGAGAGGAGAGGTGGGTAAGGATAGGGGCATGGCCCTGTGGCTTCTTATTTCCAAATCCAGTGTAATCTGCTTTTATTACCCCTCTTCCCCCATCCCTCCACTAGAGCTGCTCTTACTGGTTCTTCTCAAAATTCTGTAAGAAAAACAAACCCTATTCAGTATGGCTAGCAAGGGATTCTGAACCTACTAAACCCTCAGTTCTCAATATTATCATTCACCCTGAGTGGAATTCCAGGCCCATCCCCGATGCTGGAGCCCCTTCACCCTTCTCCCTCTCCTGCCTGGCAAGAGATGAGCACTCAAGTAACTAAATGCTCTCTAGCTTAGAATTTGGGGATTACTACTGAAATGGGCAATTTTTAAAAAAATGCTTAATCACATTTCCCTATAGCTGTCCATATATCTATATACATAAAGAACTGGGCTGGGTGGGTTGGCTCACGCCTGTAATCACAGCACTTTGGGAGGCCGAGGCAGGTGGATCACCTGAAGTCAGGGGTTCGAGACCAGCCTGGCCAACATGGGAAAACCCCATGTCTACTAAAAACACAAAAATTAGCTGGGAATTGTGGCATCGCCTGTAATCCCAGCTAGTTGAGAGGCTGAGGCAGGAGAATCACTTGAACCCAGGAGGCAGAGGTTGCAGTGAGCTGAGATGTGCCACTGCACTCCAGCCTGGGCTATATACAGAGCAAGACTCCATCTCAAAAAAAAAAAGGACCGAATTTAACAGGATGGGAAACGTGTGTTTTAAAGTCCAGTCTCTATGTAGCTAAAGGCATGATGAGGTTGTACAGAATCTAGTGTATATTTATCTATACCACATACAGGCTTTCCAGAGTCATGCAGAACTATTCACAATCTCTGTTTTTGTAATTATAGTTGACCAAGGGTGAGAAATCCTGAGTTGGGATCTCTGTTTGTCTGGGGAGTGGCACAGACATTCCTGATGTTCATAGATACTGGGCCTCTGGATGCCCAGGGCACCCTTTATCTACCCAGAGCCTGACTACCATCTCTGCTCACTTTTGTGTCTGCTTAGCCTGAAGTGCCTGAACTTATTCTATAAATACCAGCCTTGTTGTTCAAATAAGAGCTTCTTTGGATTCCTAGCCACCACAAAACCCCCCCAGATGTACCAGCCAGGCAGTCTCATACTGGCTGTGAGGTTTGTTCTGCCTTCCCCTGTGAGAATGAGCAAGGGCAAGAAAGTAGGGCCTAGAGTAGCCATCACTCACCCTTTCTTTCTTTCCTTTTTTTTTTTTTTTTTTTTGAGGTTCAGTCTTTACATTCAGCAAATTTAAATCCTTACAAGATTTTTTAAAACTTATTTATGAACTGAAAATATTGCTTGCTGATAAAACTTGCTTAAATGCTATCACTGAATGTACAAGTCACTGATTATGCCAATACAAGAAAAATAAGCACATGTTTGATTATTGCAATGTGCCAGACATTCACTGAAAAAAAAAAATACACGCAACTAAACAAAACTCACTCAACAAACATCTGAGAATCTGGGCACTTCATATCAGTGTTTTGAAGTGTTTCATTAATATCTTAAGACAAATGTATCAAAACCTTGGCATGATTTAATTTTGAGTCACCAATTTTGTTTTTATTAACATCAGAAAGTTACAGCTACACTGCCAATGCTGGGTCTGCTTAATTTAAGAGTTTAATATGACTTAACATTAAAAGCTCACACTACTCTAAAATATATGATTTTACACTTACGGTGATATTCAGCATTCAGGTGCTAGTGTTTGTGTACTGTCTTTTGGTTCACTTTCTTTAAACATTCAAAGAATCACTTTTAGGCTTACAAAAATAAATATTTGTTAAAATGTTCAATAAGACGGGGCATGGTGGCTCACGCCTGTAATCCCAACACTTTGGGAGGCCTAGGCCGGTGGATCACCTGGGGTCAGGTGTTCGAGACCAGCCTAGCCAACATGGTGAAACCCCATCTCTACTAAAAATACAAAAATTAGCCGGGCATGGTGGTGCACGCCTGTAATCCCAGCTACTCAGGAGGCTGAGGCAGGAGAATCACTTGAACCCAGGAAGCAGAGGTTGCAGTGAGCCGAGATCACGCCACTGCACTCCAGCCTGGGCAACAACAGCAAAACTCCATTTAAAAAAAAAAGTTTAATAAATATTACATGAAACTTGCAACAAAATGTATCTAGAAATTTGTCATTATCACTTATCCTTTCCTCTCACAACTGTGTGAGGCCCTGGATGAGGGCTTTGGGAGACACAAAGATAACAAACTCAGTCCCAGCTCTCAAGGAGTGTACAGTGTGATGCAATAGAAGATATATGCACAGATGATTATATTATGAGAAAGAAGGAAAAGCTATGGGGGAGGAAGAAGAGGAGGAGGGCAAGAAATTCAGGGTAGGGTGAGCTGTCACCCAAGTGGAATATGTGCGTCTGAGCTGGGACTACAGATGAGGAAGGATTTGAACACAGGAAAATAGGTGAGCTATTTAGAAAATTATGGCTTTGGATCTCTAGCTTATATAACAAACCGAATACCAAATCTCAACAGTATGATATTAAAAAGTACAACCCCCCAAATAGTAGAACATATAATTGAATATGTGCTTTTGAAAAGGTGAAGTATATTTTAAGCATAAGAGAAAAGAAATAAGATACAAAATAAAAGATTGCTTAAAAAATTTATTTTAGAGATGGGGGTCTCCTCCTGTCACCCAGGCTGGCTTGCAGTGGCATGATAATAGCTCACTGTAGCCTCGAACTCCTGGGTGCAAGCGATCCTCTGGCCTCAGCCTCCAGAGTAGTTAGGACTACAGACATGTGCCACTGTACTTGGCTAACTTTTAAATTTTTTGTGGAGTCTGGGGCGGGGTGTCTCTCTATGTTGCCCAGGTTGGTCTTGTATCCCTGGTCACAAGTGTTTCTCCTGCTTCCTTCCCCTCCCAAAGTTCTGGGATTAGGCATGAGCCACCACACTCAGCAGAAAAGATTGCTTTTGACTACAATAAGATTACCTATCATAAACACACTCCACAAAATAAAACAGCAAGGGAGAATGGGGAAATATTTATTACTTAATAATAGATAAAGGGTCAGTAACAATATACAGAGCTTGCGTAAAATAAATTAGAAAAACAATCTCAGCCAGCATGGTGGCTCATGCCTGTAATCCCACAACTTTGGGAAGCTGAAGTGGGCAGATCACTTGAGATCAGGAGTTTGAGACCAGCATGGCCAACATGGCGAAAACCCATCTCTACTAAAAATACAAAAATTAGCCGGGTGTGGTGGCAAATGCCTGTAATCCCAGCTACTCAGGAGGCTGAGGCAGGAGAACTGCTTGAACCTGGGAGGTGGAGGTTGCAGTGAGCCAAGATCGTGCCACTGTACTCCAGCTTGGGTGACAGAGTGAGACTCTGTCTCAAAAAAAAAAAAAAAAAAAACTTCAATAGCAAAAAAAGGGGGGAAGGCAATGAGTAATTCACAAAAAAGAAATATGGAAGGCCTAAAAATGTGAAAAAGTTCACATAAGTAGTAATCAAAGAAATGCTAATGAAAACAATGAGCAGGGCCAGGTGGCTCACGCCTATAATCCCAGCGTTTTGGGAGGACATGGTGAGTGGATTGCTTGAGCTCAGGAGTTTGAGACCAGCCCGGGCAACATGGCAAAACCTCATCTCTACAAAAAATATAAAAATTAGCCTGGCGTAGTGGTATGCTCCTGTGGTCTCAGCTATTTGAGAGGCTGAGGTGGGGAGATCGCTTGAGCCCGAGAGGTTGAGGTTGCAGTGAACCAAGATCGCACCACTGCACTCCAGCCTGGGCGACAGAATGAGACTCTGTTTCAAAAGACATATATAACAAAAAACTAAAACAAAACAATAAACAGATACTACTTCTCATTATTAATCTAGGAAGTTTCTTTTTTTAAAAAAATTATTATTTCCCAATGCTCAGCAAGAAAAATAGGAAGGAATGGATGTCTCTTCATTCAGAGCTGCCCTTAAAAAATAAAAACAAGGCCAGGCACGGTGGCTCACACCTGTAATCCCAGCACTTTGGGAGGCTGAGGCAGGTGGATCACGTGAGGCCATCAGTTTGAGACCAGCTTCGTCAACATGGTGAAATCCTGTCTCTATTAAGAATACAAAAATTAGCCAGATGTGGTGGCATGCGCCTGTAGTCCCAGATACTCGGGAGGCTGAAGCACGAGAATCATGAACCCAGGAGGCGGAGGTTGCAGTGAGCTGAGATCGCAACGCTGCACTCCAGCCTGGGCAACAGAGCAAGACTTGTCTCAAAAATTTAAAAAACAGCCAGGCATGGTGGCTCACGCCTGTAATCCCAGTGCTTTGGGAGGCCGAGGTGGGTGGATCACTTGAGGTCAGGAGTTTGAGACCAGCCTGGCCCACATGGTGAAACCCTGTCTCTACTTAAAAAAAAGCAAAAAAGATTAGCCGTGTGTGGTGGTGCGTGTCTGTAATCTTAGCTGCTGGGGAGGCTGACCCAGGAGAATCGCTTGAACCCAGAAGGTGGAGGTTGCAGTGAGCCCAGCTAGTGCCACTGCACTCCAGACTGGGCAACAGAGCAAGATTCCATCTCAAAATAAATAAGTGAATAAAAAGAACAAAAAACACTTTATTGAGGTACAATTTACATATAAAAAGCTACACATAGGCCAGGTGCGGTGGCTCATTCCTGTAATTGCAGCACTTCGGGAGGCCGAGGTTGGTGGATCACCTGAGGTCAGGAGTTTGAGACCAGCCTGGCCAACATGGTGAAACCCCATCTCTGCTAAATATACAAAAATTAGGCGGGTGTGGTGGTGGGAGCCTGTAATTCTAGCTACTTGGGAGACTGGGGCAGGAGAATCGTTTGAACCCGGGAGGTGGAGGTTGCAGTGAGCCGAGATTGCACCACTGCACTCCACTCTGGGCAACAGAGCGAGACTCCGTTTCAACAACAACAAAAAAGCTACACATTTTTAAAGTATACAACTGTATAGAAGTCTTCTGTGAGACGTAGAAAAAGAGGGAAAAAAATAAAGTACACAGCTCTGTGGGTTTAAGGATAAGTATATACCCATAAAACCATCACTACCATCAAGACCATAAATATATTCATCACCTCCTAAAGTTTTCTCCCAGCCCCTTTATTATTAATATTATTAATTTTTGTGTGTGTATGGGTAAGAACACTCAGTATAAGAGCTACCCTCTTGGACACATTTTAAGTGTACAATACAGTATTGTTAGCTATAGGCACTATGCTATATAATAGGTCTCCAGAACTTATTTATCTTGCATAACTGAAACTTTGTACCCTTTAATCATCATCTCCCCATTTTTCCCTTTCCCAAGTCTCTGGTAACCACAATTCTACTCTCTGCCCTGAGTTCGACTTTTTTAGGTTCCACATGTAAGTGAGATCATACAGTATCTTTCTGTTTCTGGTTTATGTCACTCAGCATAATGTTCTCCAGGTGCATCCTTTTAAAACTCATTGTTTCTTTAAATGTTTTATAAACTTTTAAAAATATACTTCCTTTTTTTTTTTTTTTTCCGGAGTTTTGCCCTTGTTGCTGGAGTGCAATGGTGTGATCTCAGCTCACTGCAACCTCCGCCTCCCGGGTTCAAGTGATTCTCCTGCCTCAGCCTCCCTAGTAGCTGGGATTACAGGCATGTGTCACCATGCCCGGCTTATTTTGTAATTTTAGTAGAGACGGGGTTTCTCCACATTGGTCAGGCTGGTCTCAAACTCCCGACCTCAGGTGATCCGCCCGCCTCAGCCTCCCAAAGTGCTGGGATTACAGGCGTGAGCCACCGCACCCGGCCACGATAGTAACTTCTTAGATTAATAAAGAGATTTGAATTGTCTTTAGAAAAACAATAGAGTTTTGTCTTACAAATTGTTTTTAGAAAATCTATAGAGTTTTGTTTTATAAATCTCTTGGATTCTCCTCTCCTACCTCCTACCCTTCAATACCAGGACCAAAGAGAAGCAGCAGATCCCAAGCACCATGCACTGGCCTATTAGCAGGGACTGGCAGTTGGCCATGTGTCAAGTCCAATCAGCCACCAGATTCTTGTGAGGTCTGCCAACTAAGGACGAATTTCACATCTTAAATGATTAAAAAAAAATCAAAAGAAAAATGACATGTGAAAATTATATAACATTAAAATTTTTAGCGTCCACAAATAAAGTTTTATTGAAACACAGCTATGTCCCTTTGTTTATGTGTAGTTTATGGCTGTTTTGCCGTAAAACAACAGAGTTGAGCCATTTTGGCAGAGACAGCATGGTCCATGGTCCACAAATCCTAAAAGATTTACTATCTGGCCCTTCACAGAAAAGGTTTGCTACCCCCTGGCCTAAAGTAGTAGTTTATATACCATCTTCAAGGGATTTCAGCCTTACAAAAACAAACTAAATTCCATTTAAGTGAACATTTTGATCCCTCCTTCCCTTTCCCCCTTAATCGTCATCTGCTCCAAAGAACTGAAAAATGATTTAGGCATGATTTGGATGGAAAGTTATGAAATAACAATATCTCATCTTTAAGGAATTTGGTGCTCATGATTTTTAAAAATGGACTTGTTAACTTTATGATTCAAAATAAAAGCAGAAGCCTTTTTTTGTCTTAGATTTCAGATGTCACATCTAAAAGTGAAATATCAGTAGAAAACAATAATAAGATTTCACTCTATTTTTCCTTTTCTTTTATATTTGATTTGGAGGTGTGAATATATTTGAACATATATCCTACAGTGTGTGATGATTTTGTGAAATTTGAATGTGCTGATGAAATATACAATCTTTCCAGTCACTTAGCTCTTATGTAGTGAAAAATTCACTTTAACATACAAAATTAATTAATTTGCTTATTGTTTATTCACATGCAGCAGTTCTTCTAATTAATAATTCCTATGCTCCAGGATATCCACAGGGCTGGTTCATACCATCATATGAGGACAGAAATTGGGTTGATCTTTTTCATCTCTGTGTAGCTGGTACTTGCATACCTAGCACATTGCCTGGCACAGACTATGTAGCAGAAATGCATGCTTAATGAATGAAAGTGGTTTGTTGATTGTTCTAAAGATTTCAAAGTTTTAAATTCCATTTGGTTTTGCATATATATAAAAATATACACCAAATCATTTTGGATTCTGAGAAGACTAAGTATACTGTTTTTCAATACTTCAGTTATTGTATTAATAACTTCAATTTTTACAGAAACTTATTAGTATTATAGAATTTCCTGAGAAGCTACCATGAGAAATCTCACTAAAATTATTATTACAATGGATAATGTATTATTTCACTCTTCTGAACAAGTTACAACAACATTGATTTTCAAAAAAATAAACATTTTCTGATTGGAAAAGTAATAAGTATTCATAAGAAATTCAGAAACTATAGGAATATGTAGGAAAAGACAATGATAATCTCACCCCTGGAGATAATCCCTATTAACAACTTGTTTGTTCAGATTTTTTTCTATGCATATGCCAACATGTAAAATAATTATTATTTTACTAAAATATAATCCTACTATACAAACTGTTTGGAGCTTGTTTTTGTTCTCTCATGTTTCTATGTCAAGATTTCAAAATACATTTTATAATTTTAGTGGCTTAATAGTTTCTATTACATAAATTTACCATTATTTATTCACACTTTCCTCTTGACAAATATGTGATTAAAATTACATTTTAATCCAAAGTGTTTTAAGTGTCAAGTAATCTAATGACAGCTATTTTTATAAAATGGTAAGAGTAAAAAAAAAAAATGCTAAGAGTGCTGTCAAGAGAAAAAAGAAAGAAAAGAATAAAACAAGCAAGTAAATTTTTGTTTAAGCACAAATGAACCCTAGTGCATCCTGAGAATTTCTAGCCAGTGAGCTGTGGAAAACTTGGCATGGCTGATGCAATGATAGCACAATTATATGTCAGTAATGCAAGTATATAAAATTGCAGATAAACAAATGCCTTTGCTTTAAATAAACTTTGATTTAACTACTTTAGAGACTGTTCTTGTTAGAGCTCCGTAGGGTTTTTAGGTTTAGAGAAGATGTACCTTGAGGCTTTGTTGGGGTCTAATGGACCACCAAGGAAACAGCCCACAGGTCTGCTGCTTCCCTTTCACTGTCTTCAGTTGCAGCAGTGCTGAGATCTTAACTCCTCGAACCTGACGAAAGAATTATGGCAAATGGCTGAATAGATCAAGATTTCATAATATGAATGGGCTTCCAGACAGAACCAGCATTAAGATTTATGTGATCTGGGATATGTCTTGTAATTCTACCAGTTTGATTAGAAAGGGATCTGGAGGGCTTGGGGAATGCCACCCCAATAGCTCCCTGTGTTCAACTAGGAAAGACAAGACGAATGTGGCTTGTCCAAGCCCCCAGTGCAAAGTAAGACCTTAACTCCGTAGTGGGGTCACTCCTAGCCAGGCTTCTGCTAATTTACCCCTTTCCAGACAAGTATAAAAAGCAGAAAGTACACTGGTGCTTGGTGACCTTATGAATGCCATTTGTTTTGTTGAATTTGGATTCCTTTACAGGAAATGTTCTAATATGTGCAAGTATTGCATCATTTAAAGTAGCAGATTAGTAGGACAAATGTTGCAGATGTAACTTAGACTAGTTCTCTAAAATAAGTCAGCATGTCACTAGATATGAATAAAATGTAAGTCCATGTTGCATATCAGTTGACCCACAGTGTAAGCAGGCAACAATGATGAGGCTGGAAAGAGACTAGTAATAAGAATAATAATAGTCAATGCTTACACAGCCCTATGTGCCAGGCCCTATTCTAAGCATTTTACATGAATCGCTTCATTTAAACTTTACAGGATTCTACATATTTAGCTACTGTTATTATTCTCTTTTCACAATTGAGAAAAACTGAAGCACAGATAAGTTGGTAAACTGGCACCGTGTCACATACATAATATGTGGCAGAGTGGTGATTCAAACCCAGACAGTCTACCTCTGGCACCTGCACTTTTAGCCACTAGTATGTCTGAGAAATTCAAAAATTTAAAGTCAGTCTCTAGCCAACCCAGGTGCAAAGAGCACCCCCAAATCCCTGATTGATGTCCTGAAATACCATTTCCCATGTCAAAGAGCCAGGCTCCTTGAAGAAATGGCTGAGTCAAGGTCTAGGGCAGGAAATGAACAAGGGATCCCTGAAGCACTTTGTCATATAGGTAGTGAGGAAGCTATTGAGGACTACAGGGTCATTCTCAAAAGGACAGCAGAACCAACTTAAAGAGGCTCCCAATGGCCAAAGGTGTCACAGTTTTGACATCAGTAGGGATAATACCAGCAATAGATTGAAACATCTCAAATATGTTTAAATCTATGAGTCCATAATGATGCTCAAAAAACTGGTCATGTTTAGAAGATGATTGGGAGGCAACTCATTATTGAACTGATAACCGGTAAATAAATTCTACCATTTTTTTCTGCCTTCCTTATATGAACTGTATGCCCCAGTAACTAAATAGTGCATGAGGTGAAGTTCTTGTTTAAAGAACTAATTCAGCCACTAAACAACAAAGGAGTAATAGAGTCCCCTTTCTATGGCCTCTAAAGAACTAATAGATCTAGGCCTTAAGGAGAAGTGATTGCTAACGTAACAAGAATACAGACAACCAAACAGTACGGACCTCCTGATGGATGAAGGAAGAATACACCCATTCATGAAGAAGTCTTGCCAAAAAGGCAAATTCAAATCTTACCAAGTTTCTTGTTCCAAATGCCAATTTAGAAAATAGAGAGGACAGAGGAACATGTTGCACTACATTGGGGGAATGAAGGCAGCAAAAAACTAGACTATGAGAAACTCTACGGAACAAATGACCTGATTTCGTCAATAAATAATTCGCAAGAAAGGGGGTTCAGGGGGAAACCTATAGATTAAAAGAGATTTAAAAGGCATATTGATGAATTGCAACATGTGGACCTTATTTGGATCTTAATTTTTTAAAATTAAAAGAAATTGCATTTATGAGAAAATTGGTCATTTGAACAATGACTCGATATTGATGTTAAGAGATTATTGTTATTTTTTTGGGGTGTGATAATATTATGGTTTTAAAAAACTCTTCTCTTTTACTGATAAGATATGTTCTCTGGCATTTGCTTCAAAATAATATGCAATGGAGTTGGAAGTAAAGATAAAAGAGAATTGACCCTGCGTTGATAATTATTGAAGTTGGGTGATGGGTATTTGGAGGTTTATTATTATTCTGTTACTACATAATGGTTTTAAATTATTATAATAAAATGTTTTTAAAAATTAAGTGCCTAAGTTTTAGGTTGCATAAAGTATACACTCTTTCTGATCAAAGAAAGATATTTTTACTTTAGACACTAGGATTATAAGTCCAAATGAATGAATAATCCTTAAATCTCCACCACAAGACCACAAACATTTACTAAACACCAGCTTTGTGCTGGGTACTGGAAATCCGGACATACTTCTGCCTCTAACAGGTGAAAAAGAAAATGGGACAACACTAGCCCTAATCTAAAATGACTGGAGATGTGATAAAGGGAGTACAAAGAAATACCGTAGCACAGTGCAGAGGTTAATTCCATCTAGGATAGTAACAGCTGGGAGATGGCCTTTGATAAAATTGTGTGAGGTAGAAAAAGAGATTGGGGGAAGGGCACAGAGGAGAAAGATGAGGCTGAAGGTTGATGAGGAGGGGCGGGAGTGCTGAAGGCTTCCATATGTCATTCTTGGCCCTTCAGACTCCACCTGCTTCCTGGGGGAATTTCACTTTTCCTGCTCTTGCCTATACACTGGTGATTCAAATGATTCAGAAATCCTTATCTCCAGCCCTGACCTCTATCCTGAGTTCCAGAACAGCCTGTTCAAGTGTCAGCTCTTCATTATGGATTTCACTTCAAAGTCAACATGTTCCAAAACTGAGCTCATTATCTTTCCCAGCAACCTATTCCGTCTCTCATATTCCCAATGTTTATGAAAGTGTTCAAGATAGAATCCTTAGAGGCCTGGGTGGCGTCTGCAGCTCTACCTCTGACAGTCTGCCTCTTCGAGGCCTCCTGAAGCTGCCCCTCCTCCTTCCCCCACTGCTGTCTCCTTGGTTCAAGCTTTGCCATCTCTGGGGCAATAGCAAGTGTCTTCCAACTGCTCTTTCTGCCTCCAGTTTCTTCTTGTTTTGATCTTGTTTTCTATTATTCTCTTAGAGTACCAGTGTTCCAAAGCTTTCTTTACAAGAAGTACCTGGGGTTTGATTACAAATGCAGAATTACCAGGCTTTCCCCCCAACCCCAGAAATTCTGATTCTGAGTCTGGACTGAGGCCAAGGAATTTTTTTTTTTTTTTTTTGAGACAGAATTTCACTCTGTCATCCAGGCTGGAGTGCAGTGGCACAATCAGGGCTCATTGCAGCCCTGACCTCCTGGGCTCAAGCAATCCTCCTTTATCACAATTTAGCTCTTACTCATCTTTTGCAAATACTTCCATATTAAATTGCTTAGTGGCCATGCCTTAGTTCGTGCTGTGCCCTCTGCCTAGAACTTCTCTTGGCCTCTTGTCTGCTTGGTGAACTTTTTTCTTTATTGAAATCATTGCTCAGATATCACTATCTTAGTATAATCTCCCCTAAGTACTGGGGCCACAGTGAGGGGCTTTGGCCTAGTTGCTCCCTTTAAAATTTGTACATGCCCAAATAAATACCTCGCATCTACCTAACAACCTTGCAATTATCCATTTACAATGACTGTCACTCCAACTACACCTCATTCCTTGAGTGTAGGGAAGCCTTTCTTCGTATTTTTTGTATTCCTGGGCCCAGAAAGCTGCCTGGCACAGGACAGAAGCTTAATAAACAGTAACTGCTGCAGCATGACAGAATGAGCAGAGGGTGTGGTGGAGTGCTAGCATGGCACCCAGATCTCAGGGCAGGAGCCAAAACTGGAAAGTAGCTTGCGTTCAGATTGAGAAAAAGACCCCAAAGCAACACTGAAAACCTTGGACCTTAACTTCCAACTAAGACAAAAGTTTTATTCCTAAGTGGGATTATTTAGCCAGAGAAAGGCTATGATTAGAGCTTTGATAACGTGGTGCAGGATGCTGAGAACAGTCTGGGAACTTAGACTTGAGACTGTGGAGATAATGCTGATGAGGAGTGGGTTCTGGGAGAGAACCTTGAGAGATATATTAGATGAGGCCTGATGAATGATAGATTCCAGGGATGGGAGAATGAGGAATCAAAAATCACTTGGAAGCTCAGCCAAGAGATCAAGGTCAGCATCAGCAGTGATAAGTCCTGGTGGTAGCATGCACTCTTTTTTTTTTTTTGAGGCAGAGTTTTGCTCTTGTTGCCCAGGCTGGAGTGCAATGGTGTGATATTGGCTCACAGCAACCTCCGCCTCCCGGGTTCAAGCGATTCTCCTGCCTCAGCCTCCTGAGTACCTGGGATTACAGGCATGCGCCACCACGCCCAGCTAATTTTGTATTTTTAGTAGAGACGGGGTTTCTCCATGTTGGTTAGGTTGGGCTTGAACTCCCGTCCTCAGGTAATCCACCCGCCTCGGCCTCCCAAAGTGCTAGGAACAGGCGTGAGCCACCATACCCGGCCCAGCATGCGCTCTTATATGGTGGGATGAAAATGGTACTTTACCTCTGTAGTCTCTCTCCCAATAACCCATAACCACTGTCCCATTAGGAGAAAAGCATCAGATAAATCCCAAGTGAGGGACATTCTACAAATTGCCTGATCAGTCCCTGCTCAAAACTGTCAAAGGTAGCAAAAACAGGGAAAGTCTAGGAAACTGTTAGAGCCAAAAGTAGCCTAAGAAAGCATGACTAAATGCAATGTGGTATCCTGGATGGGATCCTAACAGGAAAAGGGCATTTGAAATCTGCATAGAGCTTGGGCAACATAGTGAGATCCCCATCTCTACAAAAAAAATTTAAAAATTAGCCAGGTGTGGTGGCGAGTGCCTATAGTCCCAGCTATTTAGGGGAGTCAGGGGCAGGGAGATAGGGAGTGCCGAGGTGGGAGGACCACTTGACCCTGGGAGGTCAAGGCTACAGTGAGCCCTCATTAAGCCACTTATACTCCAGCCTGGGCAGCAAAGTAAGACAGGGTTTCACTGAAAGAAAAGAAAAAAATCTGAATAGTGTGGACTTCAATTAATAATGTATCAACATTGGTTGGTTCATCAATTATAACAAATGGACCTCACAAATATAAGATGTTAATTTTTAAAATTATTTTACAAAAATTAATTGAAGGTAGATGATGATGTGATTAACCTCATAATAATATTTGGGTTTTTTTGTCTGTGTTTTTTTTTTTGAGACAGGATCTCACTCTGTCGCCCAGACTAGAGTGCAGTGGCACGATCTCGGCTCACTGCAATTTCCGCCTGCCAGGTTCAAGCGATTCTCCTGCCTCAGCCTCCCAAGTAGCCAGGATTACAGGCACATGCCTCTACTGCCCAGCTGATTTTTGTATTTTAAGTACAGACGGGGTTTCACCATTTTGGCCAGGCTGATCTCGAACTCCTGAAGTCAGGTGATCCACCTGCCTCGGCCTTCCAAGTGCTGCGATTACAGGTGTGAGCCACCGCGCCCAGCCTTATTATGGTATTTGGATATTGCATGTTGTGTGGATGGAGTATGGCGATAATACGGGAAATACAAGAGGAGGACTTGTGTGGAGTAGGAGGTCACTCGGAAACCATGGTTATTTCATTGGTATTCAAAATCTGAAGTTTCTTATATGAATTTCTTGCTGTGCATCTCTTGCTTTCACTTTTGGGTATTAACACTCAAGCCTGTCTCAAGTCCACTTCATTCTTTGCTTGACCTAACTCAGGGGTAACTGTCAGTCTTACATAGACCTGATGTTAGCACCATGGTTCCTTGTGCCTCAAACGTTTTCCACCAGATTGTCTCCTAGTCAGCTCTTCCTTGTCATTCATCTCAAATGTCCCCTGCCCAGAAAGCCTCCTTTGATGACCTGATCTAAAGTAGCCCCTCCCCAGTCACTCCACATAGCATGGCTCTGTTGTGTTTTGTTCATGGCTCTTATCACTATCTAATATTTACTTGTCTGTTTACTTGTTTATGGTATGTGGCGTATTTTCCCACTCAAACTGAAGTCCCATGAAAGCAGAAGCTCACCTGATTGGTCACTGCTCTATACTTCACTGCGCAACAGTACCCAGAGTGCTAGTGATGCTCAGGAATTATCTGCTTAATTAATTCATGTAAAACACTCTCTTTGTCAGCTTGGCGACTGTCACAAAATAGCACAGCCTGGGTGACTTCAACAACAAACATGTATTTCCTACAGTTCTGGAGGCTGAAAAGCCCAAAATGCAGGTGCTGATGGATTCCTGGTGAGGGCTTTCTTCCTGGCTTGCAGACAGCTGCCTTCTCACTGTGTCCTCATGTGGTGGAGAGAGAGAGATCTCTCCTTAGAAGGCACTAATCCCATCATGGGGACTCTACTCTCAGGGCCTCATCTAAATCTAATTACCCCCCAAAGGCTCCACATCCTAATACCATCACACTGAGGGTGCAGCTTTAACATATGAATCTTGGGGGAACATGATTCAGTCCATAACAAACACCATTATGGCTCCATCCGCTCTGCCACCCAGATACATTAGTGTAGGATATTAGTGATCGTAAGAAAATTGTGACTCTTTCATGCTATTTCCATGTCCCTCTCATATTCCATTTATAAATAGAATAAAAGCAAGAAAATTCTCTTCCTTATAATTCCTTTCCCAATTCTATTTCCCTTAGAAAAAGCAAACCATTCAAGTAACAGAAGCATAGCTAAATGAAATGCATTATATCCTTGCCAGACCTTAACAGGGAGTTAGTTAAGGGGCCCTCAGACTGCCTTCCTCTGGCTGTAATCAGAGGAGGAAACAATTGAGACATTTACCCTTTTTCCTCTTACCAATTTCTCTTCTCCTTTTCTCCTTCATCTCTGACTCTTTCCTAATCCCCCCTGGCCTCGTGGAGGGAGAGGTGTTGGTACCCTTGTACTCTCCAGATCTCAGGAAAGATGCAGATAATGACTCAGGGCTTCCTCCGGAAGAAGCATCACCTCTAAGCTATGCTGCGGAATCACTTAGAGGTTATGAGTGCAAGAACTTCCCTCAGCATAATAAACACCTTTCTGGCGTAACAGGAGAATGAAGAATACTTTCTTTGGGCCCAGGGACATTATTGCTTAATTTATTCTATATATATATAAAATAAATTAAATATATATAGAATAAATTATTTAAGTATAAAATACACACATATGTTTATGTGTTTGTAAATAAAACAACATACAGGTATACATGCATTTAGCCATTTAGAGTTCAACAGCATTTCAGTTGTATTTTTTAGCATTTCAACCACAAAAACTGTTGAACTAGGCACTTACAGGTATTACTAAGAGCAAATACAAATTCTATATTAATGTGTATGACATTTCTTCATTAAAGAGCTGTCACTATAATTGGCTGGCCCACGAATGTGCATCATAAGCTATCAAAACACAGACATTTTCAAGCAGCTCTTAGAACAATGCAAGGCTCTTATCTTCTGATATTTTACACACGTACACACACACATAGACACACACACAATGGTTATTTTTATTAGTGGTCAGAACTCAGTAAGCAACACTGAATAGATAAGTGAAAAAGTGAATTTTTAAAATCAAACAAAAAAGTTTTACCCATTGGGAAAATGTCTGTGAAGAAGAAGAAAATGCGAAGGGGCAAAACTGGCTACTTTGAAAGAATAAAACTTCACCCCATGTGAATTTTCCTGGGGCCGCTTCTAGCTCTAGTGTGAGGCCTCTGCTTTCTCCAGGGGAGCCCCCAAACTGAAATTGGAAAAGGGCATCTACATATATATGTGGTCAGTTTTACCTGGCTTACAGGAAGGAGTTAAATGACAAAACTCTAATGAGTGAGGCTTTTACCAGGTGCCACAATTGGGTGTGGCCTCTGACAGAGGGCAAGCAGGAAACAAGTGAAACTCAGGTATACTCATTCCACAAGTTTGTGTTGAGCACTTTTTTCTGCCAGGTAGTGTTCTAGGAGCTGGAGATAAAAAATCTCTTCCTTCGGGCCGGGCACGGTGGCTCACGCCTGTAATCCCAGCACTTTAGGAGGCCGAGGTGGGCAGATCACCTGAGGTTGGGAGTTTGAGACCAGGCTGACAACATGGAGAAACCCTGTCTCTACTAAAAATACAAAATTAGCCAGGGGTGGTGGTGAATGCCTGTAATCCCAGCTACTAGGGAGGCTGAGGCAGGAGAATTGCTTGAACCCAGGAGGTGGAGGTTACGGTGAGCTGAGATCATGCCATTACACTCCAGCCTGGGCAACAAGAGGGAAACTCCAACTCGAAAAAAAAAAAAAGAAAAGAAAAAAAAATCTCTCCCTTCATTGAGCTTCCTTTTTTTTTTTTAAGTCATGGTCTCACTCTGTCACCCAGGCTGGAGTGCAGTGGTGCCATCTCAGCTCACTGCAGCCTCAAACTCCTGGACTCAAGCAATCTTCCCACCTCAACCTCCCAGGTAGCTGAGACTACAGGCATGTGCCACCAAGCCTGGCATGGTTTGGCTGTGTCCCCACCCAAATCTCAACTTGAATTGTGTCTCCCAGAATTCCCACATGTTGTGGGAGGGACCCAGGGGGAGGTAATTGAATCATGGGGGCCAGTCTTGCCTGTGCTGTTCTCGTGATAGTGAGTAAGTCTCACGAGAGCTGATGGATTTATCAGGGGTTTCCGCTTTTGCATCTTTTTTATTTTTCTCTTGCCGCTGCCATGTAAGAAATGCCTTTTACCTCCTGCCATGATTCTGAGGCCTCCCCAGCCATGTGGAACTGTAAGTCCAACTAAACCTCTTTTTCTTCCTAGTTTTGGGTATGTCTTTATCAGCAGCATGAAAACAGACTAATACACTGGCTAATTAAAAAAAGTTTTCTTTTTGGAGAGACAGTATCCTGCTATATTGCCCAGGCAGGTCCCAAACTCCTGGGCTCAAGCAATCCTCCTGCCTCGGCCTCCCACAGTACTGGGATTCTAGGTACAAGCTACTGCAGCTGGCCTGAGCTTACATTCTAATGAGGACAGGAAGATGAAAAATTTGTAATCAAGCAACAAGTAAGTGTTACAGGAAAATAAGATAAAGGGTAGAGAGTGAGCAGGGGCTAGAAGTTTAGGGATTGGGGCAGACAGGTGAAAATTTAAGGGAAAAGCATTCCAGGCAGAAAAATAGCATGTACGGAGGCTCTGAGGCAAGAAGCTTTATGTGTATGTGGGAAGAAAGGGCCCAGTGTGGATGACACCCTATGAATGGAGGAAGAAAGAGGTCAGAGTGGTAAACACGGCCCAATCACGTGGGGCCCCCTAGGCCACAGAGAGGAATTTGGATTGCAATGGGAAGCCATGAATGATTGTAAATGGTGGAGCCATACTGTCCGATTTATACACAGACACACCCCTTTCTGGCTGCTACCACCAGGTAGTGAAAAGGCCACTGGTGGCCAGAGGAAAGACAGGGCAACTGGTTAGGGAGGTTTTTGCTCTAGCCAGTTGAGCAAAACTGGGAGTTCAGTTGAGGACTGGTGGCTGAGACTTCTTGGGTGGAATCAATGGAGATGTGCAGAGAAGTTGAAAAATGTCAACTTGGGATGTGTCTTGGAGGAGGGACTGACAAGGCCTGCTGATCTCCTGGATAGAGAGAATGAGAGAAAGCAGAACCAAGGATGACTCGTAGATTTGGGGCTTGAGCAACTGAGTGGATGTGGGGCTGGTAACTGAGGTGGAAAAGACTGAGGGAGAAGCATGTTTAGGGGGTGGAGCCGAGTTTGGTTTTTGGCCATTTTAAATGGGAGTTACTTATTAGATATCTAAGAGGAGAAATTGTATGAGCAATTGGACCCTGGGTCAGTGCGGAAGACAGGTCTTTGGGAACCATCAGCTGTAGTCCTCCTTGTCCTTTAGAATGGGTCCAAAGCCCTACTCCATATTTCATGGAATTCTCAAGCTCTTGAGATGATTTTGGCGAAACTTCCAGGTGGATAGAGGGGAGGTGGAGACTTCATTCTCATTGCCTTCTGTAGCTCCAGCTTCTGCTTTGGTTGAATTGGCTCCGTTTAGGGACTATCTCTTCTTCCTCCATGACGTCCTCTTCTCAGAGAGGAAATTCAGCCACTTTCTCTATGTCCATACGCAGTCAAGATATTGAGTGTGCAGGGAACTGCATTAAAGATTTGCTGGAAGCAGATGTGAGCGTGTGTGTTTGGAAATAGTGTGAAGGTAATACTGTAACCCAAATTATATTAAGTGGAATATTGGGTCTCTCTGTTTTAAACTGTCTTGGGCCACTCTACCTAGGGGACATTTGGGGATAGTTCTATGGCCTTATCATACCTCCTATTCGCAGATACTGGACTTCTCCAGGTAGAGGAATTCAGCTGTCTCCACTCCAGCCCTATCCTTCCACTCAAAACAGCCCCATCCTACTCAAAACAGCCCCAGATCTATTTTACAATTCAAATCTACCAAAGACTCAGGAGAAAAAAAAGACTTTCATTAAATAAATCTCTCCTTAGAAAACATGTGTTCTTCATGAAAAGTAAGCCTTTCTCAACTTTAACAATTCCTCGTGCCTATTCTAACATTCAGACAGCTGCTTGGGGTGGGGACCAGGGGAGGGGAGTCAGTCTAGTTGCTGCTGTCAGTCAGTGATCTCAGTAATGGGGAAAATGTTCCATGCCCCAGGTGTCCCAGGGGGACCTTTTTACCACATGCCTGGAGAGGCCAGTGACAAGGAGAGGAATAAGACCTCCTCCCCAGGCACAAGGACCACAGTGCTGTGCTGAAGAGTGGTGGCCAGAAGAAGGCAATTTGTAGAATGGCCTTGCTTTGGAGGTGGGCTTGTATCTCAAGTGTTTGCATTTCGCAGATTTGGGAAATGACGACTAGAAACAGAAATAGCTAAAGCACTAGACATGCAGTTGACAACATTCACTTAGTTGGAGCAGGACGTCTCTGTCCCTTAAACGCTGAATTTTAAGTACATCCAGACAAGGAGACAGATTTTTCCGTAATTGATAAATCCGTTAATTACCTGGCAGATCATGCCGGAAAGTGGCTGGGCTGACCAAAACGGGATGTGCCTAGAAAGAACTGTAGAAGTAGACAAGTCACATTCAGGAGGGTGGCCTCAAACCAGAACAGAGACCCTGCTCTAGCCCAGAGTGAAGGCTTTAACAGTGCTGTCCTGGGAGGGGAGGAATCTTGCTACCACATTGGCTATACTTGTACTGATTTTTAGCATTCATACTGATGCTCAAGTTAATTATAGATTACATGCTAGGGTTCAGCCCTTTTCAACCCTCTTCTTCTGTGATATCCTTAGTTAAAAGAGTCCTAAGGATAGCCCTACTCTGGCCCGGCGCGGTGGCTCATGCCTGTAATCCCAGCACTCCTTAGGTCAGGAGTTCAAGACCAGCCTGGCCAACATGGTGAAACCCCATCTCTATTAAAAATACAAAAATTAACTGTGAGCGCCTGTAGTCCCAGCTACTCGGGAGGCTGAGGCAGGAGAATTGCTTGAACCCAGGAGGCGGAGGTTGCAGTGAGCTGAGATCGCGCCACTGCACTCCAGCCTGGGCAACAAGAACGAGACTCCATCTCAAAATAAATAAATAAATAAATAAATAACCCTATTCTTGTGCTGTCAGTCTGGCCAGAGGATGGGAGACCAATAAACTGCCCTGTAAATAATGTTGTCTAATGAGGAGCCCTTCCTAATTAATGAACCCACTGTTGGATAAATTTCACCTTTCAGTCTCCTCTCTCCTTTTCTGTGTTCCTCCCTCTGCCTTGATCCATCTCTGCTTTTTTGCTTTCAGAAGATTCTTTTCTTTCTGCCTTTCACTAACTCCCCGTCATCATTTTGAATGTATTTTGCTTACTAGACCCTTTGGAGGAAAGCTCCAATGTATGTGCCAAGTGGCAGAATATTTTCAGCATGATAGCATTTCTATGAAGTTTTGAAAATATGCAAACCAATGTTACATATCATATGAATACATCTGTATGTTGTCCAGGGAGCACCCTGTTCCAAAGTATTCAGTATGTAATCCTCCTGAGAGAAAACATGAGGAAATACTACAAAATGGAAGGCTTTGATATGTCATTCATTAGGCCAAGTTGAAAATTATTTATATGAAAGAATATTATTAAATCCCTAACAGTTAATAGAAAAGAATATGTGTGTGCTTTGCATTTTTAAATAAACAAACTATGTATCTCCAGATGCTCTAAGATCTGATGCAGACCAAACAGAAAATAAGTTGTCATTCCCACTTTTCCTTCCTTCCCTACGTCCATGAATACTCACTGAGTTTCCTCTGAGGGCTGGGCCCTAAGGATACAAAACTGTCATAGAATTTGTCTCTGCCATCCAGCAGCCCATGTCCTAGCTGGGGAGAAGATAACATAACCCGTAAGTACTTGAGATAACTGTGCTAGCTGTGCATACAAGGCACTGAGGCAACATTCCTCAGGGTCTTCTGACATCTGCATGCAGTCAGGCAGATCCCCAGGCCCCGCTTAAATAAAGAACACTAAGGTTCCACAACCACAGCTCTATGTGAATAGAGAAGGGGAATGAACCTCTCTTCCTCTTTGCAAATATAAGTGTATGTATTTATAAAGTTTTTGGAAAACTTATTTAAGAAAGTTATTAGGATATTACACACCCATTCAATCAACAAACATTAAAAAACATCCAACCATACAAATCACTGGTGAGGATCTGGAGCAATGGACACCCTCACAGGCTGCTTATAGCAGTGTCAAGTTGGTACAACAATTTTGGAAAGCAATTTTGCCAATATCTAGTATAGCTGAAGATATACATATACTATGACTCAGCAGTTGCACTTGAGATAGTCTCACAGATGGGTACAAAGACACATGAATAAGAACAGTCTTTGTGTCATTTATAATCATGAAAAAATGGAAACAAGCTGAGTGGCCATCAACAAGATTCAGACTTGAAAAACTAGAATGGTGTGTAGCAGTGAAAGAGAATAAATTGGAACTATATGTACCAACACAGATAAATCTCAGAAACAAGTGGTAGAATATTTTCAGCATGATATAGTAGCATTTCTATGAAGTTTTGAAAACATGCAAACCAATGTTATACATTGTATGAATATATCCATATGTTGTAAAAGTATAACATTAAAAACAACAATGATAAAAGCTAATGAGTGGAACAACTGGAAATCTCATCAACTGCTAGTGGTTGTACAAATTAGCACAACCACTTAGGAAGCTGTTTGGCAGTTTCCAGTAAAAATGAATGCATGCAGATGAATGACCCAGCAATTACACTTCAAGGTATATACTGAACAGAAACACATACATAGATGGTCCACAACTTGGGTACATATTCACAGCAGCATAGTTCACAGTACCCCCAAACATAACCACCCAAATTGTTGGATGACCAGATGAATAAATTGTGGTACATTATACAATAGAATGCTACACAGCAGTAACGTAACTGAACAAACAAGTTTATTAATCTCACAGACATAATATAGAGCAAAGGAGCCCAGATATCAAAAAGCACATACAGTAGGATTCCATTTATATAAGGTTGAAAACAGGCTGAGTGCAGTGGTTCATGCCTGTAATCCCGGCACTTTGGGAGGCTCAGGCAGAAGGATCGCTTGAGGCCAGGAGTCTGAGACCATTCTGAGAAACACAGTGAGAAATCGTCTACAAAAAAAAAAAAATAAATTAAAGTTGAAAACAAAGGCAAAATTGGTTGACAGTGAAAGATATCTGGATGGTGGTTACCTTTGCGGGAAAGATGATGGCTGAAAGGGGGCCCCAAAAGGGCTTCTGAGATACTGATGTTATTATTATTATTAATTATTATTATTATGTTGGTTAGAGACAGTGTCTCCCTCTGTTGCCCAGGCTGAAGTGCAGTAGTGTGATCACAGCTCACTGCAGCCTCGAAATCGTGGGCTTGAGTGATCCTCCCACCTCAGCCTCCCTAGCAGTTGGAACTACAGGCGCATACCACCATGCTTGGCTAATTTTTAAATGTTTTTTTTTTTTTGTAGAGATTAGATCAGGCTATGTTGCCCAGGGTGGTCTTGAATTCCTGGGCACAAACAATCCTCCTGCCTTGGCCTCCCAACGTTCTGGGATTACAGGTGCGAGCCACTGCACCCAGCCCTGGTCATATTCTATTTCTTGATCTTGGTAACAGTTACACAGGGGTATTCATTTTGTGAAAATTTATTGAGGTGTAAACTTATAATCTGAGTTAGCATGCTATACTTTAATAAAAGTTAAAAACAAAACTAAACACTACTTGTAGACAGTGATCAATTCCTAAAGTTGTTTTACAACTTTATATTCCCAGTCAGGGGAATAAGCTAGGCATCTTGATCTTTGTGTCTTTTCAATGTAGATTAATTGGGAAATAATAAAATAGCTGCTATCCTTGAGGACCTGTGTTACTTCTGTTCACAGTGTCCATGTGATGAAGAAAGGGCTCTATCTGATGAAGAAATGTCAGAAGATCTGACTCTTGTTGGCTCTATCACCTATTGACGCTACAATCTTTGATGTGTCAGAGTATTCTCTCTTGCCTTATTTTTGGTCAAATGAGGACTGCAATAATGATTTGTGAAGATTACACAAGATGTATTTATGAACATATTTTGTAAACATTAAGGGGCTACAGATTTGATTTGTTATGATCCAACAAATGTGCAGCGAGATTATATTTATGTCTCATAATGGGCCTAACGTTAGAAAGGGGCCAGGCCTTCAATAATGTTTATCAAAGGATGGAATGAGCCTGTGTTTCAGGATGTGAAATACTCATTCATTTTTTTCTATGTAGATTGGGGAAGGATTATAATATGATTCATTTTTATGTTTGAATTTGTTAGGCTATGGTGCCCAGTTATTTGAGCAAACATGTCTAGATGTTGCTGTGAGGTACTTTTAAGATGAGATTAGCATCTAAATTGTCAGCTTTGAGTAAAACAGATTCCCCTTTATTATGAGGGTGGGCATCACACAATCAGTTGAGGGTCTTAAGAGACTGAGCTCCTCTGAGGAGAAAGAAATTCTGCCTCTAGACTGCCATCGAACTGAAGACTGCAACACCCACTCCTCTCCAGGTCTCCAGGCTGCCCTGCAGATTTTGGACTTGCTAGCTCCCACAATTGCCAGTTCCTTGGAACAGATTTATCTACCTCTCTCTCCTTCTATGTGTGTGTGTGTGGGTGTATATGTATATATACACACACACCCCCACACACACCTATTACACACTGTGTTTGGGTTCTCCAGAGAAACAGAACCAATAGGATGTGTGTGTATATATCTCCTGTTATGTCTACGCACACACACACAGTTCTATTTCTCTGGAGAACCCTAATTAATACAGTGTGCAATAGGAAAAACCTAAAATGTCTTCTCCTACTGTTTATACTCTCAAAGCAACAAAGAGCTAGGTGCAGTGGCTCATGCCTTAATCCTAGCACCTTGGGAGGTCAAGGCAGGAGGATCGTTTGAACCCAGGAGTAAAAGACCAGCCTGGGCAACATAGTAAGATCTAGTCTCTACAATATTTTCTTTAAAAATTAGCTGGACATGGTGATGTGTGCCTTAAGTCCCAGCTAGTTGGTTGGCTGAGTGTCAGGGGGGATCACTTGAGCCCAGGAGGTTCAGGCTGCAGTGAGCTGTGATTGCGCCATTGCACTCCAGCCTGAGTGACAGAGCAAGACCCTGTCTCAAAACAGCAACAACACAGATGTTTCTGGTCACCAAAATGTGTGAGTTTTGGCCACATTAAGCAATTCTCCACTTCTTGGCAGACATTGACTGGGTATCCTACAATTTAATTCAGTTCTGACACTTACTCTAGTCAGCACAGACGCCACAGGTTAAGGGCTCAATCCCATGAGACTGCCCCAAACATCAGATGCCAAGTGCAAATAGTAGGTTCCCAGATTACCCACACCTTTTGTCTGACTTGGTTACAAATCAGAGGTTCCCATGACCCCCCAGGGGTTCAATCATTTGCTAGAATGGCTCACAGAACTCAGAGAACTCTTTACTTTTGTTTACCTGTTATTATAACAGGATGCAATTCATGGCCAGGCATGGTGGCTCACACCTGTAATCCCAGCAATTTCAGAGACTCAGGCTGGAGGATCACATGAGCCCAGGAGATCAAGACCAGCCTAGGCAACATAGTGAGACCCCACCTCTATTTAAAAAAAAAAAAAAAAGGCAGGGGGGATGCAACTCAGGAACAGCCAGATGAAAAAGATGCACAAGGCAATGTATGGGGAAGGGGTTGTGAGCTTTTATGGCCTCTTAGGGGATGCCACCTTCCATGATTTCAGCAACCCGGAAGCTCTCTGAACCCCGTAGTTTGGGGATTTTTATGGAGGCTTAATCATGTAGACATGATCAACAATTAACTCAAATGCAGTCCCTCTTTCCTTCCTGGAGGTTGCAGAGTAGGGCTGAAAGTTCCAAACTTTTAATCATGGGTTGGTCTTTCTGGTGACCACCCCCCTTCCAGAAACCCATGAAGAGTCACCTCATTAGAACAAAAGGTGCTCCTTTAACCCAAGAAACTCCAAGGAATTAAGCTCTGTTTCAGGAACCAGGGTCAAAGACCAAATATTAGAACAAAGAATGCACCTAGCAATTGAGATGCTCAGGAAATTACAAGGGTTTTAGGAGCTGTGTGCCAGGAACTGGGGTCAGACCAAATATATGCTTCTTCTTATTTCACACAGAAGATAGGATGATGAGAGGAAATTTTTAAAGTAACTGTTAGGGGAAAGAGGATCTAGTCCCCATTTTAAATAGGCTTGGGTCAACTGTTTTGTCTGAATTGTATGTGAAAACACAATTTTTCCCCTTATAGTTTCCCTTAATTTTGTATTATTTAAGTGAAAGTGCAGGAGGTTTACCTATTTTTTTAAATGTGCTTTTTATTCTAGTACGTGTGTGTGTATGTGTTTTAATCATAGTTTAAATCATAGTATATGAATTCACATCCTGGTTGTTTTTTTTTCTTCTTTGAGACGGAGTCTCGCTTTGTTGTCCAGGCCGGAAGTGCAGTGGCGCAATCTTGGCTCACTGCAACCTCTGCCTCCCAGGCTCAAGCAATCCTCGTGCCTCAGCTGCCCAAGTACCTGGGACCACAGGTGCATACCACCATGCCTGGCTAATTTTTGTATTTTTAGTAGAGACGGGGTTTTGCCACGTTGGCCAGGCTGGTCTCAAACTTCTGGTCTCAAGTGTTCCTCCCACCTTGGCCTTCCAAAGTGCAGGGATTACAGGCATGAGCCACCACACCCAGCCCCACATCCTGTTTTTATTGTTATATTTATAAGCAAGCAATTTTCTGTGTTGTGACAAACTGTCATAGATATCACTTTTAATGGCTGCATATCCAACCTATTGATATTAACTTATGTACTCATTCCTCTATTGTTTACATTAGATGGTTGTTGATGTTGTTACTGTTATTTAAAATATATAATGCAGCTTGGTGGGTAAAACACGAAATTTGAAAAGCTTTAGACCTGAGTTTGAATCTCAGAAATGCTACTTCTTTTTTTTTTGAGACGGAGTCTCGTTCTGTTGCCCAAGCTGGAGTGCAGTGGCGCGGTCTCAGAGAAATGCTACTTCTTAGCTGTGTGACTTGGGACAAATTACTCAACCGCTTTAATGTGAGATATGGGTGATACTACTTATATTTTATAGGCTGTAACGATTAAGTGAGATAACACATATAAAATGCCTAGTAGAGCACCTGGTACATAGGAGGCATTCAGTAAATGAGAAGTATAAAATTTCCAGTTCACTTTATAAAGTTCATAAGGGCAAGCAATAATTTTATTGTTTCCAACACCTACCATGGTTTATGATGCATAGAACTTAGCATAATACATATTTGCTTTCTTGAGCTTTGCAGAAATTTAGGATTATTTTCTTAAGTGGAATCACTGAGCCAAGGCTTATAGACAGATAAGGCTTTGGAAATGTGTTATAGATTGGTCTCTACCTGGCCAGGGGTGGGTGAAATTGGGCCAGTCGCCAAGGCTGGGCTTGCTGGGGATGGCCTGTTTCAGGAGCATGTTGGGAGTGTGGTAGTTTGGTTTGTGGTGGCTGCTCCTGATTTGGCTGTTCTCAAGTCTCTGGCTTTTGAGAGATATATGAATCTACAATAGCATTTTTGTTGTGATATAATCTCTGAGTACTTACAAAACAATTGCCGAGGTGATATATGATCGTTTCTATGGAAGAGCTTAGGGAGACCAAAGCATCAGGTGAATACACCTTGGTTGCTCCATTCTGAGCCCTTTGGATCCAGCTCTGTCAGCCTGTTCCATACCTGGAAGTGGTATAGCCAGTTAGAAATAATCTCTGTAAAGAGATTAAAGATACTGTCTTTATACAGATTATTGCACATTTATGCTTCTTGACTATGTCAAGGGTTGAAATTCAGTTTAGGCCTTCTACCAAGTAAAGTACCCATCTACCTGAAAGAATCAAATGGCTGTTATATTTAAAGGCAGCATGAGGGAAAAAAGCAGAAGTATGTAAGGCCTCTTTTTCATCATATTTGATAAAAATGAATTAGCAATCTTGATTAGCAAAAAGGCAGGGGATAGATCTCTCTCTCACTCATTTTTTTTTTTTTTTTTTTGAGACAGGGTCTGGCTCTGTTGCCGAGGCTGGAGTGCAGTGGTATGATCTTAACTCAATGCAACCTGCACCTGCCAGGCTCGAGTGATTCTCCAGCCTCAGCCTCCTGAGTAGCTGGGATCACAGGCATGCACTATCATGCTCAGGTAATTAAAAAAAATTTTTGAGAGATGAGGTCTCATTATATTACCCAGGCTGGTCTTGAACTCCTGGGCTCAAGCAATCTTCCTGCCTTGGCCTCCAAAATGCTGGGATTACAGGTCTGAGCCACCATGCCTGGCTGGATATCTCTTTTTTTAATCAATGGGATGAAATAAATAAATTCTCTGAGTTTGCAAGTAGTGCAATAATCACAAATGTTTAGTATTCATAATGGCATATATATATTTAGGTATGAATAATGCTGTTCTGCATATATGCCATTTAAATTAGACAGAGTAAGTTTTGAATTAATTTTCTGGTGTGTAGTAGCTTAAAAGAGAGTGAAGGCTGGTTGTGGTGGCTCATACCTGTAATCCCAGCACTTAGGGAGTCTGACGAAGGAGGATCACTTGAGCCCAGGAGTTCGAGCCGAGGCTGGACAACATAGTGAGACCCTGTCTCTACAAAAAATAAAAAACAAATTAGCAGGGCATGGTGGCGAGCACCTGTGGTCCCAGCTACTTCAGAGGCTGAGGCAGGAGGATCACTTGGCCCAGGAGGTTGAGGCTGCAGTGAGCTGTGATCATGCCACTGCGCTCCAGCCTGGGTGACAGAGTGAGCTCCTGTTTCAAAATAAGAAAGAATGTAAGAATGAAAGAATGAAAGAAAGAAAGGAAGGAAAGAGGGAAAAAGAAAGAGAGAGTGAATACAGTGTACCTTTTGAGAGCTCTGAATATTTTTTAAAAAGTATAATGTCATTTCCTTCCAAAAGAATTTTTTTCCTTTTTAAGTCCAAAAGGTTTTCAAAAGA
Source organism: Homo sapiens (assembly GCF_000001405.40). Classification (NCBI taxonomy): domain Eukaryota; kingdom Metazoa; phylum Chordata; class Mammalia; order Primates; family Hominidae; genus Homo; species Homo sapiens. The sequence goes on along the minus strand of NC_000002.12, from coordinate 55,080,911 downwards.
TAAAGATTGCGCATTCTTTACATAGTGTAAAATTAGTTCTTTCAAATCAACTTAATTAAGCTTGAGTAAAGAGATCCTGTCTATGGGACAGTTTGTGGATATGTATTATGTATGTATAAATGTGCAAAAACACTTTACTGGCTATTTATAAAAGACAGAAGGGTCATATGCCCAGTTAGGAAGGGGAGAATATTGTAAAATAAGATTTAAAAACTTTTCTTAGAAAGACGGTTTCAGTATACTTAATTTTTCCTACCCTTTTCTTTCAATAGAGAGTTGTCATCGAAAATAACAAGACTATTCTGGATATGAGTAACACTGAGGAATAAGATACTAAGCCATTAAAGAAGGGTATAAAAATTATGTCTGACACAGGATATGGAGAGAAATATGATGAAGATGAAATATGACAACAGAATCAAGGTAACTGGTATGAATTTGCTCTGTGATATGCAAATACAAGGAATGTCATATTTCATTTTTTTATATCAAATTAAATTTTGCTCAAGACTGCCACCTACCCCGGATAATTAGAAATCTAATCAGTCATTTTGCAGTGCCCCTTCCGTTTCTCTTGAGATTCATCAAAAATATGGCTGGGCATATTGGTTCACACCTGTAATCCCAGTACTTTGGAAGGCTGGGGCAGGAGGATCGCTTGAGCCCAGGAGTTCAAGACCAGCGTGGGTGACATGGCGAGACCCCATCTACAAAAAAAATACAAAAAGTTAGCCGGGTATGGTGGTGTGTACCTGTAGTCTCAGCTACTAGGGAAGCTGAGGTGGGAGGATCATTTGAGCCTGGGAGGTCAAGGCTGTAGTTAACTGTGATCATGCCACTACACTCTAGCCTGGGAGGACCCTGTCCCCTGTCCCCCCAAAATAAGAGATTCATCACAGATAATGCTAGCAAATGTTTACATATCTGCACCAGATAGGTCATAGTATTATTACATTCATTTTTAAATTAAGGACACTATGGTACAGAGAGTAGTTTGCACTAGACTGCCTGGCTAGTAAGGAACCAGGATTTGGACCCAGGCAGTCTGGTTTGGGAGTCTGTGCTCTTAACCACTATAGTATGCTGTACTAGTTTCAGAGTTTATGCATTTCAGCAGTATTCAGACAGGGCTGTTGGTCTCTTTATTCCTAGGCATCATCCCTATGTAGGAGAGTCCAGAACTGTTGCCCCATGATCTGATACCTGGAGTCAGAAAATTGCTGGTCTCTGATCAGATCTGACAGCAGACACATTTTGTCCTATGAGTATAGTACCTTTTAACACTCTGAACTGACAACATTAAAAGATGGAGGTTTCATTAAAAAGTGAAGATTTTCAGTTTTTATTGAAAGATCAGAAGATTTGGGAACAGCACCAGTATTCTTGCTGACCATAAGCTGAAGCTCATCGTCTTCTGCCACTTTACCTGACATGTGTGCTTTCCTTGCTCTCCCTGTTTCTATCCTGAGGCCCTTTACTCTTCTAAGTTACTTGACAGATTCAGTGGTCAGACTTTAAAACAAAACAAAACAAAAAAAACTCTCCTTCCTAACAAAGCCCAGTCTGTCCTTCCAATAAGTAGAAGAAATAACACTTGTTCCTTCACGGTGAGTTAACCACCCAGGCACAATGAATTTTCACTAGCACTGTTATAACTTTTTGCTTCCATAAAGACTGAGATTGGTTTGGTTTCCCCCATCATCTCCCCAGGGACTGGTATTTGAAGCTTTGGCAACCTCTTTGGCCCTTCCCTTGTCTTTGCCTTATAGATCAATCAGTTGCCAAATCCTAGATTCCACCACCAAACCTCTGTGACCACAACCTCCTCTATGTTCACTACAGCCACTTGCAAGACACCAGCTTAATGCAGGCCTTCCTGGCCCCTTTTCTGGACTGTCCTAATACATGGCCTCTTAAGAGGTCTACTGGCTCCCGTTTGTCTTACTCTATTTTCCATTTCCCATTTCCTCTCCTTATTCCCAAGGATGGTCAGATGAATCGAACCTTTTTTTCCCAGTATTTGCCCTGAGTTTTTCTACTTCTGTGATCATCCTTTCTTTTAAATACTCCCTCCACAAACACCCACATATTCAAAATCTACCTCTCTCTTAGTAACCTCAAATTTCACATTCTCCGTCTTTCCATGATCCCAATCAGAAGCAATTTCTCCCCGCTTTTAAAGCACGTAACACATTTACTCTGTGTTTACAAACATTGTCCCTACTTGTCAGTAAATCTTTTGAAAGTAGAGTTAATTTTTGAGTCATTTTATATGCTCACAACTCACAGGATAGTATCTTGCAAGTATTACTAGCAGGTTTTCAATAATTTTTGAAGGAAGGAAGAAAGGAAGACAGGCTAAAGTCTCCTATGAGGTAAAAAAGTATTTAGCCATAGGAAGTTATTTACTTTTTGTTACTGTTTTTTCTTCTCTATAATGTAGAAGAAGAACTGGAATATCATTTCTAAATCTATACTATTCAATTTAAAAATAATATGGCAAAACTAGGCTGGGCATGTTGGCACATGTCTGTAGAACTAGCTATTCCAGAGGCTGAGGTGGGAGGATCACTTGAGCCCAGGAGGTTGAGGCTGCAGTGAGCCATGATTGCACCACTGTATTCCAGCCTGGGCAGCAGAGCAAGCCTCAAAAAATAGTAAATTTAAAAAAATAAAAATAATATGATAAAACTGTTAAAAACCATTATTTCTTTCTTTTAAATTTTTTTTTTATTTCAATAGGTTTTTTGGGAAAAGGTTGTGTTTGGTTACATGAACAAGCTCTTTAGTGGTGGTTTGTGAGATTTTGGTGCACCCATCACCTGAGCACTATACACTGTACTCAATGCGTAGTCTTTTATCCCTCATCCCCCTCCCACCCTTTCCCCTGAATCCCCTGAGTCCCCAAAGTCCCCAAACGTCCATGGTATCATTCTTATGCCTTTGCATCCTCACAGCTTAGCTCCCACTTGTGAGTGAGAACGTACAATGTCTGGTTTTCCATTCTAAGTGAAGTGAGTTACTTCACTTAGAATAACAGTCTCTAATTCTGTCCAGGCTCCTGCAAATGCCATTATTTCATTCCTTTTTATGGCCGAGTAGTATTATATGGTGTGTCTGTGTGTGTGTGTGTGTGTGTGTGTGTGTGTGTGTGTATAAAACATTTTCTTTATCCACTTGTTGATTGATGGGCATTTGGGCTGGTTCCATTTTTTTGCATTTGCGAATTGTGCTGCTATAAACGTGTGTGCAGGTATCTTTTTCATATAATGACTTCTTTTCCTCTGGGTAGATACCCAGGAGTGGGATTGCTGGATCAAATGGTAGATCTACTTTTAGTTCTTTAAGGAATCTCCACACTGTTTTCCATAGTGGTTGTACTAGTTTTCATTCCCACCAACAATGTAAAAGTGTTTCCTTTTCACCACATCCACACTAACATCTATTATTTTTTGATTTTTTGATTATGGCCATTCTTGCAGGAGTGAGGTGGTATTGCATTGTGGTTTTGATTTGCATTTTCCTGATGGTTTTGATTTGCATTTTCCTGATAAGTAGTATATTAGTCCGTTCTCATGCTGCTATAGAGAACTGCCCTAGGCGGGGTGTGGTGGCTCACGCCTGTAATCCCAGCACTTTGGGAGGCCGAGGCAGGAGGATCACGAGGTCAGGAGATCGAGACCATCCTGGCTAACACGGTGAAACCCCGTCTCTATTAAAAATACAAAAAAATTAGCAGGGCATGATGGTGGGTGCCTGTAGTCCCAGCTACTCGGGAGGCTGAGGCAGGAGAACGGCATGAACCCAGGAGGCAGAGCTTAAAGTGAGCCGAGATCGCGCCACTGCACTGCAACCTGGACGACAGAGCGACAAACTCCGTCTCAAAAAAAAAAAAAAAAGAACTGCCTGAGACTGGGCAATTTATAAAGGAAGGAAGTTTAGTTGACTCACAGTTCTGCATGGCTAGGAAGAACTCAGGAAACTTTCCATCATGGTGGAAGGGGAGGCAAACATGTCCTTTTCCACAAGGTTGCAAGAGAGAGAAGTACCAAGCAAAGGGAGAAAAGCCCCTTTTAAAACCATCAGATCTTGTGAGAACTCACTATCATGAGAACAGCATGGGGGTAACCACCCCCATGATTCACTTATCTCCCACTGGGTCCCTCCCAAGACACGCGGGGATTATGGGAACTACAATTCAAGATGAAATTTGGGTGGGACCAGGCACAGTGGCTCTCGCCTGTAATCCCAGCACTTTGGGAGGCAGGCAGATCATCTGAGGTCAGGAGTTTGAGATCAGCCTGGCCAACATGGTGAAACCGCGTCTGTACTAAAAATACAAAAATTAGCTCAGCGTGGTTATGCATGCCTATAGTTCCAGCTACTCAGCAGGCTGAGGCAGGAAAATCACTAGAACCTGGGAAGCGGAGGTTGCAGTGAGCCAAGATTGTGCCATTGCACTCCAGCCTGGGCGACAGAGTGAGAGTCCATCTCAAAAAAAAAAAAAAAAAAAAAAAAAAAAGAACAAAAGAAATTTGGGTGGGGACACAGCCAAACCATATCAAGTAGTGATGTTGAGCATTTTTTCATGTTTGTTGGCCATTTGTATATCTTCTTTTGAGAATTGCCTATTCATGTCCTTAGCCCACTTTTTGATGGGATTGTTTGTTTTGTTCTTGCTGATTTGTTTGTGTTCCTTGTAGATTCTGGGTATTAGTCATTTGTCGGATGTATAGATTATGAATGTTTTCCTCCCACTCCATGGGTTGTCTGTTTACTCTGCTGATTATTTCTTTTGCTGTGCAGGAGCTTTTTTAAATTTAATTAAGTCCCATCTATTTATCTTTTTGTTGCATTTGCTTTTGGGTTCTTGGTCATGAAGTCTTTGACTAAACCAGTGTCTAGAAGGGTTTCTCCAAAGTTTGTTCTATAATTTTTGTGGTTTCAAGTCTTAGATTTAAGTCTGTAATCCATCTTGAGTTTTGTATAGGGTGAGATATGAGAATCCAGTTTCATTCTTTTACATGCGGCTTGCCAATTATCCCAGCATCATTTGTTGAATAGGGTGTCTTCCTCATTTTATGTTTTTGTTTGCTTTGTCAGAGATCAGTTGACTATAAATATTTGGCTTTATTTATGGGTTCTCCATTCTGTTCCATTGGTCTATGTGCCTATTTTTATACCAGTACTATGCTGTTTTGGTGACTATGGCCTTGTAATATAGTTTGAAGTCAAGTAATGTAATGCCTCCAGATTTGTTCTTTTTGCTTAATCTTGATTTGGCTATATGAGCTCTTTTTTGGTTCCATATGAATTTTAGGATTGTTTCTTCTAGTTCTGTGAAGAATGGTGGTGGTATTTTGATAGGTATTGCATTTAGTTTGTAGATTGCTTTTGGCAGTATGGTCATTTTCACAATATTGATTCTACTCATCCATAAGCATGGGATGTGTTTCCATTTGTTTGTGTCACCTATGATTTATTTCAGCAGTGTTTTGTAATTTTCCTCGTAATGGCCTTTCACCTCCTTTCACTTAGGTTAAGCATATTCCTAAGGTTTTGTTTTGTTTTGTTTTTGGCAACAATTGTAAAAGGGGTTGAGTTCTTGATTTGATTCTCAGCTTGGTCGCTGTTGGTGTATAGCAGAGCTACTGATTTGTGTATGTTAATTTTGTATCCTGAAACTTTGCTGAATTCATTTACCAGTTCTAGGAGATTGTTGGATGTCTTCAGGGTTTTCTAGGTATAAGACCATGTCATCAGCAAACAGTGACAGTTTGACTTCCTCATTACCAATTTGGATGCCTTTTATTTCTTTCTCTTTTCTGATTGCTCTGGCTAGGACTTCTAGTACTATGTTGAACACAAGTGGTGAAAGAGGGCATCCTTGTCTTGTTCCAGTTATCAGGGGCAATACCTTCAACTTTTCCCCAGTTGGTATAATGTTAGCTGTGGGTTTGTCATAGATGGCTTTTACTACCTTAAGGTATGTCTCTTATATGCCAGTTTTGCTAAGGGTTTTAATCATGAAGGGATGCTGGATTTGTGAAATGCTTTTTCTGCATCTCTTGAGATAATCATGTGATTTTTGTTTTTAAGTCTGTTTATGTGGTGTATCACATTTATTGACTTACAGATGTTAAACCATCCCTTTATTCCTGTTATGAAACCCATTTGATCATGGTGGATTATCTTCTTGATATGTCATTTGATTTGGTAAACTAGTATTTTGTTGAGGATTTTTGTATCTATGTTCATCAGGGATATTGGTCTGCAGTTTTCTTTCTTTGTTATATCCTTTCTTCATTTTGATATTAGGGTGATACTGTCTTCATAGAATGATTTAGGGAGGATTCCCTCTTTCTCCATATTTTCTTTTTTTTTTTTTTTTTTTGGTGAGGGCAGCAGGGAGACAGGGTCTTGCTCAGTTGCCCAGGCTGGAGTGCAATGGTGTGATCACAGCTCATTGAAGCCTCAACCTCCAGGGCTCAAGCAGTCCTCCTGCCTCAGTTTCCTAAGTAGCTAGGACTACAGGAGTGTGCCCCCACACCTGGCTAATTTTAACATTTTTTGTAGAGACAGGGGTCTTGCTATGTTGCTGAGGCTGGCCTCAAACTCCTGGCCTCAAGTGATCCTCCCACCTCAGTTTCCCAAAGCACTGAGATTACAGGTGTGAGCCACTGTGCATGGCCAGTGTTTTCTTACTTTATGATATTCATCTCTGACCTAGCTTCAGAGTCACTACCAACTTCCATAGAATCCTGTAAAACAAATGGGTTACTAAAGCACATCACCTTCAAACATGGGTGTCTGAGACAGAACACCTGAAATTTATGACAAGAGTGCATTATGTTTACTTACTTGCCATCTGATTTCATTGCTGAGGTTGGGCAAGTGAGCTGTTTTGGAAATATGCTGTGACTCTGGCTTAACCTCACAGTGAATGCCACCTTGCAACGAAACTGGGGCAGGTGGTCCTGAGGGAGGGTGGTGCTGTGGGTGGTATACCAGAGCTCATGTCAGAAACTGAGCTCAGGTCCTGGCACTGCCACCAACCAACGAGTGGTCTGGATAAGTTTATACGTCTCTTTGCCTTTAAGTGAAGAAAACTGTGCTTTATCTCTAAAGTTCTTTTCAGTTTCAACATCTGTGAATCAAGCTGTTAGATTGAAATTTTCAGTGCATAGAATCAGCAAATGTCCCCAGAAAGCCATTGATATGAGCAGTCTGAAGATAAATGAGAATTCTGAAAATTGTATTTTAAAGTGGCTCCTAATGAGTCCCTGGAAATTTGCACATTGACATAGTAGTGTATCTTCATACAAATGTCATATATTAGCATTTTTGTTGTAATTCCCAGAATTGCTTCCCAAAGATACTGGGGTTGGTTTTTAGGCATTTCCTTAAGTATACCAACTTGCTGCCAAATTCTCTGTTCTCCTCCTACTCTTAGCTCCAAGGATAACACATAAAAATTGAATTACTGCTACCGTTTCTTCTAATAGTAACAACTAAATGCTATGCTACTGCATATTTATGTCTTCTATAAAGCTATTTGTAGACACTATTGCAAATAATAAAATATAATGAGATGCACATTGGATGATAAAATTAACGCTCTTGGTTGTTTGGTATTTACGGAGAGAAATAAATAGAGATTGAGCTAAAGGTTATCCCCAGCAGGCAAGAAAAAGGTCACAAGTTTATGCATAGCAATACACTTTTGAAAGTGGTTTCTGTGAGACACATGGCTAGTTAGAATTGTCTTTCTTTGCTGTTGTATAGTAGGTACAGTAAAACTTTTCTTTTTAATTTATTTAAAAATATGTAAAACCCAGTCTGGCCTCTTAACAGAATTGCCTAATAAAATTGCAGACATAAATAATTATATTGAGGGATGGAAGCTAGAAGGGGTGATTGAATAAGATGAAAGAATGAGCAACTGAGCCGAGCAACTGAAGAAGCTCATTTTCAGGGGATAGAGTTGCAGAAAAAACACTTTAACAGTTTCTCTTTTGATTATTTGAAATAAACATGGCATATTTAATAAAGAAGTATAAAGCACAAATGGTAATCCTGTAAAAGATGGCAGAAAACAGTAATAGTTGTGATCCTTATAGTTAGAGATTTTTCAGATTTGAAGATCATGTAAACATTCCTTTGGGGAATTTCAAAATTAGAATGCATATCGAATATCATTAGGCACGTGCTCAAGTGCTAAGTGGTACAGTTATATCTAGAACAGCAAGATGGTACTGTGATAATTAAAGAGAAGAAATTGCTCAAAAAATTATTATCAAAAGTGAAAACTTAAAAAATGTGTATGCCCCTCGATCCAGAAGCTTCACAACCAAGAATGTATCCTAAGAAAATATAAATACTGGGCCGGGTGCGGTGGCTCACGCCTGTAATCCCAGCACTTTGGGAGGCTGAGGCAGGCGGATCACGAGGTCAGGAGATCGAGACCATCCTGGCTAACGCAGTGAAACCCCATCTCTACTAAAAATACAAAAAATCAGCTGGGCATGGTGGTGGGCACCTGTAGTCCCAGCTACTCGGGAGGCTGAGGCAGGAGAATGGCGTGAACACGGGAGGTGGAGCTTGCAGTGAGCAGAGATCGCGCCACTGCACTCCAGCCTGGGAGACAGAACGAGGCTCTGCCTCAAAAAAAAAAAGAAAAGAAAAGAAAATATAAATACAAATAATGCTTTTCTTTGACTCTGTTTACTCCAGTTTTACATATTTTTTTTTGAAAAAAAAAATAACTAAAAACAATCCACATCAATAAGGGACTGTTTACACCAATTGTGGCACACCCATACCATGGAAGGACATCTTAATGATTTGGGATAGTGGTGGGAGCTGCTTATTGCAGGAAGCGGAGGAGGAAGATGATGAACATTTTGACTTTCTTGTACTCTGGAAAATTTTCAAATAAATGAAGTTGATTTTAGCAATCTTCTAACTTTACTTTCTCCTCTTCTCTCTCTTGGAATCTCTTTGGGGTTCCAAAATTCTCAAGCTAACCCAGTCATTATAACATCTTTACTTTACAAAGTAATTTGAACTGCTCTCTCCTAAACTGTTTATGATCTTTACAACTTTTTCCCTCCCTTCACTAATAAATCCATAGAATCTCTAAAAAGATTCAGGGGTTTTGTTTGTGGTTTTTTGACAACCACAGGCACTGCGGCAGTGCTGGGGACATCAGTGAAGGGTATGGGCTATGGTTTGCTAAAAAGGGGTAATCTATAAATTGACAGTCTGAAGTCAGTGATCGCCTGCAGCATTTTTCATAGAACCAGATCACAAATATTCTCTGCATTAGCAGAAGTAAATGACTGGCTTTTTTTTTTTTTTTTTTTTTTGATGGCAAATGGTGCCTCTCCTATACCAGCAACACAAATTCTATGTAGTTAGAAGTAGAAAAGGGCATCAAACACACAGGGTTGTTTGTTAATGTGTTTCCAGTTTCTGAAAAGACCGTAATGACTTAGTTATGTCTGGTTACATTTTCTTTTAACTTTCAAAGCACTTTTCCATCTCCTTTCGTTGTTTCCTTATAATCACCCGTACAGAAGGTAGGGAAGGTACTATTGCTCCCATTTGAGAAATGATGAAACTGAGACACAAAGAGTTAATTGCAAGGTAGTAATAGGACCCAGGATGACTGACTGTGCCAGACATTTTGTCTTGTAGATCACAAGCAAGAGACCCCCTGGTGGCCAGTAAATTATTATTGTAGAAGCTAAGCATAATTTGAAACCATTTCCAGGAACTTAGACTGGGCTTGGAGTTTCAAAGTTCCATTAAAAAAAAAAAAAGAAGAAAAAAAAGGCAGGGCGAGGTGGCTCACGCCTGTAATCCCAGCACTTTGGGAGGCCGAGGTGGGAAGATCACGAGGTCAGGAGATTGAGACCATCCTGGCTAACACAGTGAAACCCCATCTCTAATAAAAATACAAAAAATTAGCCAGGCGTGGTGGTGGGCACCTGTAGTCCCAGCTACTCGGGAGGCTGAGGCAGGAGAATGGCGTGAACCCGGGAGACAGAGCTTGCAGTGAGCCGAGATCGCACCACTGTACTCCAGCCTGGGCAAGAGAGAGAGACTCTGTCAAAAAAAACGAAAAACAAAAAAACAAACAACAACAACAACAACAACAAAAATCAAAACAGCTGTTTGTCCTTGATAGGAGTGGAGATTTTTATATGCTGAGATAATAATAGACCGGTGATTTTTAACCAAAGTCAATTTTGCTCCCCACCCCTAATCTCATCCCTCTTCCCAAAGGCATTTTTGGTTATTGCAAATGGGAGGGAGTATTTTATTTTTCTTTCTTTCTTTCTTTTTTTTTTTTTTTTTTTTTGAGACAGAGTCTTGCTCAGTCACCCAGGCTGGAGTGCAATGGCATGATCATAGCTCACTACAGCCTTGATTTCTTGGGCCCAAGTGATCCTCTGGCCTCAGCCTGCTGAGTAGCTGGGACTACAAGTGTGAGCCACCATGCCTGGTTAATATTTTAACATTTTTAGTAGAGACAAGATCTCGCTATGTTGAACTCCTGAGCTCACGGGATCCTTCTGCCTTAGCTTCCCAAAGTGCTGGAATTACAGGTGCGAGCCACTGTGCCTGGCCTTTTGTTTGGGGGGGTGGGGAGGATTTGGGGAAGGGTGTATTACTGGAGTATTACTGGCATCTAGTGAGTAGCAGCTGGTGATCCCGCTAAACATCCTAGAATGCACAAGACAGCCCCCATAACAAAGACTATCCAGCTCATAGTTTTAATTGTTCTGAGGTTGAGGAACCCCTGCTTTAGACTGTCTCTTTGCCTTGGTTAATGGTGCTTGGCATGTTATCAGTTTGCCCTATGATTAGTCTCTGCCATCGAAACCACTGGGCAAGACATTTTAAAAGGGAGTTCAATAATGTGCCATCTTTTACCCCACATTTGCTGCTTTCTCTTAATTCTTCATCCCTTCTCTCAATCCTTTCCCCAGTTGTCATCATCCCTACTTCTCCAGCCAGCATTTGGCTTAATTCATGTACCTGTGTTTCTCTCTTTTTCCTCTTTGACATCAAATTGACATGGTTCAGTTCCACTGTGGTCTCTTTTTCTTGCTCTCTTAGAGAAAACACTGAACTTCGTGGACATTGGGTGATGGGTGGAGGTGCAGGCCCTGCAGGTGCCCCCAGGAATGTCGGTTGGGCCTCTCTGGGAGACTGCTTATCTGCCAGCTTCTATTATTAATTTTGGAAGAATGCTTGGGTGGAGGAGGCAGAGGCCTTCCCTTAGTGCCTTAGAGGAAACTCACAGGTGAATTTTCCTAGAAGTTAACTCTACTTCTGAAAGGAGGGTGAACAATTATACTCCATACTCACCTACAAGTTGTAACTCTTATTTGTGTAATAGCAATAAACCCTGTGGATAGTAGTCTCTGGCCATGCAGATATTTTCAGTTTGTTTTTAGACAATGGCAGAGTTGAATTTACTAAGAGGAACACTTAGAGTATTAGAGGGGCTTTCTGATTTTTTTGAGGGGGGCGGTTACAGAGGACCAGGTAATTTTGGATTTTATTTTCCAGAAGAATGCTGACATGGATGAGAAGCATTACTTTTATCTCACTGATAAAGGTTAGAACTTTCATACTCTAAGCAATTGATTTCTTGAAGACGACTGGACTAAACCAGTCTAATTAGGTTTTTTTCTGAGCTAGGTAAAATGTGTTAGTCATTATCTAGATCAGCAATTCTCAAAGTGTGGTTCACAGACCCCTGGGTGCTCCTCCTGAGATTTCTTCAGAAAGTCTGCAAGGTCCAAACTCTTTTTATAATAATATTAAGATGTTATTTGCCCTCTCCCCACCCCTTGTGCCACTTCTCTCTAATTTTGCACTGATGATGCAGAAGCAATGGTGATGCGAACTTTGGGTGCCTTGGCACAAATCAAGGCAGTGGCTTTAAAGTACACTAATTGTCTTTGTGTTCTTCACCTCCATGCACTCACAGTAAAAAGAAAAGCCGGTTTCACTGAAGAAGGTCCTTGTCAAAGTAGTAAAAAGTATTAATTAAATCTTGACCCTTGAGTGCCCATTTTTTAACATTCTGTGTGATAAAATGGAAAGTACACAGAAAGCATTGTTGCTGCATACTGAAGTACAAAAGTGATTGTCTTCAGCAAATCATTTATGCAATTATTTGAGCTGCAAGCCAAACTAGCCCCCACCCCCCCCCCTTTTTTTTTGTAGAGCACCATTTTTCACTTGAAAGAGCGACTGGCAGACAAACTGTGGTTATTCAAACTTGGGTATTCAGCAGAACTTTAATCAAAAACATATGAAGTAAACCTGTCATTTTGAGGAAAGAAAAACTGACAGTAGTTTATTAAAGATAAAATTTGGGTTTTCAACTAAAATTTTGAATTTTGGAAGACCTGTATTCACCACTGTGAGTATGACAGTTTCCTAGTACTAAAAGACTTTTCTGATGCAAGAAATGATGATATGATTAATATGATTTTAAAATATCATCTAAGGAAATGTGTCAAGCTTGGGAAGATATCAATAAGTCTATGTACTGATATTTTCAATATGATGTTACTAGATGATGCATGGGTGAAAGATCCATTCAGAGTGCAAGACAGACCAATGGATTTTAATGTAGCAGGGTAGGAAATGTTCATCGATATACTTTCAGATTCCACACTGCAAATCACCTTTAAGAAACTACTACTTATTGAGTTTTGATATGGTACCAAATAGTAATATCCACAATCATCTTAAAAAATCATTAAAATATTCTTCCCATTTCCAACCACATATCTGCTTAAGGCCAAATTTTCTTCATATACTTCAACCAAAACAACAGATTTCAACAGATTGAATGCAGAAGTAGATATGAGAATCCAACTGTCTTATATTAAGCTAGACTTTAAGGAAATTTGCAAAAATGTAAAATAATACTTCTTTTCTTACTAATTATTTATTGTTTCAGCAATAGCTATTTCTCATAAAAATGTGATTTATGTTAACATGCAGTGGGTTTATTAATGTTATTTTAAAATAAATATTTAAAATCTATTTTAACTTATAGCACAGTAAATATTAATAGCTAAAATCCACAGCACGGAAGAGTGTAAAGGGATCTTGAGATGAAAAGTCTGAGAATTATTGATCTAGAAGAATATAAATTACAATATGGGGCCAGGTGTGGGGCTCACGCCTGTAATCCCAGCACTTTGGGAGGCCAAGACAGGCTAATCACTTGAGGTCAGGAGTTCAAGATCAGCCTGGCCAACATGGTGAAATCCTATCTCTACAAAAAATACAAAAAAATTAGCTCGGTGTGGTGGCATATGCCTGTAATCCCAGCTACTTGGGAGGCTGAGGCACAAGAATCACTTGAACCCGGGAGGTGGAGGTGGTAGTGAGCTGAGATCGTGCAACTGCACTCCAGTCTGGGTAACAGAACAAGACTCTATCTTAAAAAAAAAAAAAAAAAATTGCAATATGGTTACTGCAAAGTTGATCCCTTCAAAGCAAACATGTGCTATTCCCTTTCATTGTTTAAAAACATTAATGACTCCATTTCGATGGTGCTTTGTACTTTCCAAAGTGTTTTTACATGCATCAACAATTTAATCCTTTGAGCAATCCTGCAGGTCAGGTATCATATTCTTTATCTTATACTGAAGAAAATTGAGATTCAGAGCAATCATCAAGCAGCTTATTTTACGTCAGAGAGCCAGTGACAGAGCTGGACATTAACCCTAGATTTTCCAATTTCCAATTTCATTATATTTTTGTAATACTAATTTATAGGTTCAGAAACTATTAGAAATAATTTAGTATATGAACAGTGTACATTATAAACAATTTTAAAGGGTTTATTAAATTACTGTACTTTTGGGTAACAAACATTAAACTCAAATATACATAGATAATCTTATTGGGTTTGGGTTATGTTCTTTATGTTGAACATGCAAATTATTTCAAATTCTGAATGAGTAATGTCTAAATGAGTGTTTTCATATACCTACTTCTGTTCATTGTATGACATTGAACTATATGAAATGGCCAATATTCTCACATTTTTGACTTATAAAAATGACAATTTCATATGGCTCAACATAATACAATTTTACAAACGCAGAAAAGATTAATAAGGCCTTGTAAAGTAGGCTTTATTTATTTATTTATTTATTTATTTATTTATTTATTTTTGAGATGGAGTCTTGCTGTTACCCAGGCTGGAGTGCAGTGGCACGATCTTGGCTCACTGCAACCTCCGCTTCCCGGGTTCAAGCGACTCTCCTGCTTCAGCCTCCTGAGTAGCTGGGATTACAGGTGCCTGCACCATGCCCGGATAATTTTTGTATTTTTAGTAGAGACAGGGTTTCACCATGTTGGCCAGGCTGGTCTCAAACTCCTGACCTCAAGTGATTCGCCTGCCTAGGCCTCCCAAAGTGCTGGGATTACAGGTGTGAGCCACCACGCCCAGCCAAATTAGGCTAAATTTATATAAAGAGAGCATTAAAAAGAATAAACTGAAAAATAAGAGTTTATGTACAAACCCCAGCCCTCAGTCCCACATCCCAGTTGTCTAAGGTAACCTACTATCAAAACAATTTCCTGTGTGTCCTTCCAGGAACTGCCCATGCATATACAATCAAACATGTAGCTATTAAAACATACACACACACACACACACACACACACACAAACACACACACACACACACACACAAATGGGTTCATACTAACAAACTACTTTGCCAATTGCTTTTTTCACTTGATATTTTGGGATATCATTCCTTCCAATTCATGTAGTTCTATTCTTTTTAAAAATTTCTATTAGTCTATTGGAGAATGTACCATAATTTACTATTGAATTTAAAAGAAATTATTGAAGCATGACATCCACATTGTAAAATGAACTAATCTTAAAGTTTATTTTCCATATGCGTATATACATGTTTATGCACACTACCTTCTACATGAGTGTGTATAACTGTGTAACCACCATCCAAATCAAGTATAGAGTAGTTCCAGCATCCCACAAGGCCCTATCAAGCCCTGTCTCAGTCAATAATACTTCCCTAACCCAGTAACCATTGTTCTAATTTTTATCACCATAGATTAGTTTTGCATGTTTTTTTTTTATTATCTAGCCATCCAGAAGCAGTTTTGCATGTTTTTAAACTTCATATAAATGGAATCATACTGCATCCTTTGCGTGTGTGTGTATGTGTGTACCTTGTTTCTTTTGTTCAACGTGGGTTCTCTAGGGTTGAGTTATATTAGCGTGTGTAGTGGTTTGCTCTTTTTATTGCAAACCATTTTTATAGTATTCCCTTACATGAATTAATCCATTCTACTCTTGATGAAAAATTTTTTTTTTATTTTATAAGTTTTAGATATTATAATAAAGCTGCCATGAGCACTTTTACATGTCTTTTGGTGGATATCCATTAATTTTCTTAGGTATGTTCTTACTTGATCTCATTTTGGTTTAAATGTGTTAATATGCCTACAAAGGCAGCCCTTCATAGAGGTAGTATAACACATTCATCACACTAGCAAATAGCAGTAGAAGGCAGATGGGATAAAACACAGAGATTATGAGTGCAATTTTAAGAAAGCTTTTAGTTATAGAAATGTAAAGAAAATGTGGTATAAATAAAAGCAAATGCTCTAGTAAAATGCTATTTATGTAAGCTGGATATTGGCATGCCAGTGGATTCTGATATGAAAAAACTCCCGTAGAATGCTGAATAAAGAAGACATCCTATGAGAGTAGAACCGATGGCTTTTTCAGGCTACAGATATCAACCAGTAACATACTCAACTTATCTCTGTAATTTTGCTTGCATTCTTTCCAGCATATGCTTACTGGCTTATTTGGGGTACAATGTTTACAAACACATATAATATAACACATGCATTCGAAATGGAAAATTAAAGCTATTAATTTATATTATTAATCTAATTTGATACCCTATCACTTTCATATAAGTGATTCCTTAAAAAGGAAAGTTATGTTAGGGAAAAATTCATATGTTTAGTTAATCACATAATTTAACAAAGTCTCAATTAACTGGAATTTTACATTATAATTAATTTGACTCATTGTTAACTAAAGATTAACCAGAAAACTCTATTTCTCACTCATGAACATTTTTAAGTAAGTTATTGTACTTTCACAGTCTCGGTATTTTTGTATAGAAATCCAACATATTCTTTAATGATTTAAGAATGTTTGTGTAGGCCTGGCGCATTGGCTCACACCTGTAATCCCAGCACTTTGGGAGGCCAAGGCTGATGGATCACCTGAGGTCAGGAGTTTGAGACCAACCTCACCAACATGGTGAAACCCCATCTCTGCTAAAAATACAAAAATTAGCTGGGTGTCGTGGCAGGCACCTGTAATCCCAGCTACTTGGGAGGCTGAGGCAGGAGAACTGCTTGAACCCGGGAGGCGGAGGTTGCAGTGAGCCGAGATCAAGTGCCACTGCACTCCAGCCTGGGCAACAGAGTGAAACTCTGTCTCAAAAAAAAAAAAAAAAAGAATGTTTGTGTTATCATTTTAAATATGAATAATTGTTGCCAAAGTGCTGTAGTTGGTCTGGGATGACTCTAGATGTTTCTTTTGAAAATAAATTTCTGTTATGTGTTTTCTTTTTTCTTTTCTTTTCTTTCTTTTTTTTTTTTTAAGACATGGTCTTGCTCTATTGCCCAGTCTGGAGTACAGCCATCATGGTGCCACTCCTGAGTTCAAGGAATCCTCCTGCCTCAGCCTCCTGAGGCACTGGGACTACAGGTACACACCACTACACCTGGCTAATTTTTAAATTTTTTTGAGGAGAGAGGGTCTCACTTTGTTGCCCAGGTTTGTCTTGAAATCCTGGCCTCAAGTAATCTTCCCACCTTGGTCGCCCAAAGTGCTGAGAGGACAGGTGTGAGCCACTGCGCTTGGCCTGCTTTCAGTTTTGTTGCCCTCTGTTCACCACAGAACAGTCAGAGTAACTTTTTTTTTTTTGAGACTGTCTCCCCCTGTTGCCCAGGCTGGAGTACAGTGCCCAGTCTCCGCTCACTGTAACCTCTGCCTCCCAGGTTCAAGCAATTCTCCTGCCTCAACTTCCCAAGTAGGTGGGACTACAGGCGCCCACCACCACGCCCGGCTGATTTTTGTATTTTCAGTGGAGACGGGGTTTTACCATGTTGTCCAGGCTGGTCGGGAACTGCTGACCTCAGGTGATCCACCCACCTTGGCCTCCCAGAGTGCAGGCATTACAGGTGTGAGCCACTGCGTCGGGCCCAGAATAACTAAAACATAATTCAGTGTTATTCTCCTGCTTACAACCCTTACCATTATGCTTGAAAAAAAAAGTCAACTCATTACTATGGCCTGCTAGTCCTAAATGACGTTGCATCTGCTAGCCTCTCCCCCACCATCTGGTGTCATTAAGTTCCAGCTACATGGCCTCCTTTTAATTCTGTGAACATGCCAAGCAAGCCCTTTCTACTTTACCACTTCCCACACGCAGTCTCCTCTGTTTAGGAAACTCCCTACCACCTCACACAATTTACTGCTTCTCAGCATTCTACTCTCCACTTAAATGTAACCTCCTTGCGAAGGCTTTCCCGCCTCACCTAAGAAGCCCACTATCTTCTATTCCCATCTTCTATTTTTTTAAAATATAATTTACCAAAATTATAATTATATGCTTGTTTTATTATCTTCTTTGCTGTGTCAGGAATTGGTTCAACTGCTGAAAAATATACAGTGGCTAAAAATGATAGTTCATTTTTCTCTCATATAAACGAAGTTTAGAGGCAGGTAGATCAAGGTTAGTATGGTAGCTCCATGGTCATAAGAGACCTAGGCTTCTTCCCTCTAGCTATTCCACCAAATTAAGCATATGGCTTCCACCTCACAGTCCAAAATGGTTGCCCCAGTTCCAGCCATCATGCTTGTATTCCATACAGCTGGAGTCAGGAAGGCAAATACAGTTTTTATTCAAAGTAATTGAGATTTTATACACACTGTTAAAAATTGAGGGTTCCTTAGTGAAATTATTGAATCAGGCAAGGATTTTCAATTGATGTTAAAATGACCAGGTAGATGGCTAATGATAAAGGACATTCATAAGGTGCCAAACAAAGCAAAACAAAACCTCTGCACAGATTACTTCTGTCCATGAAAGAACAAAGCTTTACAGTGAAAAAGTCAGGCTGTCATCACCTCAATCCAGGGGTCAGATATTCTGTGTCTCCTGATGTGATGTGATTTGAAGTACACAGTACTACTTGCGACACAATCTTGCCAAAAATGTTCAAATTTGAGTCTAATTGGGCCTTAATTTTGAAATGGGAAAGATTCCCTTGTCCCCCTCTCAGGGCATGCGATAGGAGTGTGGCTCCCCTCTTCAGTGCCCCGCTGCTCAAACCTCTAGGGGAGCACACAGACGCGCAGGCTGTGGGGCTCTGACCCCACGGCAGTGTCTAGGGGTGAATGTTTACAACTGAAGCCCCAGTGGGCGTGTTACGGGTGTTCTTTTAGTTTAGCCATCTGTAGGCGGCTTGTGTTAGTCAGCTCAATTAGACCCCTGCCTTATTGCAAGGACAGAGGGCTTTCTGTATCTCGGGGTTCCTGCCTTGGTGTACCGGAAGAATTGGATCTCATGTGGGTTTGGAGAATGAGTGCAAGGTTTTATTGAGTGGAAGTAGCTCTCAGCAGATGGAGGAGCCAGAAGGCAGATGGTTTTCCGCTGGAAGTCGGGCTGCTTGGCGGCCCGACTCTTCTCTGACAGCCCTGGCCAAACTCTGTTCTGCCGGTCAATGACCTGCCGGCGTGCCAGTGCCTGTCCGTGTGCTCTTGACGTGCTCTTGACGTGCTCTTGATGTCCTCTCGAAATCCAACCGCTTGTGTGTTCCTCCGCCAATGTGCTTCTCTCAACGTCCAGCCGTTTTTGTGTGTTTGCCTTGCTAGGGTCTCGGGTTTTTATAGGCACAGGATGGGGGCGTGGCAGGCCAAGGGGGTCTTGGGAAATGCAACATTTGGGCGCCAAGGCAGGAGTGCCTGTCGTCACCTAGGTCTATGGGCACAGGACCGGGGGTGGAGCCCTCGCCAGGGACCCACCTTTCTCCTCCCAGCACTTCCCTGCCCCTCTTCTGTATCAATTTGTCATAACATAATTTCAGCTTTACAGAAATCACAAGGGGAAGAGAAACAAGCTAACTGGTACCTTGACGAAGCAATCAAACAAGTTGAGAAGTTGGGACATTCTTCTGTAGAAGAATTGTTCCTGTTTCTGTCTCTTTAACATTGCAGTATCATGAATAAAGGGACTGATATATTTCAAAGAGACTGAGGGGACATAACAACCAGATGTGATGTGTGGTCCTCAGTTGGATCCTGGTTTGGATAAACCAGCTGTAAAGGACATTGCGTGGACAACTGGAGAAATTTCAATATGCATGGGTATTCAAATATAATATGCTATTAAGGAATTATTACTACTGTCAGCTGTGATTGTTATTTTGGCTATGTAGGAAAACTTGGTGGCTCACGTCTGTAATCCCAGCACTTTGGGAGGCCATGGTGGGTGGATCACCTGAGGTCAGGAGTTTGAGACCAGCCTGGCCAACATGGTGAAACCCCGTCCCTACTAAAAATACAAATCAGCTGGGTGTGGTGGCGTGCGCCTGTAACCCCAGCTACTTGGGAGGCTGAGGCAGGAAAATTGCTGGAACCCAGGAGGCGGAGGTTGCAGTGAACCGAGATGGTGCCACTGCACTCCAGCCTGGGTGACAGAGTGAGACTCTATCTCAAAAAAAAAAAAAAAAATTCTTATTTTT
Source organism: Homo sapiens (assembly GCF_000001405.40). Classification (NCBI taxonomy): domain Eukaryota; kingdom Metazoa; phylum Chordata; class Mammalia; order Primates; family Hominidae; genus Homo; species Homo sapiens. The sequence goes on along the minus strand of NC_000002.12, from coordinate 55,061,055 downwards.
AAAATATGCATACTAAAATTTAGACGAAGAATGTCATGATGACTGTTATTTACTTAACATTCTTTAGTATTGGAGGTCCACTTCTAAAGAATAGGATAATGGATACTAGGGGCCAACAAGAAGTCTTCTTTATTTTGAGACAGGATTGTGCTCTCTCACACAAGCTGGAGTACAGTGGTATGATCTTGGCTGACCACAGCCTCGACCTCGTAGGCTCAAGTAATCCTCCCACCTCAGCCTCCTGAATAGCTGGGACTACAGGTGCGTGCCACCATGCTAGCTAATTTTTGTATTTTTTGTAGAGATGGTATTTTGCCATGTTACCCAGGCTGGTCTCAAAATCCTGGAATCAAGCGATCCACCTGCCTTGGCCTCCCAACGTGCTGGGATTATAGCTGTGATCCACCGTGGCCAGCCCAAGAAGTCTTTAGCATACTCTGCCACCAGACTGTGAGTTGCATGAGGGCAAGGATTGTGCCTATTTTGCTTCCATAACCAGTGCTTAATACACTGTCCAGCATATAGTAGCACTCCTTGCATATTTGTTAAACGAATGAATATGTGAGGATGATAAAGGAATGTAGAAATTAACCATGAGTTCCACTGACATTGGGAATCCAGCAGACATCTGTCAAGAGATCACTGCACTTAAAAATAGGTATAACTGAAATATGACAACTATATGCTATAATTAGCACTAAAGAGGTATGAAAAACTATGGAACTGCAAAGAAACAAATAAAAGATAGAAAACATTAAAAAGGTAAAATAATGGCAAGATACTATTGTTAACTGTATTGCCCCATGCCCATTCCTTTTAAAGTCCAGGGCATTGAATTAGCTTTTTGTAATAAAAATAGCCAAATATAAAAAGCTAAATTCTGTGTGTTTTTTGGGAGATTGTTAGAAATCCAATCTATTTTTTTCTCCCCTTACTCTCCACCTTATCTCCTTCTCCTACTACTGCTGTGGGAAGATAGCAAGACACCCACTGGCTGACTGCAGTTTCAATCCATTAGCCAGCGACATTCCAGGAGAGTTTCCCCCTTGTTTGCATCATTAATCAAAACGTATTATGGCTGGGGGCAGGGTGGCTCACCCCTGTAATCCCAGCACTTTGGGAGGCCAAGGCAGGAGGATCGCTTGAACCCAGGAGTTAGAGACCAGCTTGGGCAACATGGTGAAACCCCATCTCTCTCTCTCTTTCTCTCTCTCTCTTTTTTGAGACAGAGTCTCACTCCGTTGCCCAGGCTGGAATGCAGTAGTGCAATCTTGGTTCACTGCAACCTCCACCTCCTGGGTTCAAGCGATTCTCCTGCCTCAGCCTCCTGAGTAGCTGGGATTACAGGCACCTGCCATGACACCCAGCTAATTTTTGTATTTTTAGTAGAGACAGGGTTTCACCATGTTGGCCAGGCTGGTCTCGAACTCCTGACCTCAAGCGATACACCCACCTTGGCCTCCCAAAGTGCTGGGATTATAAGCATGAGCCACTGTGCCCGGCCTGAAACCCCATCTCCAGTAAATATACAAAAATTAGCCAGGTGTGGTGGTGCGTACTTGTAGTCCCATCTACTCCGGAGGCTGAGGTGGGAGGATGGCTTGAGCCTGGGGTGTTGAGGCTACAGTGAGCCGTGATCGCACCACTGCACTCCATCCTGGGCAACAGAGTGAGACTGTCTCAAAAATAAAAAAAGTATTAATTAAATTTCTACTATATGTATTAAGTATATTAAAAAAAAAAAACAATTAAGTCTAAATCATAGATTTTGTCCTTGGGATGTCGAGATCAGCACAGGCAAAACAAAAAGTAAAAAGTCCCAACAAATACCTTATTTTTCTGTGGTGCTTTACATTTACAAAGAGCTTTGACAATGAAATTTCACTTATTCCTGAAACAATACCTTGTCATAGGCTGGGTTGAAAAAAAAATGAATTGACTTGCTCAAGGTCATCTCCGTTATTAGAGATAAACCTGGAATTAGAACCCAAGTTTTCTGGCACCATGTTCTCTAGGTATCACACTACCTTCTGAAAGCCAAAACTTAGGCCAGGCATGGTGGCTCATGCCTGTAATCCCAGCACTCTGAGAGGCCGAGGTGGCGACGATCACTTGAGCTCAAGAGTTCAAGACCAACCTGGGCAACACAGTGAGACCCTCCTCTCTATTATTATAATTTAAAAAAAAAATTATCAAAAAAGAAAGCCAAAACTTAAACCAGAATTGCATTTTTGACTGTACAATGTACCAGGAGCAACTAACAGAGCTGCCACGTGACTGAAATAAATCTTGACTGTAGAGATGATTTCTAAAGCTATCTGTCATTTCTTTGATTTTTTTTCCATTTTTCTTAGCATCCTGGAAGCACCACTTTATTTTCCCTCTTCTTTCTGCTTCCAGCAGCTGCAGACCCAATGTAATCACCAAGAGAGAATGAAAACCTCCAACTACCATGAATCAGGCTTAACACAGTAAGAGAACATTTGGGATTCTACTATAAGAATTTCCACTAAAATTTCGTCAACAAAAAGTTCAGAAGCTGTTAAGCATAGACAAGCCTGAAAGTGGCTGGTAGCTGGCATGTACACCATGGAAATTTCGTATGGGTAAAAAAATGAATCTGATTTTGTGTGGTACATTTAACATTATCACCACCTACACATTCAGTTAAAAGCTGTTCATGGCTGAAGAGAAACCCCTGATTCCCTCCTACATCATATCTCAGCCTAGTTTTGGTAAGATCCGTGGGGAGCTTCATCAAGGATGTTTGCATCCTTTACCCAGAACAAACATTCTAGTAGTGCAACACTCATAGAATCTAAAGAATAGAAGATTAATTTAGTAATATTTAATAAGGAAATGATAATAATAATGTAAATTTAAAAATATTCCCTCCAACTTTTCCCTCTCCTTTATCCCTTGTAGATCATGAATCAGTCCCTGAGGCCTCTCCAGTTTTTAAAGTCCCTCAAATAGGTCCTTTATTTCCAGTCCCACCATCCTAGTTTTAGTTCTCTTTAGCTTTGTGATCAAAACCCACTGAACTACTCTATTATTTATTTATTTTATTTTTGAGATAGGATTTTGCTCTGTTGCCCAAGCTGGAGGGCAATGGTACAATCATGCCTTACTGTAACCTTGACCTCCTTGGCTCAAGCGATCCTCCCGTCTTAGCCTCCCAAGTAGCTAGAACCACATGCATGCACAATCACACCCAGCTAATTTTTTATTTTTTGTAGAGATAGGTTTTTGCTATGTTGCCCAGGCTGTTCTCAAACTACTGGCCTCAAGCAAGCCTCTGCTTTGGCCTCCCTAGGTGCTGGGATTATAGGCGTGAACCACCAGGCCTGGGTGAACTACTCTTAGTACCCATCCTCTTTTCGCTTTCTCAAACGCATTCTTCACATGTTCCAAATAGTTTGCTCAATCAAGTTCTTCTGCTCAAAAATAGAGTGACTTATCAAGTCTTAATTGCTTTTGTGACTTTCAAGGTCCTTTAGAACATGGCTTCACCTTAGCTATGTGACCTTATTCTGCTCTAATAGTAGCAATAATAATAATAATTACTATTGATTGAGTACCCAAGTGCCTGACTCTGTGCTAGGTGCTTTCCTTATACAATTTGCTAACACAAATCCTTACTTCAATTAGACCTGTGTCCTATGGTTCCCATATATACTTTGCTCTCTTCTCAAATGCCTATGCTCTATTTTCTGTACCTTCTATGCCTCCGAATCCTACTATTTTGAGAGTGAGGTCATTTCTCAGCTCCTCCAAAAAATCCGCATACATCATATCAGACCCACTGATTTCTTCCCTATTTGGCTTTCTTGCTAAGCTATGCAGATATTTAATACCACTGTATGGTTATTTAGTTGTTTCAGGTATGTAAATTCATCTCCAGTTAAATAGGAGAGCAATGTAAATGTATTGGCAGCTAAATTTATTGACATCCATGGATGGGCTTTGAAACATGCATGAACCATTGAAAAATTATGTTTTGTGTTTGTGCATTTTTTCTGGGGTCAGAAGTTTTCAAAGCATCCCAAAGAGGTCTATGAAGGGGGTTGGGTTACTTTCTGGATAACAAGCCTTATTTTGAGATCAAGCCTACTACCTAAACCTAGGAATTATATCTTATTGCATAACCTCTGATTCTCCATTGTAAAATTTCTGGCTTTGTTACATAGGCCTGAGTTTTAAAATTCCGACCTGTGTTTTTTACTCTGCTTTAATAAACAGAGTGGGCATCCTGAGTTGTGATGCAGAACACATAATCACTATATTGGGAACTTATTTCAACAATAATTTCTAAATTAAATACTTTTTAAATAGGCAATACAGTTACATAATTTGAAGGTCAAAACTACAGAAAGAGGATATCCAGAGAAGTTTCACTTCTACCTGACTTTTTTTTTTTTGAAATGGGGTCTTGCTCTGTCACCCAGTTTGGGTGACACACTCCATCACGCCCAGCTAATTTTTGTATTTTTTGTAGAAATCAGGTTCGCCATGTTGCCCAAGCTGGTCCCGAACTCCTGACCTCAAGTGATTTGCCCACCTTCGCCTCTCAAAGTGTGGAATTACAGGTACGAGCCACCACAGCCGGCTCACCTTTTCATGTAAAGGAAGCACTTTATGACTTCTCTTTGGCATATCCAGATTGCCAGCGTCCTTACCCTCATACTCTGGGGCCATTATTACGTAAAATAAGGGTTACCTGAATGCAGCACTGTGATACCATGACAGCCGATCTGATCCCAGGGATGGCTGCTAAGTGACTATCACGAGGGGAGGGCAGGGAGCGTAGATAGTGTGATCACTGGACAAAGGGATGATTCACCTCCCTTGAGGGACAGAAGGGGACTGCTTGAGATTTCATCATGCTACTCAGAACAGAACACAATTTAAAACTTATGAATTGTTTATTTTTGGAGTTTTCATTTTAATATTTTTGAACTGCAGCTGACTGAGGGTAACTAAGACCACGGAAAGTGAAAGCATGGATTAAGTGGAACTACTGTGTGTGTACAGATATATATATATATATACACACACACACACACACAAACACATATATGTATATATAGATACATAAATCTATATCATCTACATATATGTATATACATGTATACATCTATATATACACATATTTATAGATATACATTCTTATGTAAACTAGACTATGCATTCTTTGACATTAGGAAATGTGTTTTATCTATTATTTATCACCAGAGCCTAGATGGTCAGTAGGTTTTTGTTTTTGTTTTTTTTGTTTTTTTTTTTGAGACGGAGTCTCGCTCTGTTGCCCAGGCTGGAGTGCAGTGGCGCGATCTCTGCTCACTGCAAGCGCTGCCTCCCAGGTTCACGCCATTCTCCTGCCTCAGCCTCCCGAGTAGCTGGGACTACAGGCGCCCGCCACCACGCCTGGCTAATTTTTTTTTGTATTTTTAGTAGAGACGGGGTTTCACCATGTTAGCCAGGATCATCCTGATCTCCTGACCTCGTGATCCGCCTGCCTTGGCCTCCCAAAGTGCTGGGATTACAGGCGTGAGCCACCGCGCCCGGCCAAGGTCAGTTGGTTTTAGTTGAATCAATGAACAATGTTTAAAGACAGTGACCACTTGGTTTCTATCTATCTCCATTGAAGATTAAATAACAGAACTTACACTTCAACCTTTAAGTATTAAAAATAATAAGTTATATATTAGAATGAGTTGTTAAATTTTGTGGACTCTTTTCTGCCTTCTTTCTTCATATGAGGACACATTTTTATTTGTCTAAGACAGCATAGGATGTCTTCTGCTTGGTTTTGTACTAGTAGATCAAAATTAACTTTCTCGTATCTGAAATAATTTTTTTGCTAGATCAAAATAAATTTCTCCAGGGAAACAATGCATATTCAAATAGCCTAATTTCTAATAATGCAGGGGACCGAAAACAGTTAAAGGAGAAAGATTTGGTTCAGTTTTAATTATGACTTTCACTTGCTTATTATGGGATTTCTTTTTGGGACTTAACATTTTTATTTTAGATCCAACACTAACTGTCAATGCTTAACTAACATGACTGAAGAAGTTGATCTTACATTTATATTTCTATTCTTATTACAGAATGGATTTAATATGTTAAGATGTTGAACAGAACCATGAACTGCATTTCACAAAATGGTACATTTCATAAAATCTAAAATCCCAGCAAAATGATAGGGACAACAACTTAGCACGCTGTTAATTTTTCACTTAAGGGTGCCAAAATGATATTTCAGTCTTTTTTACATAGAAAGGTCAGATGTCATTCAGTGGCGCTCCTGAACACAGGCAAGTCATTTTCAGAGGTGAAAAAGCTGTGGTTGACTGCTCTTGAAACAGGTTTCTCTACAATCCACCTCTCATCTTTCTTCTCTTACCGAACCCACTCTGGTGTTCACGTCCTGCTATATGTAGGCAAGAGTATACCCATCCTACGCCTTTTAACTCTTTTGAGGGGCATACATAATTCAAGGACAATTAACTTGTTCTACAAATACCAGTTTAGGTGTCAATTTAGCATTCTGCAAATAAGGTATAATACTATAGAAATGGAAGGGGTGATTTCCCCAAGTAATAGGTCTCTTACTGAAAACATGCAAGCACGTTTGTGTCTGGCGTAGTGCTGTATTCTTCAAAGTCTTGAGCAGGGCCTGGTGCAGACTGTATACCCAACAAATATTTCTCTTATTAAAAAGTATAAAGTGAAAGCACAAAAGGGATGGTTAAGCAAGATAAGAAAGATGAGAGGTGGATTACAGACACACCTGTTTCAAGAGCAGTCAACCACAGCTTTTTCACCTACTGAAAATGACTGGCCTGTGTTCAAGAGCACCTCTGAATTACATTCAATCTTTCTATTTAAAAGAGACTGAAACATCATTTTGGTACTCTTAAGAATTTTTTTATTTAAATTTTTTATTTGTATAAATTTATGGGTACAAGTGTAATTTTTTTGCATGTATTGATTGCATAGTGGTCACCCTTTTAGTGTATCCATCACCCTAATAATGTACATTGTACCAATAAGGAATTTCTCATCATCCCTTCTCCTTCTCTCCAGTCTTCTGAGTCTCCACTATCATTCCAAACTCTATGTCCATATGTACACTTTATTTAGCTCTTGCTTATAAGTGAGACCATGATAATGGAAGAGAGATTGGTTAAGCTGACCTCCCAAAGTTCTCCCAACCCTAAGATTCTATGATTCTAGCAGGCTGGATCTCTTGTAGTGTTCTCAGAGAGAACAGCTACTAACCAGTGGTATCTGAAAACTTTAATCTTCTACTTCTGATGAGGTATTTTCTTTTCTTTGTTTCTTTTTTTTTTTGTTTTTTTTTGAGATGGAGTTTCGCTCTTTTCACCCAGGCTGTAGTGCAATGGCATGATCTTGGCTCACTGCAACCCCTGCCTCTCAGGTCCAAGCAATTCTCCTGCCTCAGCCTCCCAAGTAGCTGGGGTTACAGGTGTGCACCACCATGCCCTGCTAATTTGGTATTTTTAGTAGAGATGGGGTTTCACCATGTTGGCCAGGCTGGTCTCAAACTCCTGACCTCAAGAGATCTACCCGCCTCAGCCACCCAAAGTGCGGGGATTATAGGCATGAGTCACGGTGCCCGTCTGATAAGCTATTTTCAAATATAAATTATTGAATAATTATTTTAAAACTATTATTAGTATCTAGAATGTGCATTTTTCTTTTAACTGGTTCAAATGTCCACCAGAATTTTGTTAGTGATAGTGATATTTACATCTAGTTACAACAATGTATAACTAGCTTTACTTTTAATTGTGGTAGAGCAGCAACAGCCTCCTTTCTTTTTGCTTTGTTGATCATTCTATGAAAGCTGGGCAAACTCTTTACTCATCTATCTATCAAATACTTATTTTTTTAGAAGTCACTGAGATTAATAAAATTTATTTTTATTCTGCACCAGATAGTGCTTATATTATTGCATCAATATTAACTGCTATTTCCTATTAAAATTGTAAATCTACTATTTATAATTATTCTTTTGTGAAACTTTGATTAAAGATACTCCTTTGAGACTATTTTAGTAGTAGTAGGTACAGGGATATATGAATGCAGAAATATCATATAAACAACTTGCAAATAACGTAAGTCCTGTTTATATTAGACATACATAAAGGCCCTGTGAAACTTATCATTAAGGAATTTCAGAACAGTCATAGTGGGAAAAGCATGCGGGGAAGACTGCTGATAGCTAAACTGTGACAATAGAAAAGGTCGTATCATAAAATACTGTTAGTATATTTTTGTATGTTTATGCAATTGGTTGAAAATCAGGCAAATTTTTTATAATTTTTGATAAATATTTGACAAAGACTTCAAATATGTCTCTTGTAGTCACCATTGTAGAAATTTGTTTTGTTTAAATTCATTTGGCATTAACTTCCCGCCCCAAAATTCTACATCAATACATCTCTCTTCCTACTCTTCCCAACCCCTCCAAAAAATAACACCAAACTCAAAGCAAGTCACAAACGTTTTGCACAAATAAAGCCAGTTCTCCGTGGAATTAATGTGATAGGTCTTGAATATATTGTTGATAATTAACCCAATCAAGTAACATTGCCAGGAAATCTTTATTCTTTTCCTTTTTTAAAGGTTCATAAACTTTATTTCTTAGAGCAGTTTTAGGTTTACAGAAAAGTTGAACAGGAAGTACAGAGTTCCCATACACTCTCACTCCTGCCCCCTAACCACAGTTTCCTCTATTATTATTAACATAACGCATTGAGGTGGTACATTTGTTACAACTGATGAACTGATATTGATATATCATTAACTAAAGTCAATAGTCTACATTAGGGTTCACTCTTTCTGTTGTATAGTCCTGTGGGTTTTGTCAAATGCATAATGTTATGTATCCACCATTACAGGATAATACAGAACAGTTTCACTGCCCCCAAAATCTTCTGTGTTCCACCTATTTATCCCTCCCTCCAACTCTTACTTTTCTTTTTTAATACCCAAATTAAGCCACAGTAATATAAATTAGTTGGAGCTAAGAATTTGCCAGTGATTCCCCATGGCAATCAAACTTTCTTAATTATTAATCTAGACTAGCACTGTCCAAAAGAAATATAATGTGAGCCATTATGTATTTAAAAAACTCTAGAAGCTGCTTTAAAAGGAACAAGTAAAATTAATTTAATAATATTATACTTATCCCAATATATCCAAAATATCAATTTCAACATTCAGTCAACAGGAAAGCTGAGATATTTTACATTTCGGAGGTACTAATTCTTGAAATCCAGTGCGCATTTTACACTTACAGCACATCTAATTTCAGCCTAGCTACATACATTCCGAGTGTTCAATCAGTAGCCACAAGTAGCCAGTACCTGTCAGGTACAGCACAGATTTAGACTTTGAGCAACTTGAAAGCAGGTTATCCTCTTCTCTCCAGGGCCTCCAGAGTAGGCATGCAGTGAATATTTTTGAAAGGTAAATCAGAAAGATAAAAGGATCCTGATTCTTACAAAGATGTTCTGCAACTACTCTCTTTAAACTCTCCAGCCTCATAAAAAGTGGAATGGGGATCATGCTTATTCCTGCATATCAAACCAATGACTATGGGGCTTCCTGACTCCCAGAAAGCCTGAATCATCCGAAATGTTGACTCATGAACCTAAGGTGACTGAAATGTAACGTGAACCAAATTAGCTTTCCAAGGCATCTTTGTATTTCCACTTTCCTGTCTCCCCGCTGCCTCTCTCTTTGGGTGACTCACTCTCTTACCATGTAAGAGTCCAGCAGGCAAGGCCCCAAACTCTCTTTGGAAGAAGAGCAGACTTTCAAATGGTCGGCCCCAGATCCCTAGTTAATTCAGCACAGCTGTTTTCCTCCCAATTTCGGGGGCTGCGGTTTAGACTGAGTGAGCCTAACTGTCAAAAAACAATTTTTTTCTTATTTTAGGGTGGTAGTAGTAGTGATGTAGTTTGGAACTTTGAGTGAACAAATAATCTTTTATTTCAAAAATCTTTAAAAATCCTTAGGGCCCACTTCCCAGTCCCGCTAATACCTTTCTCCAGTCGGGTTTCTTCCTTTCCCGGGAGGAAAGTTTCCACTCTCAGTTCCCCCAGGATAACGCCCTTCCGGTGGCGCGCCAGAAACCGCGCCGACCCCTCCCAGCCAGCAGCCCGCCCCCTTTCCCAGTGCTCTAACGACATACGGACGCCAGCTGCGGGCAAGGCCAAGACCCCACCCCAACTCACGGTTACCCAAAGTGGGGGTGGAGCTCCCAGCTCTCAGCCCCGCCCATTGAACGCAATCCCAGCCGGTAAGAGAGAGGAAGTGCCGTAGTCCCCACCCACTTTCATCTCCTTCCCTTTCTGTTGGCCCGGCTGGTCGCCTATCTTCTCGATCCTGTAGCCGATTGGCTCTCTCCCTCCCGCGCCAGTCCCTGCCCTCCCCTGGGGAGGGTGAGTCACGCCAAACTGGGCGGAGAGTCCGCTGGCCTCACTCCTAGCTCATCTGGGCGGCGGCGGCAAGTGGGGACAGGGCGGGTGGCGCATCACCGGCGCGGAGGCAGGAGGAGCAGTCTCATTGTTCCGGGAGCCGTCACCACAGTAGGTCCCTCGGCTCAGTCGGCCCAGCCCCTCTCAGTCCTCCCCAACCCCCACAACCGCCCGCGGCTCTGAGACGCGGCCCCGGCGGCGGCGGCAGCAGCTGCAGCATCATCTCCACCCTCCAGCCATGGAAGACCTGGACCAGTCTCCTCTGGTCTCGTCCTCGGACAGCCCACCCCGGCCGCAGCCCGCGTTCAAGTACCAGTTCGTGAGGGAGCCCGAGGACGAGGAGGAAGAAGAGGAGGAGGAAGAGGAGGACGAGGACGAAGACCTGGAGGAGCTGGAGGTGCTGGAGAGGAAGCCCGCCGCCGGGCTGTCCGCGGCCCCAGTGCCCACCGCCCCTGCCGCCGGCGCGCCCCTGATGGACTTCGGAAATGACTTCGTGCCGCCGGCGCCCCGGGGACCCCTGCCGGCCGCTCCCCCCGTCGCCCCGGAGCGGCAGCCGTCTTGGGACCCGAGCCCGGTGTCGTCGACCGTGCCCGCGCCATCCCCGCTGTCTGCTGCCGCAGTCTCGCCCTCCAAGCTCCCTGAGGACGACGAGCCTCCGGCCCGGCCTCCCCCTCCTCCCCCGGCCAGCGTGAGCCCCCAGGCAGAGCCCGTGTGGACCCCGCCAGCCCCGGCTCCCGCCGCGCCCCCCTCCACCCCGGCCGCGCCCAAGCGCAGGGGCTCCTCGGGCTCAGTGGGTGAGTGCCGCGACCTCTCGCTTCGCGCCGCCCCTCGCGCCCCTCCCTCTTTTGTGTGCAGCCCCAGATGCTTTGGGCTGGTCCCTCCTCTCCGCCCCGAGGGCGCTTTGTCTGCGGACTTCGGGGCGATGGCGCCCCGTCTGGTTGGAAGCGCGGGGAGAAGGGTGGGGCGGCCCTTGGAGCCCGGGTTTGTTCTTATTGTCCGTCTTGGTTTCGGGGAACACGTGCACCGCTCCCGGCTCCCACTTTCACCCTGTGTGATGCCCAGCGTACGGATTCTCGGAAGTTAGGCACCCACCCGTAGTAGGAGCCGGGTATATACCCGAGAGCCAGGGTTGTGGATTTATCGGGTTGGTTGGGCTTCGAGGTGAGGAAGGAAAGGCCTTGGCACCCAGATATTTTTAGGAGGTGCTTTTGTCTACCCGTCTGGGTTGCTCCTTTGGAAAAGGTGCAGTTTTGCTGCGGGTCTGTTGGCCTGCATTCTGCCCCGGGCTCCCTCCTCACCTCCTGGCTGGCGTGGGTGGCCCCTTTGCGCTTCCCCTCCCCCTCCTCCTGTGCTCGTGGGGAGCTGGCCGAGTGGAAAACGTCCACATTGACCCAACCGCAGTGAAGGGAGAGCGCCTCCAGTGGTGTGGTGCGTGGAGAAATGGGAAGGAGAGAGTTCTGGTAAAGTCCTGCCACCGCCCAGCTCCCCGGGGTGTGATGTGGACTGCTCCCCACCAGCTAAACCGAGCCAGGGAAAGGGGATCTAGGCATTGTGTTCGAGGGGGCGTAGTTCTGCCGGGGTTTCAGCTGCAGGGTCGGAGGAATTGCTGTTAGTGTGGACTTGGCCCAGCCTCTTAGTGCATCATAATTGAATCTTACAGAAAAAAATAAAAGGCAAAATGGTTGACATTCCTAAAGAAGGGAAAACCTGTGGATTCCTTGCCAGGAATTGGCTAATTGAACTCGTGGCAGATTTACCATGAGACACAGAGAAATGTTTTGAGACAGACATTTTCATATATATTGGTTAGAAATACTGTTTTTCAGAAGGATATGTTTTAGGTTACAGAATCAAAATACGGTCACGTGCCTCATAACGACGTTTAGGTCAAGGACAGACCGCATTTGCAACGGTGGCTCCATAAGGTTGTAATGGAGCTGAAAAATTCCTGCCGCCTAGCGACGTCTTGATCTTGACCCTGTGTAGGCCTAGGGTAATGCGTTTGTATCTTAGTTTTTAACAAAAGTTAAAAAAAAAATAGAAAAAAGCTTATAGAATAAGAATATAAAATTTCTTTTCTATAGCTTTAAAATGTGTTTGTGTTTTAAGTTAAACGTTATTACAAAAGAGCCAAAAAGTTTATAAAATAGAAAAGATACAGTAAGCTAAGGTTGATTTATTATTGAAAAAATATATCTAAAGATAAATTTAGTGTAGCCTAACCGTAGAGTGTCTGTAAGTTGTACAGTAGTACATGGTAATGTCCTAGGCCTTCACATTCACTCACTACTCACGTCCACAGCAGCTTCCAGGCTGGCAAGCTCTGTTCATGGCCAGTGCCCTGCACACGTGTGCCATCTTTTAATCCTTTGTACAGTGTTATTTTAGGTATGTTTAGATAAACACTACACAAATACCATTGTGTTACAGTTGCCTACAGTAACATCCTGTATAGGTTAGTAGCCTAGGAGCAATTGATTATACCATATAGCCTACATATAGGTATGTAGTAGGCTCTACCATCTAGGTTTCTGTAAGTATACTGTGAGGTTTGCACAACGACAGAATTGCCTAACAATACATTTCTCAGATCCTGTTCCCCCTGTTCAGCGAGGCATGACTATGTATGGTCTGTAAAATAGTTTTCAAGTTCTTTCATTCACCTAAGTTCCTGATTGTATGTTATTATTAGTCACGTTGTTTTATTGCCGTTTTCATCTTGGGAAATTATTTTGGAAGCGAAAAAAATCACGTTTGTTAGAGATTGAGAATGCATAATATTAGATACATTCATAAGTACTTGCTACTTCGGGGACAGAAAGTGTCCCACTAGCAGTAGGACCTTTATGTATAAAAGGTCAAGAATCAAGTAGTGTAACTGCCTGCTTGGAAATCTTCATAGCCTTGTAGGATGTTAGAGGTGATTCATTTCTTAAAAGAAAATCAGTCTGATTTTTTTTTTTCTCAATTCACTTCTCCATAATGGGGGAAAATAAGCCAATTGCGATGCTTTTTAGTAATATTTTGATGTTGACGGACTCCTCACCCCCATACTACTCAAAACACTAATTGCCATATTAAAGGTCTTAGAAGATGAGGAGTAACTCAATCTTTTCCTTTTTCTTTATGAAAAAGACATACTTGAGGGAAACTGAGGTAAGAGAAAAATATGAAATATATTTTTAAACAGGAATTTTTTTTTTTTTTTTTTGAGATAGTCTCCCCCTTGTCACCAGGCTGGAGTGCAATGACGCAATCTTGGCTCACTGCAACCTCCGCCTCCCAGGTTCAAGTGATTCTCCTGCCTCAGCCTCCCGAGTAGCTGGGATTACAGGCGCCTGCCACCACGCCTGGCTAATTTTTGTATTTTTAGTAGAGACGGGATTTTACCATGTTGGCCAGGCTGGTGGTCTTGAACTCCTGACCTCCAGTGATCCACCCACCTTGGCCTCCCAAAGTGTTGGGATTACAGGCATGAGCCACTGCGCCTGGCCACAGGAAGTTTAATGATTGACAAAAGCATACTAATCTTGTATTGGTATGGGAACAAAGAAAATAGTTCTGTCTTTGAACATTAGGGATTCAGGGGGTGACAGCACTCTCTTGGAATCTTGTGTGTTGGAATGCTGAGGTTGGAAGGCAATGGGGAAAGAATATTGCCTGTTCTACAGAGTTCCCTAATTCCATATTGATGATACCTATTGGGAAACTTTAGTTTTTTTAGTAAGTGTAAGAACATTGTGATTATGGTTGTGGATAGTTAACCATTTTCAATGTGTCTGGATTTCTTAATGCATTCAAGAGTTTGTTCATTAATTCAACCCATTATTGATTACCTACCAAGAGACAGGATCTATTCTAAGCTTTGAGGGTATAGCAATAAGCAAGACACATGCTCCCCCTTGGGAGAGTACAGATAATAAGCACATAAATAAAGAACCCAGAATAGTGGTGTTATGAGGAAAATAAACAGGATAATGGCATAGAGAATGATGGGGATTTATGGGGGCTTTTTTAGGTTAGGTGACACTAAGACAGGCTTAGAAGGTGAGATTTGAGCTGCAGAGAGAAAACATTTCCAAGCAACTTCAGGGCAAAACCCTGAGGCAGGAATGAGCTCTTTGTGTCTGAGAATCTAGTGTAAGACTAGTGAGAAAAACTAGTGGGAGAGTGAAGAGGTGGCCTTACCCACCCAGATCATTGGGGGTCTCTAACAGGCAATGGTAAAAATGTTTAGCTTTTTAAAAAAATAAAAATATGCTTATTAAATAATTATATTGTGATTTTGGAACTAAAATAAGTTTGGAAGATTCAGGGCTACTGAGAGGACTGATGTGAGACAAAGGTGAGAAATGTGCAGAGCAGGGTTAGAAGCATAGACTAGCCTGCCTGGAAGAGAGGGTTTCTAGATCACTGACACTTGTCTGTTTAACATTGCTGTTTACGTTATTTATGAGTAAGCCCTGATTTTCATCTGTTAATAAGTTGTAATTTTACTGTTTGCTGTTGTGCCCAGAGCATCTCCATCGCAATGCAGTAACTGAAGTGAGACTAAAACCTCTCACTTGAGGGCCATTTTTCATGGGAAAATACTTGGCTTAGTGGTTGGTTAAGTTAGGCTTTGAGGATATGCGCAGAAAACTCTGGCTAGAAATCGATTTGAGAGCAGTGCAAACATAATTAAGGGTGACTTCGAACTGGTCTCTGGACATGTTCTAAACCAAGGTTAATTAAGACCGAAAATATGTAGATCTGGATTCTGAAAGATACTGAATGCCAAATTAAGGAATTTGGATTTTATCATTCCACTTTAATCCATGCTCTGCTATCCAGTTGCCCTTGCTTTTGGTAATTTATATTATGAAACCAAAATTGTTTTTTTTAATTGTTGTTTCTAAAGTTATTGTTTTTCACCCCTTCTCGAATTAGAGCTTTTGGCTTTGGGAAGACAGCCATTGAAGGTTATTTGAACTGAGGCAAGGCACCGTGAAAGCAGTATTAGAAAATTGGTGACAATATTCAAGATAGGTGGGAAGGAAAAGCAGATGAATTATTTAGAAAGCTATTACAGTAGTTCTGAGAAAGATGAGTAGGGCCTGAACTATTTCATTATTTGTTCATTCAGTGAAAATGGAATAGAAGGGAGGAATATAAGAGTATAAGAAGCACGCTTTCTTTAATTGGCTGTGAATCTGTTTTTATAGTTAGTTTACGAAGAGGCTGTATGAAAGACGAATTGATAGGACTTGGAAACCATGAATGTAAAGACAAAGAAAAGAATATTAGTGCTTATTAAATCAGTTTCAGAGACTGCCAAAATTTAATTGCCATGAAAATTTGTATAAAATTGAATATTGCTCATAAATACAGATTATGGGTTGGGGCTTAAAAATTACTAGTTTTTACTATCATGAAGCCATTTATTATATGATCATTTTTATTGGCGTAGTAGCATGTATTAGAAATTTTAAGATTTTGAGTGACATATGGTTTAAATATTAGGTATCAGTTCTTAATATAAAGTCCAAGTTCCCAGGAAGTGGATGCTTCTAAACACAAGAAAGTCATGCCCTGTCCATTCCCCACTTTCATTTTTGTGATTCTGAATAATTTCTGGTTAAGCCATTTCTTATTTTTAAAAGTTGGGAATAAGTAGTATACTCCTCATGGATATGGTGAATTATGTTTCAGATTGGTTCCTGGGCAACTGAGTGTCAAATTTGTGGTCTTTTTTTTTTTTTTTTTTTTTTTTTAGTGATTTGCAAACTCTCTCAAATCCTTTTTAAAATGAAGTGATGGGTATATGTGGAACCACTGATAAATAACTGCATGGAATAGTGTTTAGAAAACATGCTATTTTAGTGCTATATTATTGTAAACTTAAAGGATTTGCCATGTTATAAAAACATTTCTGAAAAGGAGCATGTTACCTATTGTCCATTAATTGGCTTTGTTTTATGTGTAGTTATTTTCTTTTTAAAAATCTAAAAACCAAAAAACAATGGTCTCACTTTTGTCCAGGCTGGTCTCAAACTTGGGGCCTGAAGCAATCCTCCTGCCTGGACCTCCCAAAGTGCTGGGATTACAGGCATGAGCCACCATGCCTGGCAAGTTTTTTTGTTTGTTTGTTTGTTTGTTTGTTTCTTTTGAGACAGAGTCTTACTCTGTCGCTCAGGCTGGAGTGCAGTGGCATGATTATGGCTCACTATACCCTTGACCTCCTGGGCTTAAGCAGTCCTCCCACTTCAGCCCCCCAGGTAGCTGAGACTACAGGTGCACACCACCATGCTGGCTATTTTTAAAATTTTTTAAAAAAACTTTTATATTTATGTATTTATATTTTGGAGACAGGGTCTTGCTCTTTCACCCAGGCTAAAGTATAGTGGTGCAGTCTTGGCTCACTGCAGCCTCATCTTCTGGGCTCAAGTGATCCTGCCACCTCAGCCTCCCAACTAGCTGGGACCACAGGCACGTACCACCACGCCCGGCTAATTTTTGTGTTTTTCGTGCAGATAGGGTTTCGCCATGTTGCCCAGGCTGGGCTCAAATTCCTGAGGTCAAGCAGTCTTCTCGAAGTGCTGGGTTTACAGGCGTGAGCCACCACACCCAGCCTAAATATATTTTTATTTTTATTTTTATTTTATTTTATTTTTGAGGTGGAGTCTTGCTCTGTAGCCCAGGCTGGAGTGCAGTGGCGCAATCTTGGCTCACTGCAACCTCCACCTCCTAGGTTCCAGCAATTCTCCTGCCTCAGCCTCCCGAGTAGCTGGGACCACAGGCATGTGCCACCACACCTGGCTAATTTTTGTATTCTTAGTAGAGACGGGGTTTCACCATGTTGGCCAGGCTGGTCTTGAACTCCTGACCTCAGGTGACCCACCTGCCTCGGTGTCCCACAATTCTGGGATTACAGGTGTGAGCCACTGCTCCCAGCCTTATTTTTATTTTTTTAAAGATGGGGTCTTACTATGTTGGCCAGGTTGGTCTTGAACTCCTGGGCTCAAGCAGTTCTCCCACCTCGACTTCTGAAAGTGTTGAAATTACAGGTGTGAGCCACTGTGCCCCGCCATTTATTTTCATAATATACCTTCAAGCAACTTATTAGAATAACTTGATTCAAAGCCTCAATTTAATGGTTCCTTTTTAAGGTACTTTGCTAGCCCAGGATAAAAGTATAAACTGAATGGCTATTTCTTGATTCTTCCCTGGAACCCTTAAATAAATAGAAGTAAATGTTGCAGATATACTATACTTATGGTACATTCTTTGAGACTTTTTGTTCCTGTTTCTAAAGGGATCAGGTTCTTCTGAGGATGACAGCACTAGGGATGGGAACTGTAATGGTAAAACCATAGTTCTCAGTAGTGTTTGAATGAATGTGACCTTTGTGGATAGCTAGTGCAGGACATAGGTATGCAAAATGATGAGACCCAGCTTTACTGATGCTAAGATTTTCTCAGACTAATGCCATCATCATCCTTTTTAACCCCAAAGGAGGAGTTGATAATTTCATATTTAAGCTATTGATATTTATGTTTCTTGGAATGATGATCATTGATTTTTAAGTTGCTTTCATCACGTGTTTCCATAATATTCTGTTCTTACCTCTTCATAGTATATATCATTCTATATAAGGTAATGGTATGGTTACTGATTTCTTTCCTCCACCAGACAGTGTACTCCTTGAGGAAAGGTGCTGTGACCTTTTTCTTTGAGGAAAAGGACTGTATGCATTGTGTCTGCATTGCAGTGCCTTAGATGTGATAGGCACTCAGTTTGTTGAATGAGAAAGATGCTGATCTTCATATTCTGTATAGTTCTAGAATTACTATAATATCTTCTCTCAATAAAAATCCCAAATCTTACGAAAGCATTTATTTATTTATGTATACAAGGTAACAATTCCAAACAGTACTACAAGAATACACAGAAAAGTAACTCTTTCTACCTGTTACCCAGATTTCCACAAATTGTCTTCTGTAGATCCACCCTCTGTTAGTAGTTTCTTGAGTATCTGTTTAGAGATAATCTGTGGATAAATATTTATTTATACATGTATATCCTTTTCACTTTATTTTCCACAAAAATAGATGCAGAGGACTCTGGGGATGTACCATATTTTATTTAATCAGTCCCTTATTGATGGTTATTTAGGTTGATACTTAGTTTTTTCTCTTACAAATACTATTTCTGTGAACACTCTTGTATACACTTCTTTGGGAATACATGCCATTATATATGTTGTAGGATAAATCTGTGCAAGTAGAATTACTGCTTCAAAGGATATTTGCATTTAAAATGTTGGTAGCTAATGCCAAAGTGTCATTCAAAGAATGGTTCCAACCTTTATTCCCACCAACCTGTTAAGGTACCTTTTCCCTTATATCTTTACCAACACAGTATATTAGTGAACTAATACATTGTTTAGCAAATTGTTCTTTTAAATTTGAGTCATTTTTCATAGGCTTAGGTGTCAAATTTTTTCTGATCACAGCTTTTGCCTATTCTTTTGGGTTTTTGGTCTCATGTATGTAGATTCACTTAATCTGCATTGTAAGGAAACTAGCCTTTTGTCATATGTCTTGAAAACTTTTTATTGATTTGTTATTTGTATTTTGACCATATGGTATGTTTTTCTGTTTAGAAATTTTTATGTAGTCAGATTTATCATTTTCTTTTATGACTTTGAGTCATAAAAGTGAAAAAAGTCATTGAGTTTTATGTAATCCTTAGAAAATCCTTCTTGAGGATCATAAAAATTTTCCCCCATGTTTACTCCTAGTAAGTACTTTTATACTTTTTATGATTTCATTTTAACATTTAATTATTTGATTTATTTGCAGTTTGTTTTGTTCTAGAGAGTGAAGTAGTGAAATAATTTTATATTTCAAGATTATTTCCCATTTGTTCCAATACCTTTTATTTTGAATTATCCTTCTTAACCACTTTGAAGTACCATTTTTGTCATATTCTTGTAGTATGGGTGAAATATTTCCTCTGCTTTTCCATTTATCTGTCAGTTCACACAGAAGTATCAGACTGTTGTGCTATAATTTTTAAATACTAGCTAAACGGCTTTTCCATAAATATTTTTCTTGGCTATCTTATGTGTGTATAATTTTCTACTTCATCTTAAAATTTTTTTTATCTTGTCCCCTCTCCCTCTGTTGGAGTTTTAGTAGGTTGCATTACATTTATGGATTAATTTTGGGGAGAATTGAAATACATTCGGTGTTGATATTGTGTATTTTTCCATAAACACGTGGTTTTTATTAACATGTATTTAAAAAAAATTTAGCATATAATTAGGTGAACTAGAGACTTTTAAAAATAAATATTCTAGCCTCCTTGTAACATACTGAATTATACAGGTATTTGGCTCTCTCTTTTCAATTGATAATTGACTGAGAAAGAAAGCTAAGTCTTCCTGCTTTTTCATTTCCAAAAAAAAAAAAAAATTGTGTTGAGAAAGAAAGAAATATTCTCTGTACTCTTGTATTAGGAGCTATAGCTGCCAAATACTGGATTTTTTTTTTTTAAAGCAGTCTCTTTACATAGGTGGCCCTCTACTTTTCAAAAATAATTATTTCTTTAATAGCTTGTTTTTCTCATTGATGGAATTGTTACCACAGATACAGAAAGTTTATAAAGTTTTGTTGTTCAAGAGTTTGGAGTTGCTGCTTATATTGGTGGTCTCTTGGAAGTTCAATATTAAGAAAAAAATTAATATATTCCTTTTTTTTTTTAACTAGGCCTAGGGCTGAGTAAGAGGACAAGAAAGATGAATAGAGGTTGTACTTATGAGAGGTATAGGTAGCAGATGAAGGAAAAAATACAGGCCCTTAGTTGTAAAGAATTTTCTGCTCTTAAAACCAGAGGAGTTTTGTGATTGGCCTTACAGGACATATTTACAGATCTGTGAACTGCTTTTGTGGAAAGAGAGAAGCTTACTTAAGGATTCCAGGTCTGCCTACGTGTTCTTTCTCCCCAACTTTGTAGGTTGATTTATAAACTCGCCTAAATGGAAGGTGCCATTATTGAGTTCATTTATCTCAGTGCCCTGACAACCGTAGATGGAGGTGACCTAAAAGTGTTACAACTTTTTTTTTTTAAGCTACTAGAGGTTTTGATCTCAGAAAATAAGGGAATTTACTTTTATTTATTCTCTTCTGAAGAGGTTACCAAAGATGCTTGTATCTGTGTTATAAATCCCTTTCATAGTCTAGAACTTCAGTCTCAATTCATCAACATCATTGTTAAATTATGGAAAGTTTTATTTTATCAAATTCTGATATTTTAATTTTGTATAAAAACCAAATTTTATATAAAATAACTTGATAAAAACTTTGTTAGATGCTTTTGCTTGCATAGGTGAATTATTGAAAATCAGAATATAGAAGATCAAGTTAGTATTTCATTATATTTTATAGGCTATATGTACTGCACAGAGATCTGCCATAAGGATTAGGGCTATAAGACATCACTTTTGAACAAGGACTGAGAAACTGCCACCTACAACATACCTTCTCATTTACCCTCTCTCATCAACCAAACTTACTCTTGTTCCCTTATTAAAATTTTGTTAATGAAATATGTTGCAGGGGATATGGTTAAGTTTAAGATTGATAGACTCAAACATGTATATATTTTAATGGAATACTAAAAGAGTTGAGGGTAAAACTACGGTTAAAATGTCTTCAATACAATAGAATTAGTATCAAGCATCCAGCTAATGTTCACATTTCCATTTATTTATTTAGAGATGGAGTTTCACTCTTGTCACCCAGGCTGGAGTGCAGTGGTGTAAGTTTGGCTCACTGCAACCTCCACCTCCTGGGTTCAAGTGATTCTCCTGCCTCAGTCTCCGAGTAGCTGTGATTACAGGCACCCAACACTACACCTGGCTAATTTTTGTATTTTTAGTAGAGATGGGGTTTCACCATATTGGGCAGGCTGGTCTCGAATTCCTGACCTCAGGTGATTCACCTGCCTCGGCCCCCCAAAGTGCTGGTGTGAGCGAGCGCGCCTGGCCTCACATTGACTATTATTTACTGAATGTCATAAATGGTCTTTCTTTCTTTCTTTTTATTTTTACAGTTAGAATCAGAATTCGAGTAAGGTCCACATATTACAATAGATCAATTTGATTTATTAGTCTTTTAATCTATCGATGAGTTCTCCCTTGCTTGTGGTCTCTCTCTCTCTGCAATTTATTTGTTGAAGAATGCCCATACACCTTTTTCACCTTAATGTTTTTATTAAGATATAATTTACATGCAGTAAAATGCATAAATTTTAAGTTTCAACAGTTTTACATTTTGACAAATGCGTACATTAGTTTATCCACACCTCTGACAAGATATAGAACATTTCTATCATCCTAGAAAGATCTCTTGGGTCCTTAGCAGTCAGTCCTTCAATTCTTTGCTCTGGTTCCTACCCGCAACACCAATCCCAAACAACTACTGTTTTGATTTCTTTCATCATAGATTAGTTTTACGTATTTTAAAGCATCAATCATATGAATGGAATCATACATTTTGTGCTTGGCTACTTGCATTCAGCATGATGCTTTTAAGACTTACTAATGATGCTGCAGGTATCAGTAATTTGTTCCTTTTAACTGCTGAGTGGTATTCCATGCTAAGAATAGCACAGTTTAATTATGTATTCACTCGTTGGATGTTTGGATTATAGTTTT